>NC_000018.10:48222577-48523244 GCF_000001405.40 Homo sapiens
GACTTGCCTGCTGCCTCCCAAATCTGCCCTAGATACCAGCCCCAGGACAATTCCCATCACATCATGTTTCTGGAAAGAAGGTGAGAGGCTTTCCACACAGACACAGGGCAGGAGACTCTTCTTGCCTTAAAATGTGTATGTATGACTGATATGAGACCATTATCACAATTTACAAGCAGGTCCCCTCCTCCACAAGGGCATGAGAAAGAGTGTCCAGCTTTCTCATCACTCCACCAGACCTGCAGCCACCAGCTCTGGAAGCCTTGCCTCCTATGCTCTGTACCCAATGAAGTCCAAGGAAGCAGCATGAAATCTGCAGAGGAGAGGGGAAGAGGCAGATGTGGAGCTAAATCCTGTAGGTCCAGGAAGTCCCTGCCCCTGGAGCTGTGTGGCCCTGAGCTGTGTTCTGAGACAGCAACCCCCATGCCCAGGCTCTGGGCCAGCAACCTTTTCTAACAAACACACCAATAAATCCTGAAGACTAAATTAACAGCACGATTTCAGCCCAATAACTGCATGTGATCCCAACACAGAGTTTCTCAGCGTCCTTAGGGAAGAGCTGGGGATGGGTTTACACTGGGCTCTGCAGAGGTAGTGGGAGATGGGCAAGGTGCAGGAACAGGCAGCCTGGAGACCCAGGAATCTGGAGACCTGGTTACTGACCTGCAGGAGACAGGTTTGTCCCAGTAGAGGCCCCCAGATAAAGGCAGAGGTGTCAGGATAGAGGTGAAAATTCCCCCCATACCCCTTATTCTAATTGTCATATTCTAGAAACATATCCTGGAAACCTGAGGGCTTTAGTCCCTTAACCAATGCCCCCCAACCCCATCTTTCTCAGCAAGCTAATAGACCACACATGTTTAACAGAGACATCTAATTAACTGGCCTTCACAGAAAGCAGGGTTGCAAAGGGGGAAGCTTATGGGATCCAGAATATTTCTTCTACTTAAGCACCTTACAATGGGCTTTTTGGCTGACAGACCCTAGACACGTGTGCACACATTGGCGGGGAGTGTGTGTAGGAGGGGTGAGGATGGTGTCCCACCTTACTTCTTCAATGGGTTGGCCATACAAAGAGGTGGCCAGGAGTCTCAGGTCTCAGTTCCAGTTCTGCTACTATGACTTTGAGCAAGTCACTTAACGTCCTTTAACCTGATGTTCTGTATGTATGAAATGGGAGAACTGCCAGCCCATCCAAACAAGCAGGTCTCAGGTAAAGGATCTGTTTAAGAGTCTGCTGTTTCCTTACCTAATAGCCATTCTCCCCTTGTGATTTAGAAACCTAAGTGACTTACTTAACTGAAAAATTACATGTCCCAGAAAACCTTGGAGACAGAAGCGGCTCACAGGATGTATGTGGCAGTTTTGGGCAGGCCCTTTAAAAGGCCTTATAAAAGTTGTGATAGCTGGACCTCCAGCAGCCATCTTGGACTACAAAGATGCTGAAGATGATGGAAAAGACTGACGGAAGTCCCAGATGACTGTAGATATTTCATACTGGCTTTGAACTGTCTACCTACAGGCTTCCTGTACATAAGAAAAAAAAGAACTTTGAAATTATTTAAGTCACAGTTGTCTATGGTCTCTGCTACTAGCAGCTGAACCCAATTTCTAAGTGGTTCAGGGCCTGCATGCATTTATACCAATAACCTATGCATCCATACTCATAGGCTCAGCACCCTCAGCCATCAACTCCAGAGAAGTCCATGAAGGTCCCAAATCTAGAACCAATGAAGAAACATTAAGGCACAAGATCTGATTCATAACACCATACAGAGCTAAAAGCATGGGAGAAAACAGCTGCCATGAGCACAAGGAGCAGAGGAAGGTTCATGGGACACAAGGAGGCACAGAATAGAGGCCCTTGAGGGGAGAGAGTTCCCTCCACTGAGGGAAGGGAAGCCAGTGAGGACAGCAGACATGCCGGGGCCTCAGCCTGGGCTCCACACACCATCTCAGAGCCCAGGGCATCCCTGTCCTTCATTAACAGCAAACCATGGTAAGAACAGAGTTTTCCAGAACTCTGTTCCAGTACTGGGTGCTGATATGAGGGGCTCTGTCTGACAGATGTACGTTCAAACACCAACACTACCACTTACTAGCCATGGGCAAGCCAATTAGACCCGTAAGGCCTTTTTCCCAATTCCATGAATTGGGAAGAATCACAGTTATCTTTCAGAGTTGCTGGGCAGAGGATGTATACAAAACTATACATTTTGCATAGCTCTCAGGAAGCAGCTTAAACATACTCTACAGAGCAAAGTCAATTATAATGAAATCATTAAACTGGGTTCTATATACTCTGTTAACTCAAGCAACTACTTTTATATCTCTCTCTATGTATAATATACATTTCCATCCAAACTGCTAGAATATTTTGGTGACTTAAATTTATCCACAGTAAACTATCAGTTAAATATCAATTCATCAATTGGTTGCAGAACTCTCTTTGTAATATTTCTGATTGCCCTCTTCCCAGTCCAGGTAATCCAGGTGGCTTGGCATCTGCTGTATGGACCTATGTCTTTGCTCTATAAAACACAGGAGTATGCCTGAGCATAAATACTCCCCATCTACAACTGGCTTCCACCACTGTACCCCACTACACTTATCACCTACCTCATCTGATGGGCTAACCTGACATTATTGGAGTTTTAGAAATGGGAGGGAGAAGAGGTAAAAGAGGGAGAGAAAAGGGAGAGGGAGAGGGGAAGGGGAGGAAGCGAAAAGGGAGAGGGAGAGGGGAAGGGGAAGGAGAGGGAGAGAGAATGTAAAGAAAGAGGAAAGGGAGAGGAAGAGGAAAGGGAGAGGGAGAGGAAGAGAATGAACAAGCACAGTGACCCAAGACCCATGGAAACTGCCTGCTGCGTTACAGACAATAAGGAAAGCAGCTCTGCTTTCGGTAGCATGGCTGGTTATTTCAATCGTGCTTTCAATCATTCCTTCCATCCATATACACAAGCCCCCTTTTAATGTGATTTTGCTGTATCCCCCATGAGATGGTAGCACTTATTTTTTCAGCACTTGAATATAGACTGGCCTTGTGACTTGCTTTGGCCAGCAGAATGTGGAGGAAGTGACTCTGTAATTTCTGGGCCCAGGGCTCCAGAGGTCTTGAAACTTCTGTCCTCTCCCTCTTAGAATGTCACCATCATGTGAGGAAACACTTCCTAATTTTTTTTTTGAGACAGAGTCTCACTCTGTCACCAGGCTGGAGTGCAGTGGCATGATCTCAGCTCACTGTGACCTCCACCTCCCAGGTTCAAGTGATTCTCCTGCCTCAGCCTCCCGAGTAGCTGGGACTACAGGCAGACACCACCACGCCCAGCTAATTTTTGTATTTTTAGTAGAGACGGGGTTTCACCATGTTGGGCAGGATGGTCTCGATCGCTTGACCTCGCGATCCACCCGCTTTGGCGTCCCAAAGTGCTGGCATTACAGGCATAAGCCACCGCGCCCAGCCTGAGGAAACACTTCCTTAAGGATGGGAGAGACATGAAAAAATAAGCCCCGTCATCTCAGACTGTTCCAGCTGAACAAAGACATGAGAGCAAACCCAACCAACCCATGTGGAGCCCAGCCCAAGCTGCTGACCAAAATAGTAAACACATAAATGGTTACTGTTTTAGGCCACTAAGTTTGGGGGCTATTTATTACATAGCAATAGCTAACTGATACAGGTAGATCCCTTCATCCAGGAAACACCTCCAGGTGTCCTCTAAGCTGTCTCATGCTGGCATACAATGACAACCTCAAATGGCTAACTTCTTGCCCCATTTTAGTTTTTACTTCCTCCCAAATCTTAGTCCTTAACAATCAATCACAATCAACCATACACACTAAGCAAGGTACTATGTTGAGGAGCTGAGGCCTTTAAACAATGGTAGGGCTGGAAGGAATGGACTGTAGAGGTATTTAAGGCTAATTCCATCCTTCAAAAATGAGAAAACTGAGGGCCAGGCATTTTAGATTGCATGTGCATGACTGCACTGCAAGCACCTGGGGGTAAAATATGCATGACACACACCTTTGCAACCTCCAGGTGTCACATGAGGTGTCACCCATGGTGGGGAGCAGTACATGTTCACTGACAGCATGACTCTCTGGCCAGCTGGCCACAAGATTGAGTTTGAGCATCATACTGTTAGGAGTTAGGTATTCGACTGGGTGCAGTGGCTTATGCCTGTAATCCCAGCACTTTGGGAGGCCAAGGCAGGCAGATCATGAATTCAGGAGATTGAGATGATCCTGGTTAACATGGTGAAACCCCGTCTCTACTAAAAATACAAAAAATTAGCCAGGCGTGATGGCACACAACTGTAGCCCCAGCTACTCGGGAGGCTGAGGCAGGAGAATCGCTTGAACCTGGGAGGTGGAGGTTGCAGTGAGCCAAGATCACACCACTGCACTCCAGCCTGGGCAATAGAGTGAGACTCCATCTCAAAAAAAAAAAAAAAAAAAGAAAAAGAAAAAGAAAAAAAAAAGAGTTAGCTATATACTCTTTAGCCCTAAAGCACAGTTGCAGCCTCTCCTACCAACCTGCCTCTTCTCAAGCCCCAAGGAGAGCCAGCCATGCCTGAAAAGGCTGTCTGGGCCAGGAGGGCTTGGACAAGCATCCACGAACTGAAAGGCCACTGTATTCTGTTTACAGTGAGCAATGAAAAAGATGCCACTGTGTCCACCAGGAATGCTGCTGCTGCTGCAGCTGATTCACATGTGTACGGCCTGGCAGTTTAGAGGGCACCTTCAAAAGCCTCCTCCCATTGAATTCTCGCTCCATCCTTCTGGGCAGGTACATTTCTGGGGGTTTGTGGCTGAGCAAGCTGCTCCACCCTCTTCCTTTCTGCCGTCCTCTAGTCACTAAGGAGAAGGATGTGTCATTGTCTTACTTGGAACGGCCTCCGCCCAACACTGTGGGTTACCTTCAAGTCTCATCTTTCTGTTTGCTCTTAGTCTCCCTTTGCCACAGGAATTTCAAATGACCCCAAAAGTGTCAACGATTGTTTACACTGTCATTACTGTAATGAAGCCTATAGTGAATAGGAAATAAACTGACCACCTTTTAGAGTTTTGCTAATTCTTTCAGGTCCTAAACAGGAAGCCTGTTTTACCAAACCCTGCCTTACCACAAAAATTTTCACTGGAGATTGCTGGACTAGTCTTTGCCTTCTAGCAACGAAATAGGAAACATTGGGAAATTAAGAAAAGAAAAATTATAGGCTGCCTGGAAGGTATTATAATTTTTGCAGACATGGAGGGTCCCCTTGTCCTCTCCTTCTCTCCCTCTCAGAGTGAGAGGGCAGGAGTTTGGGTGAAACATTGTTACAAGGGGTAAGTGGTACACTAAAGAGCATAACTTCTCATTCCATATGAAAAGTCCAATGCAGGTGTTTCTGCAATGTAGCAATGGGAGGAAAGGGATGGGCATCAAAGAGAGAGAGGTGAGTGGGGCAAAAAGGTGATGGAGAGGCCGCCCCACCTGGAGGATGCTTCCAGCGTCTCCCTGAATGAACAGGTTGCCATTAAGCAAGTTAGATGGGGCAGGAAGCATGCTCAATGGCATGGCTCCCGAGCTGGGGAGACAGGACCTGGCTGGAGAGTATGACTGCAGGCAATAAATAGCAGTCCCAAGAGTGATAACCAACAGGTCCTCCACTCACATCCTCACATTTCACCTGTGCGGGCCTCAGTTCCTCATGGGAGAGGCAGACTACGAGACTGATTGCTGGTTCTGACCACAGATGATTTTGTTAAGGGTGAGCCCTGAGAGCAAATCCCTTCCCAAGCCTGCCTCTGGCCAGGAGGATGTTGCAATCTGCCTGGCACAGACAGCACTGGGTCCTTGCTATGAGAGAAGGTTATGGCACTGCTGGCCTTGCTGCGGATGGGTGGGGCACATCCTCTTGGGCCTCTCTGTCTCTCACCCCTGCATCCTCCTCCCCAGTAGGACCCCTCCTCACTGCTCCACCCACCAGCCTGAGAGTGGCTGCCAAGGGTGGAGGCTGCAGCAGGAAGAAGGGCAGTAGTCCTTGCCCACTGTGGTTGCCGCCCCCCTGCCTGCCCACAACCCTTCCCTGCATGCCAGGAGTCAGGAGGCTCTGAGTAGAAGCAAAAACCAGAGGCCTTTCAGCTCAGAGGGAGTCTCTCTCTCTCTGTCTCTCTCTCTCTCTCACACACACACACACACACACACACACTCGTGCTCATACACACTCGTACATGAACACACCCCCATGCACCCTTACGCCCCCACTTGTGCAGGTGTGCACACCCTCTCATACACAAACACACTCTCACTTTAGACTTTAACATCAAGGATATTTCTGTTCCCTTCTCTCTTCTCCTTCCCTCACAAAAGGACTCCAGCTGGCTCTCCAGTGGCAGCCACAGAGCCTCGAACCATCTGGAAACATAAGCACGGCAGGATTGTGCGAGGCTGGAGGTGAAGACAGCCGGGGTCATGGGAAGGGAGGCGGAAAAACAAGACAGTGCCAGATCCCAGTCAAAACAGCATGTTCGTCCCGCTCAAATCTCATCAAAATGCCAAGATTCCCCCTGCCACGTGCCCGCCCAGGCAGCTTGCCCCAGACCCCGACATTCTGCCTGAGCTGTGTGCCACCAGCCTTCCTGCCCCATTCCACCATCAGCACCCACTCTGGTGACTTCAAAAAACAGCCACACAGTCTAATTTTAGCTCTAATCTTCCCTGGCCATGGTTGTGTGGTTTCTAATTATTTTATTCCCAAGATTTACCTTGATGGATAGTTATACATTTTCCAATTTACTGTACAATATCTTGTAAAGTGCCCTTTAAAAAAAATGTGTGGATAATTCCATGTTGTTAATTTTCCCAGCTCTAAGGAGAAATCTGCAGATAATCGCCTGCCCTAGAAGCTCTGATTCAATCCCCATTTCCTTTAATACTAATAAAATGGACAGTTCATTTATAAGAAGTTCCCTAAAAGAGGGTATGAAAAACATTATATTTCTTTTAAAGTTGTTAAAGGGCATAAATCCATTACTCAGATAGAGATCGCTTAATAATTTAATGCCTTTGGCTTGGCATTGTTCCCAGAATATTTTCACTTTATCTGTCTTTATTTCCAGGTTGGAACAAATTGAGGAATAATCAGCTCTGTTGGCGGGAATTGTCGAAGAGTCTGCAGGGAGGCCCGAGGAAGACGTGGGGGAGTTGGACAGCCTTCCTGACTGTCCATCTCCCTCATAGGCCTTCAGTCCAAGGAGCGGGGCAGGTGTGGGGCACTGAGGGGGTGGCCAAGGGGGAACAAGGCTTTCCTTTTGGCCTCCACGTGGTGGGGAATGTGCCCTGCAGGTTGTCTGGCAGGCTCTGCTTTCCGGGAAGCAGGGGGCTGCCTGGGAGGCAGCCACCCCCACCTCCCTCCCTCCTGCCCAGTGAGGCAAACAGGTGGGAGGGCCTCGAAGCAGAGCCTTTCTGCAAAGGGGATTAGTTTGCATTTTCTAAATAAAATCATTTACATGATGTATTAACCCAACCCCATAATTAAAATCATTAATGTTTCTTTGTGCAGATTAGCCAAAAAGAGAAACTAAGTGCAGGAATCAACATTCCTTCTTACAGGCTCATCAAACAACACTCCCCTGAAGAAGGCTTGAAAGCTTCATCCACCAGTCCTCTCCCCAACACAGCAAGGTTTATCCCCTGTTCAGGGATTCTTGCTGACTAGTTTCAGCAGTGTTTGCAGGATGTCTGCCCCAACCTAGCTGAAAGCAACCCAGTGGGAAGCTGGTTGGGAGCTGGAAGCAAGGCCTGAACAGGACAGTTGGGCTTAAACACAGCTCTCAGACGGAATCCCTGTGTATTCCTTTTCCTTGCTCCTCAGTTTCCCCTAAAAAAATAAAGCCACTGAACTAAAATGATGCCTATGGGATCTTCCTAGAAGTTTCCCAGCACCATGACAGGTGTGCTGCTCCCATGCCTGGGACAGATTTTTGGCCATAATTGGTGCTCAGCTCAGGTTTGTTGAAGAGAATGGAATTGAACATGCTGGAAGGGGATGGACATAGGATGGGAAGAGGTGAAGACATCATCACATCTGGTGCAAGGATGTGAGCTGCCAGTGGGTGGGGCTGTGCAGCTACTGATAGTCCAAGGCGAAAGGGCAGCCTGAGGCCAGCAGCATGGCGCCATAGAGGAAGAGTTAACAAACACTGCTAGGGGAAGGTGCAGAGTGAGAGTGCAGACCCAGGCATCTCTGCACGGAAAGCCCCCTGCCCCTACAGGCTCAGAAGTGCCTGCTCCCGCTGCCTGGCCTCTCCCTGCTCCTGGTGCCCACTCTGATTTTGGAGCAAAGTTGTGGCCAAGCCTGGGAGCTGTCACAAGCCAGCTGGGTATGTGCATGCTCAGGCCAGAACTGACACACCAGACCCCTGCTGCCTCGGCCCCCTCTGGACTTTGGGTGCCAAGGAGAACGGGAGGGAGTCTGAAGGGGTGCTAAGGGTGGCTTGGTGCAGGCTTGCAGGCACCTTTGGCACTAACAGCCTGGGCGCACTGGCACTGTGGATGGCCGGTTAATGGTAGCAGGAGGCAGACAGGCTCCTGGGTAAAAAGTGCAGGTCCCTGGTGAAACCCCACCTTCAGGCCAGGGACAGCCTGAGGCCTGGGGGCCAGGCTGCCATTTCCACAGACCAGAGTGAGAACTTATGGTGCTTTTTCTGGACCCTCCCATGGCCACCCATAGACCAATCAGAGTGCACTTTCTCCCCTCTGAAGCCCATAAAAACCCTGGTCTCAGCCAGACTTGGATAGACAACAGGACAACCTGCCTGCAGAGAGGAGCTACCCACTGTACTCTCTACTGAGAGCTGAGAAAATAATAGGATGAACTGCCTGCAGAGAGCAGTTACCCACTGTGGGTCTCCTCTCTGCTGAGAGCTGAGCAGACAACAGGCCAACCTGCCTGTGGAGAGGAACTACACGCTGTGGGTCTCCTCTGAGCTGCTCTGTTGCTTAACAGAGCACCTTTTTGCCTTGCTCAGCCTTCACTTGTCCACGTACTTCATTCTTCCTGGATGCAGGACAAGAACTCAGGACCCACCGATGGTGGGGCTGAAAGAGCTTTAACACAAACAGGGCTGAAGCATGCCCCTTGCTCATTATATTGCAGGCACCAAAAAGGAGAGAAGAGAGAAGGAGAGAAGAGCTGCGGCCCTTTGGGAAGCCCAGACCAAGGAGCTCCCTGAGCCAGGGCTGTGACACCCTCTTTAGGGCTCTGCGGTTCCAGGCACCACCAAGTTCCCCAGTGCCAGCCATGTAAGCTTCTTGTGGTAGGGTCTGGTCCCGGCACAGCCTTGCAGGGAGCTGGTACCTGTGCCAGTGCCTGGTGCTGCCCACCCTGCTGCAGCCAGCATGCTTAGCTGTGCACAGTGGCCAGACCCCATGCTCATTTGCTCACATACCCCTCGCTGCTCCACACCTGGCTCATCCTTGGCAGGCGTGGGATCCAGGCCAGTAGTGCCAGCTGAGCACAGCCTGCCAGGCTGAGTGGGCAAAACGAGCCCAGGAGGCCTGAGCAAAACTCAGGCAAAGGCACTACTGGCCACAGAGGTTTCCAGCCAGAAAAGTAACACTCCAAGGATCCTGAGACAATGTGAAGATAGAGGCAAAGATTGGAGTGGTGCATCCATCAGCCAAAGAACACTGATGATTGATGCTAATCCTCAGAAGCTAGAAGAGGCAAGGAAAGATTCTTCCCTATAACCTTAAGAGAGAGCCCAGCTAATACCTTGATTTCAGACTAGAACTGTCAGAAAATACATTTCTGTTGTTTTAAGCCACCTACTTTGTCATACTTTGTTATGGCAGCCCCGAGAAACTAACACATCTGCCAAGATGCCAGACTTGTGAGTGATACTATCCTGGACCCTCTAGACCAGCCCATCTGCCAGCTAAGTACCACCATATGACCTCAGTTAAGGTCACCTGGAACAGAAGAATCATCAGCTAAGATCTGTCCAAATTCCTGATCCACAAAATCATGATATATAATAAAATGGATTGTTATTTTAACCCATGAAATTTTGGGGTACTTAGTTTTGCAGTAATTGAAAGACATACACAGTAAGTCTGTGGCTGAACTGGAACTAAAATTTAGGTCTCCTGCCTCCTAGTTAATTCAGTAGGGCTTTCCATTCTCCATGGCTTCTCCTGCTCATAAGCCAGTTATTATTCTCAGCAGTTTCATTTGCATACATCTCATAAGTTTTATCCCAGTACCCCAGTTAAGATGTACAATTCATTGAGAACAGATAAACAGCATGCCATCTTGATGCCACCATCAACACCAACCCCCTGGTTGAGTGTTGGAGGTGAAGGCTATAAGCAACAGCAAAACAACAGAAACAAGAAGGGCATGTAGGTGAAACAGTATATAAGAGTACAGGTTTTGAGGTGGCAGGGAGTAAGGATGTTGAATGGGAGAGGCATGTCATGGCTTGAATATGTCCCCTCCAAAAGCATATATTAGAAATTTAATTCCCAATGCAGCATTGGCAGGTGGGGTCTAATGAGAGGTGGTTAGGCCATAAGGGCTCTACTCTCACGAACAGACTAATGCCATGATTGTGGGAGTGGGTTTATTATAAAATGACAAGTTTGCACTCTCTCGCGCGCACGCTCTCTCTCTCCCTTCACCCCCCACCTTCCTCCATGAGATGACACAGCAAGAAGGTCCTTGCAAGATGCCAGCACCTTGATATTGGACTTGCCAGCCTTCAGAACTGTAAGAAATAAATTTTTCTTTATAATGTATCCAGTCTCTGGTATTCTCTTACAGAAGCACAAAATGGACTAAGATGAGGTGAATTCAGATTGTAAAAGGCTTTGAATGTCAGGCTAGAAAGCCAGAATACAAAGAGCATACATAACAGTGGATATCCTAACAGGAAGACCGGTGAGCTGGAATCAGTCAGTGCTATCTTACTGCCTACATTACTGCCCCTGTTCTAGCTGACTGGATGCCACCTGCTTTCCCCAGCTTCCTAGCAGTTAAGGACACTTGTGAAACACCTGTACTCAGAAACGCAGCTACAACATAAGCCAAATCGACAGCACTTTTGAAAATCAAGGTCTGCATGTTGAGAGCCATGTTGTTTTTAAATGGGTGTTCATAGTTTCTGGGATAGGTCCCATATTCATCTGTGCTTTTTTAATAAAGGGAAATGTTTAGGTAAATTATATCAGCTGCTGCCAGGGGGTGGGAGGCTGCTTGTGGCAAAGCCCAAAGGCCGAGAAATTCTAGAAATGCATTTATGAGATTTCAACCTTGCCACCTCAGAGCCTCTCCAGGTGGTAATGGCCTCTCCTTTGAGGGTGGTTGGGTCAGTTCCATCCACATCAGTCAGTCATTATCTCCGCTCAGTTCCTTCCAACACTAAACTTTCCAGTGAAAGTCCTTTCCCATGTATCAACCTCCAGCGCCACTGATCACAACCCAATAGCCTCAGTGGAATTGCTCCCAGAGGTTTAAGCACCTAGAATGCCCTCCCCTTTTATCCCAATCTCAATCCTATGTGACCCTCAAGATCCAGCAAAAAAAAAAACAACCCTTCTTTCTGAAGTCTTCTGCAACGCTATAGTCCACAAGCAGACTGCTTTCTCTCTGAGTTTACAATGCGTTATTATATACTATACCATATTCATAGTAAGATGTTTTATAATATCTATTATCTTAAACTATTTTACAGCCACCTAAATACATTTTTAATTTATAATTTTAATAAAAAATAAGACACACTGATGGCAGAAAAAAATTGAAAAACAAACATGTATGATGAAAAATAGGTTTCTGTCTAACCCCAACCCCGGTCTTTTCCCCAGAAGAAGAAACTTCTGTTACTGGTTTCTTGTTTAGTTTTCCAGAAATACTTTATGCCTATATAAGTACATGTGTACATGCGTGTGTGTGTGTGTGTATTTACCTGCTAGGGTGCAATACGATTCACAGCACACCATGAACTCTTTCCACATCTTGCTTTTTAATGACCTATTAAGCCTTGCTTTGTGACCTCATACTAAGTTGGTTTTGGGAATTGCTCATGTGTGCTTGAGAAGAATATGTATTCTCAATTGGACATATAGCCACTACTTTAAACATCTTCATTGCCTTTTTCAAATCTTCTGTTTGCTTACCAGTTTTTGGGAATAGTTTATTTATCAATTACTGAGAAAGGTGTATTTAAATCTCCTGCTCATGAGGGTGGATTTATCCATTTTTCCCTGTAGCTCTGTATTTCCTTTGTGTATTTCGAAACTAAGTGCATACAAATTTAGAAGTGATACCTTCCTAGAGAATTGAAAATTTATTATTATGCTGTGAACCTTGTTAGCACTAATAATGCTTCTTGCTTAAGAAATTTATTTTTGTGATATGAATATAACAATACTAGCGTTCTTTTGGCCAGTGTTTGCCCAGTGTATCTTTTTCCACTCATTCACTTTCAATTTTTTTTTGTCTCTTAAAACTGCAGACAGGACTGAACTTGAGTTTTTGTTAATCCAATCTGACCAATCTCTCTTTTAGCTGGTAGATTAAACCTATTTATATTTATTGTAATGACTAATAGAGATATACATTTATTTTACCATTTTATATGGTGTTTTTTTCTACCATTTTTTCCTCTCATTTATAACCTCCTTTAGAAAAAATTGAGGTTTTAAAATTATAGTTTCCTCTTCTGTTTTAGAAATTACACACTCCATTTCTACGTTTTAGTGCTTACTCTTAAATGTTTTAACATGAATACTTAACTTGAAGTCCAAAATTAATACCACTACATTTTCTTCACCAAATCAAGGACTGTAGAGCACTTTGTGCTCATTTCATTCTATGTTATATATTTAAATTTTAGATGTATCTCATTTTTTTCATCCCATAATGAATCATTATTGGTGTTTTTGTAAAATTAACATTTGTTTATATTTACCCATCTGTTTACCAAGGTTTTTGTTCTCCATTGCATCTTAGATCCTCCTTCTGCGACAAGTTTCCTTCTTTCTTAAATACATATTTTAGGAGTTCCTTTGGTGACTCTCCTTTAGTGTGAACTCTCTGAGTTTTTGTTTGTCCAAATTTTTTTTATTATTTATAAACACATAAAATCCTCATTTGATACATTACCCCCCGCCTCAGCACTTTGAAGATGTCTTCTAGCTGCCAAAGTTGCTGCTGAGAAGTCAGCTGTTTTTCCAGTTTTGTTGTCCTTTGTAGGACATCCATCTTTCCTCCCTGGCTGATTTAATACCTCTCATTAATATCATACGATTTCACTTTCAAATTTCTAAACGTGTGTTTCTTTTCATTTATCTTTATGAGATCAACTTTACTCCCCTAATTTGAGAATTTAAATTTTTAATCAATTCTGAAAAATCCTCAGCCATTTTCTCTTTAAAGATCACCTCTTTCTCAATCTCACTACTCTTTTACCTTTAAGAATTAGACATGTGTTAGACCTTCCTATTCAGCCTTCTGTGTCTCTTCGCATCTCTGGTATTTTCTTAATTTTTTGTTTCTCTATTCTGTATTCTGAATAATTTTTTCATATCTACTCGTTAGTTCACTAAATATCTCTACAACCAAATCTACATTTTCCCATACTTCTCATCTAACTCTGATTCCCTATGTCCAAGTTTATCTAAATCCTAGTAGAGAATCAATCTAAGTTAACCCACACTTTGGTGTAAGGCCAATGTCACCTCTTCTAGAAGCCTTTTAAGTTCATAAATGGATACCTATTCTCAGAAACTTGGAACAGGGTTTTAGCCCATGAGAAGTGTTTGATAAGTCTCTGTTGAACAGGCAAATGAACCCTAGGGAAACGGATAAACTTATAGTTCAAGAACTCAACAAAGGCACCACCTAAAACCCACGCTAGCCTTAGGGAAGAGAAGTTCAGGATTTCGTTTGAGCTGGAGGAAGACTTCATAGAAGAAATAACACTTTAATTGCATCTTGAAATATGAACAGAATGTTACTGTGGGAGGAGGAGGATTTCAACTGGCAGACCCTCCTAAAGCAAAAGATTGAGGTGGGAAGTAAAAGACAAGTCTAATAAGAACAGTAGATGGGATGTGTGAATAGTGAGGGCTAACTGTGGAAATTTAAGGTGAGATCAGACTATAAAGGTGTTAAATAAGAGGATTTCAACTTTATCCTATTTTCTGACAGTTTCTTGATTGAAAAGTTTGGCCCAAAGAAGCTGTTGCAGTCAGGGTCCACACAGAAAAACAAAGTCCATGCCAGGTAGCTTTGCAGAGGAAATTTAATATGGGAATTAGTCATAAAAGTGTTAGAAAGACTGAAAAACCAAACAGGGGATCATGGAGCAATCCACAGATTAGCAATGGCAACCATCCTGAGAAATGGGAGGGGAAAGGGCAAGGGTGGTGTTACTGGCTCTCAGAGGCTGAAAGTGTTGCTGGAGCTAGGACTGAGGACGTGGAAAAACCACAGTCATTGCTGGAAATGCTGTCCGGAGCAGACAGTGGGGGAGCAATATTCTGGCTTCTCCCCTCCTAAAACTCCAGTTTCCTGTTAATGTCTTCCATTGGCCAAACTTAGCCAAAATCCAGTTAATCATGAAAACTTGGGGATGAAATTTGAAAGGATCGTTCCTCTACAATACAGCACAGAGCAGAGATCACAGGAAATGATGCAAAGAGCAAATAAGCAAATTACAAGTAAGGGCCCCATCAAGGAAGAACCATTGTGAGGAGAAGAATGGAGGCTGGGAGCAAAGAAAACAGCTGAGAACCTAGGAAACAGTACAAATGTGGGGAGCTGAGACTCCCAACCATAGAAGCATCCAAAGGGAAGGAACAGTTGGGAGGGTACAAAAATCCAAAAGGCCAATAAATATAAGAAAAGATGCTCAACCTTGGCTATCAGGGAAATGAAAATTAAAACCATACATATACACATCAGAATGGCAAAAATTGAAAGCTCTGACAATACTAAGTGTTGACAAGAAGATGAGACAATGGGTAATATAATTGGTATATTCTTTGCTTCCTTGTGGGAGCATAGTTTGATATGACCACTTTGCAAAAAAAAAAAGCAGTTTCATGTTATCCAGTAAAAAGAAAGGTAGGCATACCCTATGATAGATAATTGCATCCCAGCTATATACTCTATCAACATGTGTGCACATGGTTACCATCAAATATACCAAGAGGATTTACAGCAGCATTGTTTATATTTGCCCCAAAATGGAAATAACCAAATATCCAATCAGTAATGGAAATACTTTTTTAAATTAGTGTATATTTTCACTTATTCATACAATGGAATATAGTAATAAAAATGAACTACAACTGCATACAACCAAATAAATGATTCTTACAAACACAATGTTCTGTGTATGTAAAACATATGACCTAAAATAATATATATAAAATGATTCTATTTTTATTAGGTTCAAAACTAGGAAAGTCCAAAATTAAAAATAATGAAAACACAGCTGGTAAGAGAAAAGCAAGGGGATTATTACCATAAAATAAGGATAATGGTTATCTCTGAAGGGGGAGTTTCCAGCGATTCTGATAATGTTCCTTTTCTTAAAGTGGGTGGCTTTAAGTTACTTGGGTGTTTGCATTATAACTATTAATATTTGTTAAACTGTGCATATAAGTGTTATGCACTTTCCTGAAAAAATGGCAGATAGGAGGTAGGACTGACTTGCAGCTCCCACTCGGATGGACAGAACAGTGTGTGAAGACTCCCATTGTGAACTTTTGCCTCAAGAACTACCACAGGAACATACCAGGAAAACCAAAAGAATTCAAAGACCTTTTGAAGGAAGCGGCTTGCCACTGCAAACTCTGTGAGACAGCCCAAAAACTGAGTGCCCAAAGTGTGTGAGAGGGAAAGTCTGCCTCTGAACACACATCCTAACTGGGGAACCTGAAAATCCAGATCATGGGAGAAGGAGTTAACCTTACCTAGAGCTGAAATAAATTTAGAGAGCCGAATGAAATATAAAAGTAGAAGCAGCAAAAAGATCTCTGTAGGCGCTCCTGGTCCCCAGGGAAGCCATTTCTGACTTTATCTTACAGGGTTCCTTGGGGAAGGCTGCCAGTGGAATTGGGGAAGGATCACAGAGAGAAGGAAACTTCCAGCTGAACTTTTTAATAATTTCAACTGAATGGGATGTTTTCCTGGGCAGAATGGGGGTGAGGTGTGAACAGGAAGTGCAGATACCAGCAGAGAAGCTGTGGCAGGAGGGGAGAGGTGGGGCCTGAAAGCCCTTCCTGCTTTCTCAGCAGGGAGCCTTGTAGCCGGGGGCAAGATCTCAGCCCCACTCACCGGCTGCCTGGATACCAGTTTGGTACTGTTGGTGGGGCACGGTGGGAGTGAGACTGGCCTTGCTGGCTGTGTGGGAGCTTGGTGAAGCCTGTCACTGATGGCTTTCCTCCTGGTGACTTCCCTGGTGGGAAGGTCACTTCCCCGGTGACCTGTATGACATAGTAGCAGAGACAGCCATAATCCCTCTGGAAAAATAACTCCATTGGCCTGAGAACCAACCCTCATCCCCCACAGTAGCTGCAGCAAGCCCCACTCAAGGAGAGTCTGAGCTCAGAAACACCTAATTCCTCCTCCACTTGATGGTCTTTCTCTACCCTCCCTGGTAACTGAAGACAAAATAAATAATCTCTTGGGAGCTCTATGGCCCTGCCCATCACCTAAGAAACCCGAATACTTATCTAGGAGACCTTAGGCAAGCTTGTATCAGCTGATGCTCCCTTGAAAGTGCTACCTCCTGGCTAGAGGCCAACCAACTGCTAGCACAACCAGCATTCGAGAAAGCCAGTGCACTAAACAAAACTACAACCAAGGACCCTAACAAAGTCCACTTCACTCCCCTGCTACCTCCACTGGAGTAGGTGCTTACATCCATGACTGACAGACCTGGAGATGAATCACACCACAGGACTCTTTGCAGACACTCTCCAGTACAGCTCAGAACCTGGTAGGTCTGCTGGATGGCTAGACCCAGAAAAGCAATAACAATCACTGTAGTCTGGCTCTCAGGAAGCCCCATCCCTAGGGGAAGGGGAAGAGCACCACATCAAGGGATCACTCTGTGGGACGAATCTGAACAGTAGCCCTTGAGCCCCGGATCTTTCCTCTGACATCGTCTACCCAAATGATAAGAAACCGGAAAAGTAATTCTGGTAATATGACAAAACAAGGTAGTTTAACATCCCCAAAATATCACACTAGCTCACCAGCAATGGATCCAAACCAAGAAGAAATCTCTGAATTTCCAAAAAAAGAATACAGAAGGTTGATTATTAAGCTACTCAAGGAGGAACTAGAGAAAGGTGAAAACCAACTTAAAGAAATTTTAAAAATAATATAAGATATGGACAAAAAAATCTCCAGAGAAATAGATAGCATAAATAAAAACAATCACAAGGTCTGGAAATGAAAGACACACTCAGAGAAATGCAAAATACACTGGAAACTTTCAACAATAGAATCAAACAAGTAGAAGAAAGAACTTCAGAGCTCAAAGACAAGGCTTCTGAATTAACCCAATCCAACAAAGAAAAAAAAATTTTAAATGAACAAAGCCTCCTAGAATTTTGGAATTATGTTAAATTACTGATCCTAAGGATAACTGGTGTTCCTGAGGAAGAAGAGAAATCTAAAAGTTTGGAAAGCTTATTTGAAGGAATAATCAAGTAAAACATTCCTGGCCTTGCAGACAAATACAAGAAGCTCAAACAACACCCAGGCAATTCATCACAAAAAGATCATGACCTAGGCACATAGTCATCAGGTTATCTAAAGTCAGGATGAAGAAAATAATCTTAATAGCTGTGAGGCAAAAGCATCAGGTAACCTATAAAAGAAAACCTATCAGACTAACTGCAGATTTCTCAGCAGAAAGCCTACAGGTTAGAAGGGATTGAGGTCCTATCTTTAGCTTCCTTAAACAAAACAATTATCAGCCAAAAATTTTGCATCCAGCAAAACTAAGCTTCATAAATGAAGGAAAAATAAAGTCTTTTTCAGACAAACAAATGATGAGAGAATTCACCACTCCAAGCCAGCACTACAAGAACTGCTCAAAGGAGTTCTAAATCTTGAAACAAAAACCTTGAAATACACCAAAATAGAACCTCCTTAAAGCATAAATCTCAGGGTCTATAAAACAATAACACAATGAAATAAAAAACAAGATATTCAGGCTGCAACTAGCACAATGAATAGAGTAGCACCTCACATCTTAACATTAACATTGAATGTAAATGGTCTAAATGCTCCACTTAAAAGATACAAAATGGCAGAATGGGTAAGAATTCACCAACCAAGTATCTGCTGTCTTCAAGAGACTCACCTAACACATAAGGACTCACATAGACTTAAGGTTAAGGGGTGGAAAAAGATACTCCATGCAAGTGGACACCAAAAATGAGCAGGAGTAGCTATTCTCATATCAGACAAGATAGCCTTTAAAGCAACAACAATTAAAAAAAAACAAAGAAGGACAAGATATAATGATAAAAGGACTATTTAAACAGGAAAAGATCACAATCCTAAATATATATGCACCTAACACTGCAACTCTCAAATTTATAAAACAATTACTACTATTTCTAAGAAATGAAATAGATGGCAACACAATAATAGTGGGGGACTTCAATACTCCACTGACAGCATTAGACAGGTCTTCAAGACAGAAAGTCAACAAAGAAACAATGGACTTTAACTATACCCTAGAACAAATGGTGGACTTAACAGATATTTACAGAACGCTCTACCCAACAACTGCAGAATATGCATTGTATTCATCAGCACATGGAACATTCTCCAAGACAGACCATATAATAGGCCATAAAACACGTCTCAATAAATTTAAGAAAACAGAAATGATATCAAGTACTCTCTCAGACCACAGTGGAATAAAATTGGCAATCAACTCCAAAAGGAACCCTCAAAACTATACAAAGACATGGAAATTAAATAATCTGCTCCTGAATGATTGTTGGTACAACAATGAAATCAAGATAGAAATTAAAAAATTATTTGAACTGAACAATAATAGTGACACAACCTATCAAAACCTCTGAGATACAGCAAAAGCAGTGCTAAGAGGAAAGTTCATTGCATTAAATGCCTACGTCAAAAAGTCTGAAAGCGCACAAATCGACAATCTAAAGTCACACCTCAAGGAACTAGAAAAACAAGAAGAAACCAAACCCAAACCCAGCAGAAGAAAAGAAATAACCAAGATTAGAGCAGAACTAAATGACATTAAAAAAATACAAAAGATAAATGAAACTAAAAGCTGGCTCTTTGAAAAGATAAACAAAATTGAAAGACCATTAGCAAGATTAACCAAGAAAAGAAGAGAGAAGATCCAAATAAGCTCAATTAGAAACGAAACAGGAGATATTACAACCGATACCACAGAAATGCAAAAGATCATTTGAGGCTCCTATGAATATGTTTATGTGCACAAACTAGAAAACCTAGAGGAAATGGATAAAATCCTGGAAGTATACAATCCTCCTAAGTTAAACCAGCAAGAAATAGAAACTCTGAACAGACCAATAACAAGCAGTGAGATTGAAATGGTAATAAAAAAATTGTCAACAAAAAAGTCTAGGACAAGATGGATTCACAGCTGAATTATCTCAGACATTAAAAGAAGAATTGGTACCAATCCTATTGAAACTATTCCAAAAGACAGAGAAAAAGGGAATCCTCCCTAAATCATCCTATGAAGCCAGTATCACCCTAACACCAAAATCAGGAAAGGACATAACAAAAAAAGAAAACTACAGAACAATATCTCAGATTAATATAGATGCAAAAGTCCTGAACAAAATAGCAGCTAACCAATTCCAACAGCAGAATATCAAAAAGATAATATACCATGATCGAGTGGGTTTCATACCTGGGATGCAGGGATGGTTTAATATACACAAATCAATAAATGTGATATACCACATAAACAGAATCAAAAATGAAAATTGCATGATCATCTCAATAGTCACAGAAAAAGCATTTGACAATATCTAGCATCCCTTTATGACTAAAACTCTTAGCAAAATCAGTATAGAAGGACATACCTTAAGGTAATAAAAGCCATCTATGACAAACGCACAGCCAATATTATACTGAACAGGGAAACATTGAGACCATTTTCCCTGAGAACTGGAACAAGACAAGAATACCCACTTTCACCACTTCTGTTCAACATAGTACTGGAAGTCCTAGCCAGAGCAATCAGACAAGAGAAAGAAATAAAGGGCATCCAAATCAGTAAAAAGGAAGTCAAACTGTCATTGCTCACTGCTGGTATGATCCTATAACTAGAAAACCCTAAAGACTTATCAAAAAAAGCTCCTAGATCTGGCTGGGTGTGGTGGCTCATGCCCATAATCCTAACAATTTGGGAGGCCGAGGCAGGTGGATCGCTTGAGGACAGAGTTCAAGACCAGCCTGGAGAACACAGCAAAACCCCATCTCCACTAAAAATGTAAAAAATTAGCTGGGCATGGTCGTACACGCCTATAATTCCAGCTACTTGGGAGGCTGAGGAACAAGAACTGCTTGAACCTGGGAGGTGGAGGTTGCAGTGAGCCAAGATCATGCCACTGCACTCCAGCTTAGCTGACAGAGCAAGACTCTCTACCCCCCCACAAAAAAAAAAAAAAAAAAAAGCTCCTAGCTCTGATAAATGATTTCAGTAAAGTTTAAGAATACAAAACCAATGATGTATACAAATCAATAGCATTGCTGTACAACAGTGACCAAGTTGAGAATCAAATCAAGAACTCAACCCCTTTTACGAAAGCTGCAAAAAATAAAATAAAATACTCAAGAATATACCTAACCAAGGAGATGAAAGACCTCTACAAGAAAAACTACAAAACACTGCTGAAAGAAATCATAGACAACACAAACAAATGGAAAAACATCCCATACTCATGGATGGGTAGAATCAATACTGTGAAAATGACCATGACTGCCAAAAGCAATCCACAAATTCAATGAAACTCCCATCAAAATACTATCATCATTTTTCACAGAACTAGAAAAAACAATCCAAAATTCATATGGAACTAAAAAAGAGCTCACATAGCCAAAGCAAGACTAAGCAAAAAGAACAAATCTGGAGGCATCACATTACCCAACTTCAAACTGTACTATAAGGTCATAGTCACCAAAACAGCATGGTACTGGTATAAAAATAGGCACTTAGACCAATGGAACAGAATAGAGAAACCAGGAATAAAGCCACATACTTACAGGCAACTGATCTTTGGCAAAGCAAACAAAAACATAAAGTAGGAAAAGGACACCCTATTCAACAAATGATGCTGAGATAATTGGCAAGCCACATGTAGAAGAATGAAACTGGATCCTCGTCTCTCAGCTTGTACAAAAATCAACTCAAGATGCATTGAAGACTTAAATCTAAGACTCAAAACTGTAAAAATTCTAGAAGATAACATCACAAAAACTCTTCCAGACATTGGCTTAGGCACAGAGTTCATGACCAAGAACCCAAAAACAAATGCAACAAAAACAAGAATAAATAGAAGGAGGCCAAGGTGGGTGGATCACGAGGTCAGGAGATCGAGACCACTCTGGCTAACATGGTGAAACCCCATCTCTACTAAAAATACAAAAAATTAGCCAGGTGTGGTGGCAGGTGCCTGTAGTCCCAGCTACTCGGGAGGCTGAGGCAGAAGAATGGTGTGAACCCAGGAGGTGGAGCTTGCAGTGAGCAGAGATTGCGCCACTGCACTCCAGCCTGGGCGACAGAGTGAGACTCCATCTCAAATAAATAAATAAATAAATATAGATGGGACTTAATTAAACTAAAAAGCATCTGCACAACAAAAGAAATAATCAGAAGAGTAAACAGACAACCCACAGAGTGGGAGAAAATATTTGCAAACTATGCATCCAACAAAGGACTACTATCCAGAATCTACAAGGAATTTAAATAAATCAGCAAGAAAAAAGCAATTAATCCCATCAAAAAGTGGGCTAAGGAAATGAATAGATAATTCTCAAAAGAAGATATACAAACAGCAAACAAACATGAAAAATACTCAACATCACTAATTATAGGGAAATGCAAATCAAAACTATGATGCAATACCACCTTACTCCTACAAGAAGGGCCATAATTTAAAAAATCAAAAAATAATAGATGTTGATGTGGATGTGGTGAAAAGGAACATCTTTACACTGCTGGTGGGAATGTAAACTATTAATACTACAACCACTATGGAAAACAGTGTGGAGATTCCTTAAAAAACTAAAAGTAGATCTACCATCTGATCCAGCAATCCCGCTACTGAGTATCTACTCAGAGGAAAAGAAGTCATTATATGAAAAAGACACTTCTACATGCATGTTTATAGCAGCACAATTCACAATTGCAAAAATACGGAACCAACCCAAATGCCCATCAATCAACAAGTGGAAAAAAAAGTAGTGTGTGTGTGTGTATATATATATACACACACACACACACACACCATGGAATACTATTCAGCCAAAAAAAGGAATTCAATAATGGCATTCACAGCAACCTGGATGGAGCTGGAGACCATTATTGTAAGTGAAGTAACTCAGGAATGGAAAACAAAACATTCTATGTCCTCACTTATAAGTGGAAGCTAAGCTATGAGGATGCAAAGGCATAAGAATGATACAATGGACTCTGGGGACTTGGGAAGGGTGGGAGGGGAGTGAGGGATAAAAGACTACACATTGGGTACAGTGTACACTGCTCAGGTGATGGGTGCACCAAAATCTCAGAAATCACCACTAAAGATCTTATCCATGTAACCAAACAACACTTGTTCCCCTAAAAACCTATTGAAATAAAAAAATAGATCAAGACACCAAAAAAAAAAAAAGAAAAAATGAATTTTCTATGGTATATACGCTCAAGAGTAAAAACATATTTTTTAAGGAATAGAGGAAAAGAAGAAGAAAGTATCTCAAGCATCTTTTTTTCATAAAGTTATTGGAGAATGCGCTCCATCAAAACAAGGGGGCAAACCAAGAAAGGAACAATTTTAGATTCAGGAAACAGGACATCCAAACAGAAGAGAGGATGGGGGAATTCCTAGAATGCTAGAGCCGGTTGAGCCCAGGTTGAGAGCTGTGCTCCAGAAAGCAATCAGACAAAAATGGTCAAAGTATCCAGAGAGATTTCAACAAGGAGATGAAACTGACAGATTGCCTGATGTATTTGAAAGGATTAGGAAGGTATTTATCCAATTAAAGAATGTTGGGGATGGAATTATTAATAAATATATAGAAAACTAAGCATCAGACATACAAACAAAAACAATTATTAATTCCAGAAAACAAAAATTGTGCCTAAATGGAATCATATAGCTCAGGTGTAACTGAAGTACATTTTCACTATAATATACTGTAAATACTAAATTTGGATCTAATCACAATTATGGTATAAAGAGGGAATATGGGAGTGTGTTTCTAGTGTGAATATGGGGTAAAGGGAGCTAAACAGTCATCTTCCATAGCAGGAAGTCAGTTAATAATAAAGCTTAGGCCGGGCGCGGTGGCTCACACCTGTAATCTCAGCACTTTGGGAGGCTGAGGCGGGTGGATCACAAGGTCAGGAGATGGAGATCATCCTGGCTAACACAAATACAAAACGTTAGCCGGGCGTGGTGGCGGGTGCCTGTAGTCCCAGCTACTTGGGAGGCTAAGGCAGGAGAATGGCGTGGACCCGGGAGGCGGAGCTTGCAGTGAGCTGAGATCACACCACTGCACTCCAGCCTGGGCAAGAGAGCGAGACTCTGTCTCAAAAAAAAATAAATAATAAAATAATAATAATAATAATAAAGCTTAAAATAGAAAAATGACAAATAATTGTATACACCTGTTACTTAAAGAAAATGGAAATAAAAAAACACACTTTTTTTCTAAGAAAAAATGTAGTTGTCTCTCGCAAATGGAAAATGAGGTAGGATGGGAAAAGGACTGCTATTTTCTGTAATAACTTTAATTAAACTCTCTGATTCTTTAAATTATAGGCATATCCTGTTAAACTAAATATGTTAGTTTTTAACATATCCTGTTAAAAACTAAAACTTAAAAGGATGAGACACCATATCGTACTTGAGGTTGTGATGCTGGCGAAATCATCATCAGGTGCTTTGACACCCCCCATCCCATGCCCCCAACAACCACCACATGCACACACACCCTGGCCTCTGCCCCACAGCTCTCTGGACCACAGTCAGGGCAGGACCAAGTCAGGGATAGAGGGGGCTAGACTGAGCGGACCATGAGCACAGATAGGTCATAGAAGAATAGCAGTGTATTCAATGATATATACACTAAAATTATACCATGACAAAGTGGGATTACCCCAGGGTTGCAAGCAAGTGTTGCCTCATATAAGGGGTTCTATTAATATGCTACACCACATCAAGACGCTAAGCAGGAAAAGCATCTTATAATTTTAGTGCATACTTGACAGGTATTTTATAGAAATCAACAATCATTCCTAATAAAAATTTCAGAACTAGAATTAAAAAGAATTCCGGTTAACAGCATAGAGCATCCATATTTAAATTAGCAATAATTCCTCTACATTCAGAATATATAAAGATGCCTACTATTATCATTGTCATTGAAATCATTCATAAAAATATTATTATTTAACATTGTCTGGAAAGTTTTTAAAAACAACGACAGAAAAGATAAAGACACCCCAATGGAAATAAATACTGAAAAAGAAGAGACAAAAATATCTCCTGTATATGATGTGATTACATACCTGGAGAGTTAAATCAGCCAAAATGATTCAAATATAAAAATATCCAGTGATCCTGTTAAACTGTAAATCAGATGTCTGTTTCATGCCCTCTCAACTTTGTGGCTTCCCATCTCCCTCAGATTAAATCCAGTGTCCTTGGCCCCATACCATCTGGTAACAACCTTGTTTTGTCCAATTCTCCACCTCTTCTGCTTCACTCCAAACACATGGCTTTCCCTGTTTCTCAGTGATATGCTTAGGCTTTGTGTCCCCACCCAAATCTCATCTTGAATGTAATCCCCATAATCCCCACATGTCAAGGGAGAGACCAGGCTGAGGTAATTGGATCACGGGGGTAGTTTCCCCCATGTTGTTCTCATGACAGTGAGTTCTCACGAGATCTGAGGTCTGCTGGTTTTACAAGTGTTTGATAGTTCCTCCTGCATTCATTCTCTCACCTGCCACCCCCCTGCGAAGAGGTGCTGATATGTTTTGGCTGTGTCCTCACCCAAATCTCACCTTGAATTGTAACAATCTCCATGTGTCAACGGCGGGGCCAGGTGGAGATAATTGAATCATGGGGGTGGTTCCCTCGTACTGTTCTTGTGGTAGTGAATAAGTCTCACAAAATCTAATGGTTTTATAAATAGGAGTTCCCCTGCACAAGTTCTCTTGCCTGCCACCATGTAAGACGTTGACTTTGCTCCTCCTTTACCTTCTGCCATGATTCTGAGACCTCCCCAGCCATGTGGAACTGTGTCCACTAAACCTCTTTCCTTTATAAATTACCCAGTCTCAGGTATGTCTTTATTTGCAGCGTGAGGACAGACTAATACAGGTGCCTTCCACCATGATTGTAATTTTCCTGAGGCCTCCCCAGCCATGCAAACTGTGAGTCAATTAAACCTCTCTTCTCTACAAATTACCCAGTCTCAGACAGTTCTTTATAGCAGTGAGAGAACAAACTAATACACTCAGGATGCCACATATGTTCCCATCTCAGGGCCTTTGCACTTTCTGTTCCCTCTGTCATCTCATCCAGGTCTGCTTGAATGATACCTTTTGATACTGGCCCTCCCTGTCTTCCCTATTGCAAATGTCACTTTGTCAGTGGCCTGTCCTGAACACTAAATCTTTCCCTGGTCATTGTTTGTCCTCTGACTATGCTTTATTTTTTTCTTTATAAGATTTATTGCTGCCATGCTTATTAGTTATGTTTTTGCTTATTGTCTCTCTTCTCGCTAAAATGTAATCTCCAAGAAGATGAAAATTTTAGATTCTCAGAACCTAGAAGAATATCCGGCCCACAAAAGGCACCTGGTAACTCGATGTTGAATAAATGATTAAATGAAAGGCATATAAAACACACAAGAGATAGGTAAAAGAATTACTATCTCTTCTTCAGAAAAATAAGAAGTACTCACAGATTGAGATTGACAATTTCCATACATAATATAAAGCTTTTCTGTAATAAAAATAAAAATTAAAAAGGACAACAAAGTATTTGAATAAACAAAACAAAAATGATTAATAGTTATCACCTACAAAGAGTGCATTTAAATTTATAAAAACACCAAGACCATAACAAACAGATAATTCACAGAAAATTATATACAATATAAACAAATACATGGAGAAATAGTAATCTTCACTAGTAAACAAAGGAATGTAAATTAAAGCAAGTTGAAATACTGTTTTATCTGTCAAATTAGAAAAACAGTTTTTGCTAACTGCTATTGAAGTGGAGAAAAAGCTAGTAGATTCATTCCAGAGTGATGGCACTGTATTAAATAATATTTTTGCAAAGCAATTCAGCAATATAGAGAAAGAGCCATATACATGTCTGTGTCCTTTACTAGTAATGCCTCTATTAGGAATTATTCCTATGGAAATTCAATAGCAGCAAAAAGCTATTTGCAAGAAGATGCTCACTGTAGTGTTATCTATAAAAGCCCCAAACTGAAAACCATAAATGGCCAACATTAAGGGGAATGGTTTAATAAATTACAGCACCTCTGTACAATGGAATATTACGTGGCCATTAAAATGGTAATTATGCAGAAACATGAAAAATGTTTATGATCCACTGGTCATTGAAAACAGGCAGAATACAAAATAGTAGGCATATACCACAGACAACACTCCCAGCATGTATTACATTTAGAAGAGATAATAAGTAAAAATAATATAATAGTTGGTTTGGGGTTAGTAGAATTTTATAGGTGACATAAGAAATATTATTTTTTAAATGTTCTCTTTAAATTTTCACACAGAAGCTCTTGTAATTTCTAACAGGTTAGATTCTGAAAGGCTCTTCCTGTGCCTGAAGTAATACTGCACCAACTATCAATTTGTACATAGCCCTGTAAAACTTTATCATCTTTACTTTATTTACACTACAATAGCAAGACTCTTCTTACCACCACTTTTAACACTCCCTCTGCTGTGGAGTTTAAAGGCAATGCAGAAATATGTCGAACAAAGGAGGAGGCAAACAAAATAAGATGGAACACTAAGGCTAGAGCGAAAATGACCCTGGAAACCACTCCAGCCACCTGTCCATGGCCGGCAGAGCTAATGTGTTTTTGCCTTGGCCGGAAGTTTTGCTTATGTGTCTGAAAGCTGTTAGGTGGAGGGGAGTCTCCACTTTGCCCAAACCAGAACACATGGTCTAGAAACACAGCTGGGACTTGACTCAGCCACCCTCTAAAACCCAGGCACAAGCCCAAATGGATTTCCCCAGTGACATGCGCAGGGGTCAAGTGGTTCCACTGATCCAGAACCCCCAACATCTTTGAAAACAAGCACAGCTTCATAGCATAGAATGGGATTGGGGGTCCAGTCTTCCCAGAATATTTTCTTTCCCATCTTCCCCTTGGGGAACAGATTCACCCACCTTCCTTGTGATACCTTCCTGATCTTTCTGCTAGATCCTAGCTGGGAGACCTTGAACAAGTTAGTTAAACTCTCTGCGCCTCACTTTCCTCCGTTGTAGAAAAGGGGATAAGAAAAGCCCCTACCTCACAGCACTATGTGAGCATTAATGAGTTAATATGTGTCAAGTGAAGGGAACACTGCCTGCCATATAACACTCAGATGATGCTAGTTATCACTAACTGTTGTCCTTGTGGTGGAATTGACCTGATCTCTCTTTTGCTCCACTGTGGTATGTGCCCATACTTAATAAAAAAACCCAGTCCCAAACTTGGAATGGGACAGAACCTTTTTGCATGATGTAATTTCCAAGCTCTTTCTGGGAAGAAATTAGCATTGATAAAATGCTTAAGCAATTTTCTGACAAACTTTAATGAGATTAAGACCTCTTCTGGGAAGCCAGATACCCACCCACTCAGCTGACTGTCAGTCAGGATCTAATGATCTTGAAACAATCTTTTTTTTTTTTTTATATCCAGTCTAACAGTGATTACTTAATCATCCTGTTTTTCTATAAAATTTTTCTATAGGAGACAATCTCTGAATTAACCCACTAATGCTTCTTTTCTTGTGATTTGCTTGAACTTAAACTTCGGCATGTGTTTAAAAGTAAAATATCTGACCAGGCATAACCTCTCATGCCTATAATCCCAGCACTTTGGGAGGCTGAGTTGGGAGGATCATTTGAGCCCAGGAGTTCAAGACCAGCCTAAGCAACATAGCAAGACCTTGTTTCTACTAAAAATAAAAATAAAAATAAATTAGCTGGGCGTGGTTGTGTAGTCCCGGCTACTCAGGAGAATGGGGCAGGACAATCACTTGAGCTGAGGAGGTTGTGGCTGCATTGAGCCATGATTACACCACTGCATTCCAGCCTCGGTGACAGAGCAAGAACCTGTCTCCCCCCAGAAATAAAGAAATAAAGAATATAAAAGAAAATGTTTGAACAAAACAAACAAGTCTATTATAGCATATAAAATAGTTGATAGCATTTATTTGTATTCTTAGTTCTAACATTCATACTAGGGGAGGGACCCTGGGAAGTAAGGACCACACTTGTGATGCAGGATCTAAAAAGAAATGATTTAGGCAGATAGTGAGGGTAAAAGAGTCTTCAGTAAGGATTTCCTTTTAACAAAAAGCAGCCCTCAAATCATTTCCAACAAAAAGCAGCCCAGAAAATCAAGCTGCAGCCTGAAAAAGCAAGCTAGAATCTTGCACAGGTGAATGCCAGCAGCTGTGCCAATAGGAAAAGACTACTTGGGGCTAGGCATGTTCAACATGGCGGCTCCATCTTCCCTTTTCTTTGTCAACCATGTGTACAGTAAGGATCAGACAATGTGGCACTGGCCAGGTAGAGAACCCAATCTGCATACTAAAAGATCAGGGCGGGATGGCCAGCTTCTTCGTGGACTATGCAAACGTCACACCTGCTCTGACCAATCTCTGCGGCCCTATGTGAATCAGACACCACCTCCTCAAGCTCACCTATAAAACCCTGTGCATTTCACCATGGAACTGGGAGACCCATTCAGGTGTCCCTCTCTCTCTCTCTGCAGGAGAGAGAGCTATTCTCTTTTCTCTTTCTTTTGCCTATTAAACCTCTGCTCTTAAACTCACTTCTTGTGTGTCCACGCTCTCAATTTCTCTGGTGTGAGATGAATCTTGGGTATTTACCCCAGACAATGACACCACTTGATTTGTTTTTACCCATATTTTTATCTAGCACTTAATATTGTGACTGATATAGAAAAGGTAATCAATAAATGTTTGTTAAGAGAATAAATTAATGAAAGAACAAATAAACTTTTAAAAAGAATTGAAAAAAGCAGCACTTACTATTAGCCAGAAGAACTGGGAGACTGCGTTACAAAGCACTACTGGCTTTGGACTCAACCCAGGGGTTGAAACATGTTTTTAGCTGTGTGGTTTTGGGAAAGTTTATCCACCTTCCTGACCTTCCATTTCTTCATAGCACTATGGAGAGAATAGTGCATTGTGAAGGTATTGTGAGTTGGGACAACTTGTACAGAGAATATAACACAATGGCAAGTACATTTGGGCCTAAAGATATCTTAGTTCTCCCTCTTGCCACTGACTCTTTTTTTGTGATTGGAAAAGTTACTTCCTCTCTCTGGGCCTCAGTTTCCTCGTTCTTAAATAATAAAAAAATCCCTCATGGGGCATGGCTCCTCTCTCCCTGCCTTCACTTTCTGCAGGCACTGCTGGTGTGTGCTCAGGTGTACCTGCCTCTTCCCGTCAGGTCCCTGCTTTGCATTTGCACCTGCCCCCCTTTTGTTTGTAGTCTAAGTGACATGGGTCTCCCTCTCTTTCCTCCAACTGCATCGCTCAATCCTGCAATGTGTCACAATGGTGTGGAGCTGTCATTCTGGATGATGTGGCGTGACCTCACACTGATGCCATTCCCCTCCCACCAAGCCAACCTGGCTTCCTCCTCCACCCATGGAATAAGCCAGAATGCTGAAAGTGGGAGGGAAATAGAGCACCAAGGTTAAGGAGGCAGTCCCTGACATTTATTAGTGGAATTTCTGTTTCTATGATGAATGTAGAGATTTGGGGTGACTGCCTCTTAAGGTGATATGTAGGGAGATGATGAATCCCAGTGTTTTCCTTAAAGATCCATCCAGTTTAGAGGAAGACATACATATACAAAGTCAATATTGAAAAGATTGTATAGACCTATAGAATAGAGAGGAGGGGAAAGAGATGTGCTTGGACTTAACAGCAGTGCAAAGGCTGCTGGAGCAGTGCCCTGAGCTGGCCCTTTAAGGATGGATAGGATTCACTCAGATTTGTGTGGGTGAATAGGCAGAGCCTTCCAGGGCTCTGAAACTGATGGGGTTATGGTGGAATAGGGGTTGAAAAAAAGAGAAAAAGAGAAAAAGAAAAAAAATCCCTCCTGTGCCAGGGATCTAGTCAAGGTAAAATAAATACCTTTAAAAATACTTAAAAAAATAAAGATCCAGGGCAGACTGCAGCTTTCAGCCAAGGTAGAGAGAAACAAGGACTGGATTTACCCTCCCACCTGGAAAAATTAAAATACTAGACAATATAGGTGAAACAACAGTTTTCAAGACACCAGACATGAGGCACTGAAAGACAGTGGTGCTTGAGAGATGAGAAAAACTAATGTGAGCCCTACAATTGCCCAAACTGTAGCCTTGAGAGAGTGTCCAGGCCATAGAGCAGGAAGGGAGAACTGAGGCACTAGCATTCTTCCTGAGTAGAAGAGACAGAGCTGAGCATCCAGGGAGATCAAGGCAGTTAAAGTTCATAGGACAGAGCACCAGAGAGAAGAGAGAGAAAGAACCTCAGAGATCTGTAGAGGGCTCCCCTCAAGTAATCATCAGAGTACCGATTAGTGCAAACATGTCAGGAAAATACCCAAAGCCAGGAAAAGAACCACCCAAAAAGGGGTAAAAGAAATAGTACTGAAGTAACCCTCAAAGGGTTAACAAGAATTCTGGATAGAAATACAGTTATAATTAAGCATTAGTCAGGCTGTGCTTTGACCTACTTCCTTGTAACTGAAAGTCACAGTAGCACTAGATACTGACCACATGCATCCCCATTGTTCCAATAGGTAGGATCTCAAAAATTGCTTGTTTTTTAGATCCTAAATTCCAGCAAAACAGCTAATACCAACCAGCCTGAAGACCCCCATAGAAGAAGTGAATCTCATGAGAATACAGTTTCTTCATCACCTTGTCCCATGACTCTGATATAGGAGTTAAGAAGAAATTACTTATGCAGATAGTGAGGGTATGGGAGTTGTTGGTAAGGTTTTCCTTTTTAACGAAAAGCAGCCCCCAAACCATGTTCTAATAAAGAGCAGCCTGTAAAATCAAGCTGCAGACATAGACAAGAAAGCTGGAAGCTTACATGGGTGAATGCCGGCAGCAAAATACTACCTAGGAATAGGCAAGTTCAAAATGGCGGTTCCATCTTCCCTTCTCTCTTTGCCAGCCACGTGTACAGTAAGGAGCAGACAAGATGGCCCTGGCCAAGTGGAAAGCCCATTTGCATAATAAAATTAGGGTGGGGTGATCAGCCTTCTCCTTTCCCCGCTGCTATGTAAACATCACACATGGTTGAACCAATCTGTGGGCCCTATGTAAATCAGGCTCTGCCTCCTCAAGCCTGCCTATAAAATCTGCTGCAGTCCGCCGCTTTTCCCTTTTTCGGACACCTCTATCCTCCTCTCTCGTTTCTTCTGCCTATTAAACTTTCCGCTCCTTACCCCACTCCATGTGTGTGTGTCCATGTCATTAATCTTCTTGACACAAGACGACGAACCCCATGTATTTACCCCAGACAACAATACAGCTTCCACTTTACCCTGCATTCTTTGACCAATCAACAATCTCCACACTTCAGCCCATTCCAAAGCCCTTAAAAACCCCAGTCCTAAACTTCTTGGGGAGGTAGATTTGAGGTTTCCTCCCATCTCCTCATTCAGTAGCCCTATGATTAAACCTTTCCCTGCTGCAATCCAGTATCTCAGTGTACTGACTTGCCATGCACATCAGGCAATGAACCTATTATGGTTTGTTCATGATGCTCACATGGATCAGGAATAATGCTGCTCCCACTGGCCAGACTTGAAAACCTCACAATTCACAGGGCTAAAATACTAAGAAAGATCTTAATACTATCCTAGACTACACATTAATCTAGTCCCACCGAACAAATCTTATAAGCAAGGTCCAACAGGGTCAAACTTTTTCAAATATCTTAACTGAGCCCTTTAATAAAGCTCAAGAAAATTTAAAGGAATACAAAAATGTCCAGCACACAGGATAAAATTCACAATGTCTGACATCCAATACAAAATTACCAGATATGCAAAGGAGCTGGAAAATATGGCCCATATTAAGGAGAAAAAGCCAATCAATCCAAACTGACCCAGAACTTACAATTAGCAGAGAAAGACAATGAAAAAGGTATTATAACTGTATTCCATATGTTTAAAAAGTTAAGATATAGAAAGTAAGATATAAAAAGACTAAAACTTCTAGAGATGAAAACTACAATATTTAGAATGTGTTAAATAAAATTTCTAAGAGGCCATTGGTTTGGACTGAGCTCCTGCAGTAGGCCCAACAGACCAAACCAAAATGGAGTGTAACTCACACTGAAGTTCCACACCACCAAGCTGAAACTAAGTTGTTTATCTGACCTTCCAAGAAATTAAGAGAGAAAGAGAGATATAATAGTCAAATCTCTAAATAGGGAAGTTTTAGCCAGCATGATAAGAAAGTCCTATCTGCTTTAATCTTTACAAGAAAAGTAACTTTGAAATGACCAATCTACTTTTGTTATTTGGTTCTCTTTCCTGGGCCCTTCTGTCTATAAAGCCAACCTCCCCAGCTCAGCTCATTAGAACACTCATTCCATTTTGTAGAATGAAGTGTTGCCCAATTCTAGATTGAAAATAAAAGCCAATTAACATCTTTAAATCAGATGTGTTGTAATTTTGTCTTTTTCAGATGAAAAATACACTGGATAGAATCCAATAACAGCAGATAAGATTTTGTTCCCTCCACCCTCCCCTATTTTCCAAAAAAGAATAAGGAATTTGAATACATAGCAAGAGAGGTTATCCAAAAAGAAACACATAGAGAAAAAAGAATTGTAAAAGTGTACAGAGCAAAAGTGCACTGTGGGGACAACTTCAAGCAGCTTGTTCTATGTGTAATTAAAGTCTCCAGAGGAAAGGAGAGAGTTGGAGGACAGGAATAAAGTATTTGAAAAGATAATAGCCAAAAAATTACTAAACTTTATTTTTAAAAAAAACTATAAACCCACAGTTCCAAGAAGCTCAAGAAACCTGAAACATAAGAAATATGAAGAAGGTATACCAAGACATGTCATAATCAAATTGTTCAAAACCAATAATAAAGACAAAATCTTAAAAGCAACCAGGGTGAGTGGAGGGGAAGACACATTACATGCAGAAAAAAGTATAGGGATTACAGCAGATTTCTCATACAAAATAATGTGGGCAAAAAGACAGTGGAGAAATACCTTTAAAATACTGAAAGAAAAAATTATCAACCTGGAATTTTCTACATGGTGAAAATGCCTTTCTAAAGCAAAGGTAAAATAAAGACTTTTTCATACATACAAAAGCTCAAAAAAAAAAAAAAAATAGAAGGCCCATATTATAAGAAGTGTTAAAGGACATTCTTCAAGCACAATGAAAATGAAGCCAGGTGGAAATATGGATCTAGACAAAGCAATGATAGCTTTAGAAATGGTTTTGTGCATTTATATCTGTATTTTAAAAGATAATTATACAAAAATAATAATATAATATGGGGTTTATAACATATGTAAAAGTAAAATGTATGACGATATTATCATTAAGGTCAAAAGGAAAGAAATGAAAATGTACTATTGTAAGGTTTGTATACTATTCACAAAGTGGTATAATATCATTTGAAAGTAGACTTTGACATTACAGATATATATTATAAACCTGAGAGCAACCTGAGGTAATACAGGTAATACAAATATAGGAAATACAGGTAGTTAACAAAGGAGATAAAAGGGAATCACAAAAATATTCAGTCCAAAGGAAGGCATAAAAAGAGGAAAAATTGAACAAATAAGAGGTGAGATGAATAGAAAACAAATAGAAAGATGATAACTCTAAACCTAAACATCAATAATCACATTAAACATAAGTGATCTAAACATTATAATTAAAAGGCAGAGACTGTTAGATTGGATATAAAGGAAGACCCAACTATAAACTGAAACCCACTTTAAATATAAAAAAAGATGAAAGTAAAAAGGATCAAAAATATATACCAAGCTAATACTAATGAAAAGAAAGCTAGACTAGTTATATTAGTGTCAGACAAAGTAGATTTCAGAGCAAAAATATTACCAGGAATAAAGAGAAAATTCCATAATGATAAAAGGATCAATTCATCAGGAGGAGGACATAACAATTGGAAACTACTATATACCCAATAACAGAGCTTTGAAAAACTTGAACCAAAAACTAAACAATAAAGAGATACCCTTTAAAGCCATATATCTATTAAGGTAATTAAATGTGTACTTAAAAACTTTCCCATAAAGAAAATTTTAGACTCAGCTGGCTTCACTGGTAAATTCTACTATTTAAAGAAGAAATTATACTAATTCTACATGAGCTCTTCCAGAAAACTGAAGGGAAGGGAATATTTCCCAACCCATTCCATGAGGGAGCATTACCCTGATACCAAAACCAGACAAAACATTACAAGAAAAGAAAACTACAGACTAATACCCTTCATGAACAAGATACAGAAATTGTAAATGAAATTTCAGCAAATAGAATTTGACAATATTTTAAAAGGATAAAATATCAGGACTAAGTGGTATTTATCTCAGGACTGAAAGGTTGGTTTAACATTTGAAAATCAGTGTAAGGCGCTGTATTAACAAGCTGAAAAAAAAAAAACTAGGATCATGCAAATAGATGCAGAAAAAGCATTTGATAAAATCAAACATCCATTTCTGATTAAGAAAAAAACCTATCAATAAATATCAGCTGGGCATGGTAGCTTGCACCTATAATCCCACCCACTTAAGAGGCTGAGGCAGGAGGATCACCTGAGCCCAGGAGTTCAAGGCTCCAGTGAGCTATGATTGCACCACTGCACTCCAGCCTGAGTGACAGATCAAGACCCCATCTCTAGGAAAAAAACAGAAAACAAAAATACGCTTGGAATAGAAAGAAACTTCTTCAACCTACTAACATGTACAAACAAACCTATAACTAACATCATATTTAATGATGAACAACTGAATGTTTTTCTTCTAAGATCAGAAAAAAAGTCAAGGCTATCCACTCTAACTACTCCTATTCAACATTGTCCTGAATGTTCTAGCCAGTGCAATCAGAAAAGAAGTAAAAAGCACCCAGATTGGAGCAGAAGTAAGACTACTTTTATTCACAGACACCATGATTATCTATGTACAAAATACAATGAAATCCCCAAAAAGCTACTAGAACTAGTAAGAGAGTTGTACCACGTTTGTGATATATAAGATCAATGTATAAATATTAATTGTATTCCTACATACTAGCAACAATAGGAAATTGAAATAAGAAAAGCTACTGACAGTAACACCAAAATATATAAAATGCTCAGTAATAAATACAACAATAGATGTGCAAAATCTGTTTTAAGAACTATAAATAGTGCCAGAAAATTAAAGATCTAAATACACCATGTTCATAGGTTGGAAGATTATTGATATGTCAATTATCCCCCAAATTGATCTGTAGATTCAATGCAATCCCAATCAAAATCCCAGCATATTTTTTTTTCTTTGAGATGGAGTCCCGCTCTGTCACCCAGGCTAGAGTGCAATGGCATGATCTTGGCTCACTGCAACCTCCATCTCCCAGGTTCAAACAATTCTCCCTGCCTCAGCCTCCTGAGTAACTGGGATTACAGGCGCACACCACCACGCTCCACTAATTTTGTATTTTTAGTAGAGACGGGTTTTGCTATTTTGGCCAGGCTGGTCTGGAACTCCTGACCTCAGGTTATCAGCCTGCCTCAGCCTCCCAAAGTGCTGGGATTACAGGTGTGAGCCACTGCGCCCTGCCTTTTTTTGTTTGACACTGAGTCTTGCTCTGTTGCCCAGGGTGGAGTGCAGTGGTGCGATCTCAGCTCACTGCAACCTCCACCTCCCAGGTTTAAGCGATTCTCAGACCTCAGCCTCCCAAGTAGCTGGGACTACAAGCTCATGCCACCACACCCGGCTAATTTTTGTATTTTTAGTAGAGACAGGGTTTCACCATGTTGCCCAGGCTGGCTTTGAACTACTGAGCACAAATAATCTGCTTGCCTCAGCCTCTCAAAGTACTGGGATTATAGGCGTGAGCCACTGCACCCAACCACAAACAAATGATTTTTGACAAGAGTGTAAAAGCAATTCAATGGGAAAAGGATAGTCTTTTCAACAAATCTTGATGAAACAATGAGATATTCTTTTGCAAAAAAGCTAAATATATACCTTCTACCATACACAAAATAAACTCAAAAGGGACCACTGTCCTTAATGTAAAACCTAAAACTATAGAATTTTTGGACAAAAACAAGAGAAAAATCTTTCTGACCTTCAGTTAGGCAATAATGTCTTAGATATGACACAAAAAGCACTATACATAAAAGAAAAAAACTGAAAAATTGGACTTCATAAAAATTTAGAACTTTGGTCCTTGTAAGATACCATGAAGAGAATGAAAAGATAAACTGCAGAAGGTGAGAAATATGCAACCCACATATCTGGAGTATATAACTCCCAAAGCTCAACAATAAGAAATCAAACAACTGTCCCTCAAATGGGCAAAATATTTGAACAGAACTTTACCAAAAAAAATATGAATGGCAAGTAAGCCCATGAAAAATGTTCTGTGTCATTAGTTATAAGGGACATGAAAATCAAAACCACAATGATATATCCCTCCACAACAATTAGAATAGTGAAAATAAGAAGACTGCAAATACGAAATGTCGAGGACAATACAGACCAACTAGAACTCTCCTATATCACTGATAGGAATGGAAAATGGCACAACTATTTTGGTAAGTAGTTTGGCAGTTTCTTAACAAGTTAAAGATATACTACCACACAGTCCAATCATTCCCTTCCTAGGTTTGTATCCAAGAGAAATGAAAACATATCCACACAGACTCATACATGAATGTTCATAGAAACTTTATTTGTAATAGCCCAAAACTGGAAACAGCCCAAATGTCTATCAACAGGCAAATGGATAAACAACCATGGAATACTGCTCAGCAATAAAAATGAATGAACTACTGATACATGCAACAACTTGTATTAATCTCAAAATAACTATGCTGAGTGAGAGAAACTGCATAAAAAGATTACATGCTGTGTGAGCCTATTTATATAAAATTCTAGAAAATGTAAATAATCTGTAATGACAGAAAGAAGATCTGTCACCGAGCATTCCCTTCCCCCTGGGCACTAGGAGTGGGAGGATATGATCACAAGGGGACACAGGAAACTTTTGGGATGAAGGATATGTCTATTATTTTGATGTGGTGATGATGTCATAGATGTATGCATAAGTCTAAACTTACCAAATTGTCCACTTTAACCATGTGCAATTTACTGTAATTCAGTTATATCCCAATAAAGCTGTTGAAAACAACATGCGCTACAGTAAGGAGTGGCTGTGATCAGCCTGGGTAACCTCCTGGAGTTGCAGCAGATCAAGGCAGACTGCAACAGCCACCACTCAAAAGCTCCCTTCCGGTCAGGGAGATGGTCTATGCATCCCACCTACTAGCTCTGACTCATATCTGGTGCGAGAACTGTAGTAAAGTTTTCGAGTTGGCAAAACCAAAGCACAAGACACCAGTGAAGGCCATGTTCGCCATAAGACCTTATCTGAAAAGCCATTTTGACGTCCTTGCTCCTGGCAGCAAAGCCTGCCCTAGGCCTGGTGATCTGGCCTCCCTGTCTACTCTGAGCATCTTGCCTTCTCCTCCACTGAAAACCATTCTCCAGAAAATAAAACACAACAAAATCAAGATAAAAGGCATCAGCATGGCCCCACACCAGGCTTTAACGGGCAAATTTGTATGAGCAAGGGCAAAATGAAGGGCAGCAAGGAAAACACTGAATTAAAACCCACTTAAATTAAGAATTCAATAGCAGCCACTTAACTAATAAATAGTATTCCTCTCTGCCATTGATTGACTCAGGATTGTAATGAAGAGTTCCAGGGGCAACAGCGGAATGTTTTAATTCATCGGATAAACGTCACCAACTCTTGGGTTCCTAAGATTGAATGTGTTGGAGAAAAGCGGAATGGAGAGCCCACAGGAATTAATTCTTGGAACATCCCTGCAGGGTCAGCATTATTATACCCTGCTTCTAGGTGGATTTAATATCTCGAGTGCTGGGCAGGGCACCGTGTGCAGACAGGGGCTCCATGATCGTTATCAAGTGATGATGGGGCAGATAGACTAGAGCTGGAGCTCACACTGGATCAGCTGTCTTATTTATTTCCAAGTTAAGAGACTGAACAAATGGACTTCTGTTATTATCATGGTGATGATTATTGCTGTGGTGCAAAATAATGGCTTGGCGCTGCCGGAACTATGTGGGAAAGACTGCACTAAGTCACTGGCTCCAGAGAGAGTTGTTCTCATAGGATGATGTTGTGCAAAATAAGAGTTCATCTGAAGGATACCCCTGATTCCCACCCTAGATGCCCACCCAACAGCTCTGCCTGGAATCCTCGCCTCTGAGTCACTCCATGCATCACAGAGCATCTTCACAGCATGGACACTAGGCTCCCAAATAGACCCTAAGCTCTCACTGTCGCTGCTTCTTACGAAGCAAGTGCCAGGTGGCATCAGCTCAGGCTCTGTGGGCTCCCCAAATACCCCATTAACCAGGACATGGTGGTCATGGAAAGGCATTTTGGGGATGTGAGCACTCTGAATCTTCCACATCATCATTAAGATCTATTTTCTGCACCAAATGGAAGAGGCAGGTCTGGCCTTGGCCTTCCTTGTACAGAATACCTTGAACTGGAGCCATCTTAGCATCTGTGGGTGCAGGCAGAGCAGAAGGGCCAGAAGGAAGGTGCAGAGGGGACAAAGGTCCTCTTCCCTATCCTCTGGGACCTTCCAGTATATCTAGTCACAGGGCTAGGGATTCACATCCCTAGAAAGTCACAGGAGTATGTGAAGAAAGCATGAACATGGAAAAGAATCTGAAATATCCTTACATCTATTTTCAATGACTGTCTCATTGTACAGCTGGGGAAACTGAGGCACAGGAGAGTAAAATGACCGGCTCAAGGCTGCACAGTGAGAGGACGGCAGAGCTGGATGTCAACCCAAGCTCCCTGGCTCATGGTCTACCCTAGCACTTCATGCTTCCAGCCTCAGGAGAGTTCAGTGAAGTTGAAGGATGAAGTACTTGGAAGGTGGCCCATAACCAAGCAACAGGGGTATCTTGACCACTTACAGAGTCCACACCCTGTGGTCCTGCCCTGCTGGGATTCTGGGAAGAAGTCTGCTACTTCCCTATCCTCAGAGAGCTTGCTGTCTCACTAAGGAGATGAGGCCTACCCACAAGAAACTCTCTAAGACAAACACCAGGCAGTATATGAAACCAGGGCTCATATAGATGATGTGGAAATGCTCAGAAAACAGCACCAGTGTAGAGTGGTCTCATCTTGGAGTAAGCCCTACAGACTTACTTTATAAATAAGGAAATCATCAGCATACAGGGAAATGTTACCCAGCCTTTCTTTCCTGTGTGACATACCCAACAGACAGGAACACATTAACACACAACCACTAACCCAATTTAAGTTCGAGAAGACTGCATGTCCGTGTCACTCCATGTTGCTAGGTTTTGTCTTTAGGGCTATGTGGCCAGATGGGGCAGTTTCAGGCTCCACCAAGACCAGCCTACAGAGCATGCCCCAGACCAGTTATAGAGCCTGACAGTGCCCAGCAGCCAGTATCACTGGATGCAGAATCTGCGAGCCAAGAGCACTGGCTGGGCCTCACTGCAGAGCTGTCCACCTTGTTTCCACTCTGTCTTCTCATGCTCCTACCACCAGAATGCCTTCTGTGCCCACTCAGGGTAACCTGCACCTGGCCTGGCCCAGGTTGCTCATAACATGAGCCACTGTTCCTCTCTGGCCTAGAGTGGCCCCAGCTCCCATGGGAACCATGTGCTCCAGCCTGATTCAACTCCTCATTGTCCCACAAACACCATAAAAGTTCCTGTCCCAGTGCTTGGTGGACACTTTCCCCCACCTAGCAAGGCTTTCAGGTCTCTCCTTCTGGCTAAATCTACCTGCTCTTCAGGACCATCCCCCACACTCTGACTGCCTCAGCCCACGTGGATCTTTCTGTCCTCTGGGCCCCCAGTACACTTGCAAGTAGCACCACTCACGTGGCACCAGCACGAGCAACTCGTGTGGGCAGGGAGATGCTGGTGCAGCCTCCTTGCAATCATCAGCAACCTGAGGGCAGCATCACACTGTGCTGATCTCTGCATCCACTCTGCAGCCACTCGTCCAGACATCAGAGTTAAGGATTAGAGAAAACAGAACTGTCTCTTCTTTTTCTCAAAGGAATAGAGGACCTTAAAAAATGTACTTAATGAATGCATGCAGCTGAGCATTCTGGTGTCCCGAAAATGACCTTCCTGACCTCCTTCCTGGCCTCTCTCCACAACCTTCCACAGCAGTCCTGAGAGGGTCAGCTATCTCGCTCTTGACACTGGGAACTGTGTCTATTCATGTCCCTGTGGCTCCTTGGTGACAATAAAGCTGCTAAAAAAAAAAAAAAAAACTCAGCAGAAAGGAGCCAAGGATATAAACAGACAATACATAGGAGGAAAAACAAATCATAAACCAACATATTAAATAGTTAGTAATAGATTAGTAATCAAAGATATGCAAATTAAACCACTCAAGCCCCCCAAATGCAATATAAGGCAATAATATACCATTTTATAGTTATAAATTAGCCCCCCAAATGGAGTTAATAAATCAAATGCTGGTAGGACTGTAGACAAGTGAGAACATTTGTAAACGGCTAGTGACATTAAAATCTGGTGCAATATTTGGGTAAAATATTTAGCAAAACACATCAAGACCTATAAAGATATCTGTACTCTATAACCTAGTAATCCCACTGTTGGGACTTCATCCTAAAAGAAGGAACAGAAATCTGCAGTCCCACCATTGCTGAGTCAGCAGTACCTAAGGCCTGTGACTGTTAATACCTCCAGTGCGTGGGTGACATCTCTACAGTCAATTAATGAGCCAGTCTTCATAAGATATTACATTAGCCAGCCTGGCTAACATCAATTACAGTCAGAAGCTGAGCTGTAATCATGGGGCGAATAAGACTGAGCTGCTCATTGTTTAAAATGACCACAGAATGAAATCACCTTTATGAGCACAACTGGGATAAATCAGAGAGAAACAAAGAAAGGAGCACTCGCCGCATGTCACTCCCCACAGCTGGCTCTGTGTCACTGCACATCCTCACAGATGCAGCTAGGCTTGCCTGCCTACTCTGGGAAGCCAGAGCCCCACTCCCCAGGCTTGGCTTGATGAAGGACCTTCTGGGGTCTTCTGAGAGGCTGGGTTTCAGCTGTCAGACACGATCCAGGTTTCAGAGAGGTGGAAATAGCTTTCCAATGTGCTGGAAAGCAGTGCTTTGGAAACCTGGCTGCAGGGGTTCGGTTAAGGGAGGCTGGGAAGGGCTACCACCAAGTCACCATGGCAACAGCCTCCTTGACATCACCCTCCCCCTAACCCGGCCAGCTCCCACCAAATGGTCTGCTCACATGGGGAATGGTGACTAACTACATGTTCATGTGGTGGACACTCCCCCAAAAGGACTGTGCCTGGGAGTCAGCCAAAAGGGCAGCCTGTAGAATTTTCTACCTTCACAGGGCACTTTGCAAAGCTCTTTTCCATCTGTCGTCTCAATCAACCCCCACGACCACAAGCGAAGTGGAAGGACAGGGGTCCCAAGTCCTTGGCTGCAGATGAGAAAGTAAAAGACAGAATGGTTATGCCACTTGGGAAGGTCACGGTGAAGTGAGAACCACCTGTCTGGATGAGAGACAATGGGTGGAGATGGGGTAGGAGGAGGGATCTGCCTTCTAGTCCTGGTGGTGCCAGGGAGGTCTCTAATAGAACTGAAAAGCCTGGTTTTAGCAAGAATCAACCCTATCCTTGATATCTAATTACCTGGCCTGCCTTTGGCAAGAATCCTGTTAGGTTTGTTTGGCAAGAGTCCCTCTACTCTTGATGTCTCCACTAGTAATTTTCTAACTCTGCTCCTGCAACTCTGCTCTTTGATTGTAAGTCCCCAATTGTCTTTGTTGTGTTTAGGATTGAGCTTAGTTCTATCCTGAAGTCTCTTTTCTCTTATTGCAATAGTTTCTGATTAAAATCTGTCTTTATCTCTTTAGTGCCTGGCTATGGTTTTCTCTGACAATAGTCAATATGTTCAGCAATTCTGAAGCTAGAACACGGGAGTTCAAGTCTTGGTTCATCTCGGATTTTCGCTTAAGCTGGGCAAGTTATTTATGCTCTCTGAGCCAGTTTGCTCATCTCTAGAACAGGGATTGTAACGGAACATACCCCAGAGGAGAACTAAATGACATCATGCAGGCAAAGCACTGAGCCCAGTGCTGGCCTGTGGGCAGAGTGCAATAAAAGAGCCCAGTTTTTCTTATGGTCACATTGAAAATAAAACTCACAATATGAAGGACATGGCATCCTGTCAAAGAGAGGCATCTCTTGAATCTAATCATGCCAACATCAGACAAACCCTAAATGAGGGGCACTTACAAAATAACTGGCCTGTATTCAACAAAATAGCATTCAGTCCATGGGAGACAGGGAAAGACTGAGAAACTGCTCACAGACTGCAGGAGACTAAAGACGCGTGTCAACTTGCTGTACCATGTGATTCTGCACTGGGCCCTTTTGCTAAAACGACATCATTGAGACACTTGCACAACGTAATGAGGGTCTGAGGATTATGAAGCAGCAGCAAATCAGTGTGAATTTCCTGGTTTTGGTGGCTGTGGTGTGGTTCTATAGCAGAATGTTCTCGTTTATAGGAAATGCACACTAAATAATATTCTGGGATGATGGAGCGTCAGTTTGGCAATTTACTCGCAAATGGTTCAGGGGTGAGGGAAGGCTCCTTGTACTGCATTTGTGCCTTTTCTGTAAGTTTGAGATTGTTTCAAAATTTTAAAAATTCAAAAATAATTTTAAAGTGAAATAAAGCTAATGCTTAGAGAGGTTTAAGTGGTCGATGGAGCTAGGACCCACCAACACCCAGGCCTCCGATCCCACAACTCATGCTCTTCCCACTGACTCCACGGCAGGGAGGAAGGCATCCAGGAGGCGACTGAGAAGGACTATTGCAAGGGTCTTGGTTTCTGGTCCCTATTAGGCCTTTAACCCCAGTCTCTTCAGTCTCTTCATCCATAGAACAAGCAGGTGGCAGAAGCCTGAGGTTCTTAACACAGGCAATACCACACCCCGGATGTTGGAAATGAGGGTGCCAAATAACCTGCAATGCCTCCACAATCTCACCCAGCCAAGACTTGACCTGCATTCTAGCACTATAGAGAAACAGACTTTGTTTTGTTCATAATTTTAGCAGGAGTTACTCATCATTGTAAAAGAAATCTCATTGCAATAGCAGTGCTGCTCTCAGCAACTGAGCTGTCCACACAACCCCCCTAGCATCCGTACCAAATCAGTGGCTCCAGGCACAGGGGCAAGCTTCTGGCCACTTCATTATGTCTCCTAGTCTACTCCTGCCTAAGCACTGATAGAGTGAAATACATACAATTTTATTACAAGTTACTTTCCTTTTATTTCTGTTTAATGTTACAGGTAGCTATATAGAATGGATTTTTTTTTTTTAGTTTTATGTGTAGGTAGGTTTACATGTATTTATGAGTATCATTTCAGGCTAGCAAAAGGAATATTATAAGATATGTGTTATAATAAAAGGACATTGGGTCTTCAATGGGACATACATCCTAGTAGGCTCCACCCCATTCCTTTAAAGGATTACATAGCACTCTATAGCTCAAAAATTCCTCTACTAATAGACACTGAGGTCATTTGATGTTTGTTTCCATTTTCACTGTTGCAAATATGGCTGCAGTGAACACCCTGGTACCTGCCTCTTTGACTCATGATTAGCTTCTGCTGTAGGTCAAGTTGGATCAAAGCACAAGGTCATCTTCTTCTAGCCCAGCCTCCTCCATTGCTCATCAGATACCCCCTCAGCACCACAGAAACTACATGACAGGAAGTTTTCTCTTCTGTTTCTTGTCCAGGCCTTCCCACTGTCATCACTGACCAATCCCTGGCAACAATTCATCCAGCATCAGATAAGGCATGTGTTCACTGCTTGACAGCAAGGCCCCCCTCAACAGTTCTATTCAACTAAAACTAATCGGCAGGGATAAAGAGTGGCCTGGCACCACACTCTCAGCTGGAGTTTGCACAAAGGGAAATGCATTTTAGTCTGGCAGCAAAGTCTTTTCACGACTGGGTCTTCATTGTTATCAATATGGTAACCAAGGCCAGAGGAATAAAGGAAACCCAAATTCTCCTTCCCACTCTCACTCACCATGGCTTCTCCCCAAGGTTCCTCTGAGCACATCATGTTCTGGTTTGCAGGTTGAAAGACACATCAATACGTGTCTCCATCAAACTCACATGTTGATATCCTAACTTCCAAGGAGATGGTGTTAGAAGGTGGTGGAGCCTTTGGGAGGTCATTAGGTCATGAGGGTGGAGCCCTCCTGAATGGGATTAGAACTTTCATAAAAGAGACCCCTGGAGAGCTCCCCTGACCCTTACACCACGTGAGAACACAGCAATAAACAGCTGGTTGTAAGCCAGCGTGCAGCCCCTCACCAGACACCAAATCTACGGGCACCTTGATCTTGGACTTCCCAGCCTCTAGAACTGTAAGAAACTAATGTCTTTTGTTGTTAAGTCACCCAGTTTATGGTATTCTGTGATAGCAGCCCAAATGGACTAAGACAAAAGGCCTTGTAGATTTCTAGCTTCTAAATGTCTCTGTCTCACAGATGTGAATTGCAAGTACTCTCCATAGGCCAACATTCAAGATATATCAGCCGTTTTGGCAACTGAGCACAATATTTAGCAGATACTTTCAATAGGCAAATGAGAACAAGTTTGAGGTGAAATCTTTGGGAACAGCAGGCCATGCACTTGTTTAAGCATTGAGTTTCAAAGTCCAACGGCACGCTTTTCATAATTACAAGCACTTCTCCAGCCCCATGTCATTCATTTATTAATTTATTCACTATACAGACATAGAAGACTATGAAAGAAAATTTTGCATGAGACACTTGTTTAAAATGGCAAGACAAATTTTATGCAAGCTGTCACATTAGGGGAGAGAGACTTCAGCGCAGAACTGAGCTCAACTTTGAATACAGCAGAGACAGCTGGGGATTTATAGCCAAGGAGCAAAGTGAGGGGGCCAGTGGGTGGAAATAACTAAGAAGAACTTGATTAGACATCAAGGGCAGGGTATTCTTGCTAAACTGGCTTAACAGGAGTCTTGCTAAAGGCAAGCTGAGGGCTTAGATATCAAGGGTGAGGGATGATGAACTTGATTAGATATCAAGGGTAATCAGATATCAAGGGTGGGGGGGATTCTCAATAAACTGGCTTAGCAGGATTCTTTGCTAAAACTGGGCTCAGCTGGCCAAGGTCAAGGCCTAGGCTAGAAGAGGGCTTGGAGGAGCCTCACTAAAGTTTGTCAAGGAAAGCATCCTTGTCAAGACATATACATGTAAATGTGGGGTGTAGATAAAAATGTAGATATATCTATCTATGCATCTATATACATATGCATATTATACTAGTCCATTGTGATGCTATAATAAAATATCTTAGACTGGGTAATTTGTAAGCAACTGAAATTTATTGCTCACAGTTCTAGTAGCTGGGAAGTCCAAGATCAAGCCACCAGCAGATTTGATGTCTAGTAAGGGCTTGCTCTGTTTCTTTTTTTTTTTTTTTTTTTTGAGACAGGGTCTTGCTCTGCTGCCCAGGTTGGAGTTCAGTGGTACACTCTTGGCTCACTGCAACCTCTGCCTCCCAGGTTCAAGTGATTCTCATGCCTCAGCCTCCTGAGTAGCTGGGACCACAGGCACATGCCACCACACCCAGCTAACTTTTTTTGTATTTTTAGTATCGGCAGGGTTTTGTCTTGTTGACCAGGCTGCTCCCAAACTCCTGGCCTCAAGTGATCCACCCATCTCAGCCTCCCAAAGTGCTGGGATTACACATGTGAGCCGCCATGCCCGGCCTGCTCTGTTTCAAAGATGGTGCCTTCTCACTGTGTCCTCACATCACTGAAGGAGGTACCAGGCTCCCTCAGGCCTTTGATATATGAGCACTAATCATATTCCTAAGGGTTCTACCCTCAAGACCTAATCACCGTCCAAAAGCCACACCTCCTAATACTATCACCTTGGAGGTTAGGCTTCAACACATGATTTTGTGGGGGCCATCAACAGTCAGACCATAGCACATATAATCAGGCACCTTAGTGGAAGCTGGGGATGAAGTGGTGGAGAAGAAAAAGCCCCTGTTTAGAAGGTTCAGCATCAGGAGCTTCTCTCCTTCATGTGCTGATATAGCGTAGGCAGATGAAAGCACCATGCTCAAAGTGAAATCCACCACTCACTGTAAGGTATGTTAACCTCTCAAATTACAAGAATACCTGAGATTATAGGGACACCTGGGACCACATTTAAAGATTTTCAGGAGACTCCTGGGAGCTGAGGGGAGGAAGCCCACAGCTCAAAGGTAGAAGTCACTTTGATCGGCAAATGGTTCTGACAATGTTTTATTCCTTGGTGATTTCCTTCTGAGCCTCTTTGTTAGAGATCTCTAGTCCACACTGGAGGTTCATTAGCTTGGTCCAGAACAGGATTAAAATAACCTAGTAAATGACAAATTCTCAGATTAAATAAAAGGGAAGAAAAGCCAGCTAATGTTGTTACAACGACATAAAAAACAGAATAATCTAAAGAGGTTGAAAATAAAGTAATGGAAAAAGGCATTCCAGACAAATAATAATGACAAGATAACTGATGTAACACTATCAGTGTCAGACAAGGGAGAGAGAGAGAAGGAATAAATATAAATCAGTTAAATGTTCACCTCAAGGAGTTAGCAAAACAACAATAAACACAAAGAAAGTAGAAGAGATAAGATACTAAATATGAGAGTATACATCAATGAAAGAGGAAACTAATTACCAAAACCTAAACCTAGTTCTTTTTCTCTCTTTCTTTTTTTTTTTTTTTTTTTTTTTGAGATGGAGTCTCGCTCTGTTGCCAGGCTGGAGTGCAGTGGTGCGATCTCAGCTCACTGCAACCTCTGCCTCAGCCTCCCGAGTAGCTGGGACTAAAGGCGTGTGCCACCATGCCCAGCTAATTTTTGTATTTTTATGGCTGGACGCAGTGGCTTATGCCTGTAATCCCAGCACTTTGGGAGGCCCAGGTGGGCGGATCTCGAGGTCAGGTGATCGAGACCATCCTGGCTAACACGGTGAAACCCCGCTAAAAAATACAAAAAATTAGCCAGGTGTGGTGGCACGCACCTGTAATCCCAGCTACTTGGGAGGCTGAGGCACGAGAATCATTTGAACCCAGGAGGCAGAGGTTGCAGTGAGCCAAGATTGCACCACTGCACTCCAGCCTGGGCCACAGAGTGAGACTCTGTCTCAAAAAAAAAAAAAAAAAAATTTTTATATTTTTAGTAGAGGTGTGGTTTCAGCATGTCGGCCAGGATGGTCTCAATCTCTTGACCTCACGATCCGCCCACCTTGGCCTCCCAAAGTGCTGCGATTACTGGCACGCCCGGCCCTAAACCTAGTTCTATAGAACACAAATCTGTAGCAAGATTGAACAAAAGGAAAAGTAATATGGGACAAAAAAAAATAGCAATAGGATTTAAATGGAAATTTCATGACAAAACAGTAGATATTTCTTAAATCAAAAGAGAAACTATGAACCAAGATAGAAGAACACAATTTTCTTTAAAACTACATATATGTATAAATGATCATAACTTTCTCAAGAAGAAATAAAAACCTGCATACATTAGTAACCACAAACAAAACCAAGCTGATAAAAATCTGCACCTCCCTCCTCAAAGGCACTAGACCAAGAAGGCTTCATAAGCAAGCTTTGCCAAAACTTTATGGAGTGGTTAATGTTTACCCAAAGCAAACTGTCTCAGAGAATAGAATAAGAAGGAAAACTGGCAAAATAATTTCATGAGGCTAGTATAACCTTAATAACGTCACACAGAGGGTACAATTAAAGAAAGTTGTTGACTAGGCTCACTTATGACAATAGAGGCAAAAATCCTATTTTTAAAAGTCTCAAATCAAATTTAGCAATGCATCAAAATTACATCATGATCAACTACAATTTGTCACTTATTTCATACATATATCAAATACATATTTATTTTATACATATATCAATAAACTGTATGTATATGATACATAAATCAAATAAATATTTATATTATATAGTATTTTATATATAGCATATATTATATTATATATTTCTATTAAATATATTATATAATTATATTTATAAGGTATTATATTTATTTAATATATGTATCAAATAAATATTTGATACAATTTATCAACTACAATTTTCCATTTATGCTAAAAATGTAAAATGTTCTTCAGAAAATGTGTTAATACAATGTGTCACATTATCAGATTAAGAAGAACAAATAAATATGATCATCTTAGTAAATGCTGAAGAAAAAGCATTTGACAAAATTCCATACTCAGTCACGATAACTTGGTAAATTAGGAATAGAAAATAACTTTAATTTGATGAAGATATTTATTAAAAACTAATGACAAACATCAAATGTAATAATGAAAATTTAGATGTATTTTCATTAAATGCAGGACCCTAAATTATGCCACTATCACCTAAACTATTCATCACTGAATTCAAAGTCCTATCCAGTGCAATAAGACAATATAAACAAAGTGTAATAATTGGAAACAAACAACATTCTCATTAGTTGCAAATGATATCATTGCTCATGATGCACCTCATGATGGTTAATTTTTTTATGTGTCAACTTGACTGGACTGAGTGATGCCCAGATAGCTGGTAAAATATTACTTCTGGGTGTGTCATGTGTGTCTGTAAGGATGCTTCCAGATGAGATTAACATTTGAATCAGTAGACTGAGTAAAGAAGATCACCCTCTCTAATGTGGTTAGGCAGTATCCAATGCTTTGATGGCCAAAGTAGGACAAAAGGGTGCAGGAAGGGTGAATTTGCTCTCTGCTTGAGCTGGGACATGCAATCTTCTCCTGTTCTTAGACACTAGAGCTTCTGGTTCTTTGGCCTTTGGCCTCTGAGACTTATACCCTTGGATCCCCTGGTTCTCCAGCAAGATGACAGGAAGGGCATAAAAGATCTGATCAAGGGGAGAGATGTATTCCAGATGGAGAGAAGACTCAATACTGAGGTGCTAATCTCCCAAAACCAATCTGGAAGCCAATTCAGTTTCAATAAAAATGCCTGCAGGTTACCACTTCACATTTACTAGAATGCAAAATGGTGCAGTCACTTTGGGAAAGAGTGAAGAGTTTCTCAAAGGTTAAAGGTATAGTTTCCAAAAGACCTAGCAATTTCACTCCTAGGTATAGACCCAAGAGAATGAGAACATCTGCCCTCACAAAAACTTGCACACTTATGTTCATAGCAGCATTCTTGATAATAATCAAAAAGTGGAAACATCCAAATGTCCACCAAGAGATGGATAAACAAAATATGGTATATCCAAACAGTGGAATGTCATTTAGCCATAAAAAATGAATTAGGTACTAATTTATGCTAGGACATGGATGAATCTTGAAAACATTATGCTAAGTGAAATAAGCCAGACACAAAAGGCTACATATTGTATGATTCTATTTATATGAAACATAGAGGACAGGCAAATCCATGGAAACAAAAGTAGATTAATGGTTTCCAGAGGCTGGGAAAAGCACGGAATGGGAACTGACTGTTAATGGGTGTAGGTTTTCTCTTGGAGATGACGAAAACATTCTGGAATTAGTATTAATGGTTGCAGAACTGTGTGAATATATTAAAAATCACTGAATTGTACACTTTAAAAGTGCGAAATTTATGGTATGTAAATTGTATCTCAATTTTTAAAAATTTCCATCAAGGTTTGTTGTCATACTTGACACCGATCATAAAGCTCATATGGAAGTATAAAGGGCCAAGAATTGCTAAGATAATTTTGAAAAAAAATGCTGGAGAGACTTGCTCTATTACAGATCAAGATTTATTAGAAAACTCAGTAAGACTTACATGTTATTATCATAGAGATGGACAATTAAGAAAAAAAATAGCAATCCTAGAAAGAAACTCATAGATAAACATAAACTTGGTATATGGAAAACTTGGCATTATAAATCAGTAGGAAAAGAGTAGACTAATAAATGTATACAAAAATGGAAAAAAATTAGTTACCTCAATGAAGTTTGAAACAACAATGAAATATCATTTTACATTCAGATTAGTAAAAACTACATAATAGTTATTATATTTTAGAAGAAAGGGAAGATAATTGAAAGGGAAGAGGAAGGGTGGAGGGAGAGTCAATGGTGTCTACTTTCAATTCTAAAAAAGGAAAGGATCAGAATAAAATAAGGTAGAAACGTTAAGATTGATTAATTATGGCTCATGGTATATGGATAATAGTTACATAATTTCTCTGTACACTTCTACATGTTTGAAAGAATCTCTAATTTTTAAACTTCCACAAAAATATTACCCACAAGAAATATGCCAAAATATTAAGTGGTTTTCTAGAGTAGTGAAAATATGAGTGATTTTTTATTTTTTCTATATTTTCCTTTTTAAAAAAAACAATAAGAAGGTGTTATTTTGCTAACAAAAGACAACATTAAAACTATCAAAAGGGAAAGAACCTACCCCTTTTTTATTGCTATCCAACTGAGAAACTCACATTGTAATACGAATAAATGGTAATTTTGGTAAAGTTCATAGCATGTATACTTTCCATAACACTTCTACCCATCTTTTTCATGATACATGTGTAAAGGAGGTAAGCAAAGTATCAGATGCTTTTTGCTCTAGTTACACAAGATTATGTGTGATGGAATTGGGCCAAGCACTAGTCTTTTAGGACCCTTAATCTCATGCTTTTTCTGCTACTCCAGACTACCTCTCAATACCCCAGTAGGTCTTCGGTATAAATGTAGACAGCTGCTTCCCATCTTCCAAACAGTTGTGCTGCATGGTTTATTTGTTAAATCAGATATTTTGAACTTGAATCTTGTTGTTTTTGTTTTGTCTTGTTTTGTTTTTTTATGGGGACAGCATTATGACAGCAAGTTAGGGTCAAAGGTTCACAAAAGCACTATGTCCACCCTAACCTGTCTTAGAAGAGTGGTACTCAGCTGCTGGTTTCTGCCATCTCTACCAGGATGACTCAGCAGGTGTCTCAAACTCAGCACTGCCAAAGCTAAGCTGTTTATATTTCTCCCAAACTCGCTCCTCCCAGTCTCCCCTATTTTCATAAATGCTGCATTGATCCACACAGTAGCTCAATCCAGAAACATGTGGAAGTCACACCTGACTCATCCCCTTCCTCTCCAGCCTCCATCCACTCTGTTCTGTTGGAACCAAATTCTGCCAAGTCTGGCTGTAAAATACATCTCAGTTCCATCACCTGTCTCCATTCTCCTGTCAGCGCATGGTCCAGGCCACTGTCCCTCTCCCACAGTCATTGAATCTTTGGCAAGAAGGCAAAGGGCAGGAGGCTGATCTGCAGGCCAGGGCCCTGGCTCTCATGTCGGGGGTGTCTGCTAAGTCAATGAGCACCTGCTCTTGGCCTGGCTGAGGAGCTATTTGCAAAGGTGTCCTCGATACTCCTCCTCCCTCCCGCTACAACACACACCCAGCCCTGGTCACAGGCTGCTAATCACCGGCCTTTCCTTTCATAGGGACTTACTCTGGGGGCTTCGTCATCTCCAACTTGAAGCCAAAGTTATTTTTGCTAATTATACGAAGTACTTATTACTGGAAAAGAGTCACAAGTGAGCAAAACAACCACTTAATTAAAAGAAAGGTCTGATCACTAGCAATGGAAAATTAATTGATGAATTACTTGATACCAAACTCGGCTTAGCTGAACTGGCAGATTGTTTGCCTAAATAAACCTTGGGAAAACATATATGCATGCTAATGACTGGCCCCAGATTCTTCCTCTACTTATGGTTTACTAGAAGGCAGCAGACTATCATCGAAGTGGTTTTTCCCTCTGCAGAAGCCAGCGCTGCTGCGTTCCTATGCCTAGGATTGGGACATGCATCTGTCAGCGAATTTCAATTATCATAGAACCTCAGAGATCATTTGTTACATTGAGTTCCTTGTGGGCAGGACACAGCCTAGCTCAGTCTTTACTCCCAATGCCCAGTACAGTGCCCGGCCCAGAGTCTGATAGATTGAATTGAGTCCAGATCCCCGACTGAGAGATGCCCCAGAGAGCGACTTGCCCTAAATCACAGGGTTCACTTTTGGCAGAGGTGGATTACCATACTCAGGTCTCCTGACCCTCAATCCACACTACTTTAAGTATGCAAAGAGAAACAATGTGCATGTAATACTTTTCCCCTGCACTTGTATTTTTGTAGCATTAAGGGACCTGAAACAACTGCTTCGCATCATCTTCCAGGAAGAGGGTAAAGGGCACAGAACAGTTCTGAAGTGCACCTTGGTAAGCCTCATCTTTCTTCTCTCAGCTCTTAATGACACCCCATTTAAAATCAATGAAAAACAGAAGCTCTTTAAATTCCAATCATCTGCTAAGCAGCATTACAGTGAGGGCATTAAGCAACAGGAACCGATCAACTACAGACTTGTTTTCTCCCCAAAGGCAAATTTGATTTTGGAAATTTGCTTTTGGAAACATCGAAGGCATGGGATCCTGGAAATGGACTCAAGATACAGAGGGAGGAGGGGAGAAAGGCTGACGGGATTTGAGGACCTGGAGGAAGACAGGGCAGATGACAAAGACGGCAGCAACCGCGATGGGGTAAAAGATCATTGAGACAGTAAAAAGGCCTCAGATTTTATAACCTGAGGTGGCCTCCAGGATCTCCTATTGTAAAATTTCTTCCAGTACCTCATGAAAAACAACCCTCTTCATTCCTCTTCTCATTTTCTTGTTTTCCAGCTCTGTAAATAGCTATAACTGGGCTGCAGGTATGTCCTAAGCTTTCTCTCTTTTTTTTTTTTTCTAAGTCTTTTTTATTTATTTATTTATTATACTTTAAGTTTTAGGGTACATGTGCACATTGTGCAGGTTAGATACATATGTATACATATGCCATGCTGGTGCACTGCACCCACTAACTCGTCATCTAGCATTAGGTATATCTCCCAATGCTATCCCTCCCCCCTCCCCCCACCCCACAACAGGCCCCAGAGTGTGATGTTCCCCTTCCTGTGTCCATGTGATCTCATTGTTCAATTCCCACCTATGAGTGAGAATATGCGGTGTTTGGTTTTTTGTTCTTGCGATAGTTTACTGAGAATGATGGTTTCCAATTTCATCCATGTCCCTACAAAGGACATGAACTCATCATTTTTTATGGCTGCATAGTATTCCATGGTGTATATGTGCCACATTTTCTTAATCCAGTCTATCATTGTTGGACATTTGGGTTGGTTCCAAGTCTTTGCTATTGTGAATAATGCCGCAATAAACATACGTGTGCATGTGTCTTTATAGCAGCATGATTTATAGTCATTTGGGTATATACCCAGTAATGGGATGGCTGGGTCAAATGGTATTTCTAGTTCTAGATCCCTGAGGAATCGCCACACTGACTTCCACAATGGTTGAACTAGTTTACAGTCCCACCAACAGTGTAAAAGTGTTCCTATTTCTCCACATCCTCTCCAGCACCTGTTGTTTCCTGACTTTTTAATGATTGCCATTCTAACTGGTGTGAGATGGATTTAAACGTTAGACCTAAAACCATAAAAACCCTAGAAGAAAACCTAGGCATTACCATTCAGGACATAGGCATGGGCAAGGACTTCATGTCCAAAACACCAAAAGCAATGGCAACAAAAGCCAAAATTGACAAATGGGATCTAATTAAACTAAAGAGCTTCTGCACAGCAAAAGAAACTACCATCAGAGTGAACAGGCAACCTACAAAATGGGAGAAAATTTTCGCAACCTACTCATCTGACAAAGGGCTAATATCCAGAATCTACAATGAACTCAAACAAATTTACAAGAAAAAAACAAACAACCCCATCAAAAAGTGGGCGAAGGACATGAACAGACACTTCTCAAAAGAAGACATTTATGCAGCCAAAAAACACATGAAAAAATGCTCATCATCACTGGCCATCAGAGAAATGCAAATCAAAACCACTATGAGATACCATCTCACACCAGTCCTAAGCTTTCTCTAGGATTTTCTGTCCCAAATAAAAGTGCAAAATAAATAGCTATTTCACTTAGATTTTGAGAATTTAAACTTCACAGCTATTCTAAGGAAGGCTAGAACAACTAATACGCTGCTTAACCATGTGCAAGGTGCACATTTTATGGCTGCATCATGAAGGGCAACCCCGGCTGGTGAGGACACACCAAAATGTGGGAAACGGGCACTTGGGTTCAGCCGGCTTCACAGTCACGCTGGAGGCTCCCACAACAGAAATCACAAAACATTCCCTCGAGTGCTAAATTTGTAGACAAACATAGTGGTTTATAAGGAACAACAGAGTTCTAGGATTCATCATCTATAGCCACAAAAATACCACATGAGCTTTTTTTTTTTTAAATCGACCCCCTTCCTTTGCGCCAGATAGCAGGTAGCAGCCCCTCTCTTTGAGGATGCAAGGGGGAGGAGGGATTGGAGTGGGAGTAGGGTGAGGTAAAGAGGGACAGGCTCAGAGGTGACAATGGTGAGAAGAAAACCAGCAATGGAGGTGACGGATTATTTCCTGTGATAGACTATTTCCAAAGACAGCCACAGCAATCTCCTATCAAAAGGTGGGTTATGTTTCCCTCCCCCTGAATCTGGACTGGCCATGAGGTTTGTTCTGACCAACAGAATGTGGCACCAATGACCTTCTGGGCTTGACGTGATCTTGCAGCTTCCACTTTGCAGAGGCAGGTTCCTGCCACATGCAAAGAAATCAGGCTGTTCTGCTACAGAGAGAAGCCACAGGAGAAAGAGGCCCCAGAGAATGAGGGGCCATGCAGAGAGGACTAGGCCATGTTCAGAAGGACTGAGGTTCCCAGTCAAGAGCATCTCCAAGGCCCCAGACATGGGAGTGGCACCATCTTGGATCGTCTATCCCCAGTTGAGTAACCCAAGTAGAAGAGAGAAAAGCTGTCTCCACAGAATCCTCCCCAAATTCTTTTTTTTCTTTTTTTTTTTTGAGACAGTCTTGCCCTGTCATCCAGGCTGGAATGCAATGGTGCGATCTTGGCTCACTGCAACCTCCGCCTCCTGGGTTCAAATAATTCTCCAGCCTCCTGAGTAGCTGGGATTACAGATGCCCACCACCATGCCCAGCTAATTTTTGTATTTTTAGTAGAGACAGGGTTTCACCACATTGGCCAGGCTGGTCTCGAACTCCTGACCTCATGATCCACCTGCCTCAGCCTCCCAAAGTGCTGGGATTACAGGCATGAGCCACCGCGTCCAGCCATCCTCCTCAAATTCTGACCTATATGATCATGAGCAAATAGTTGCTTTAAGCCAGTATATTTAGGGCTGGTTTGCCACGTGGCAATAAACAACCGAAACACCGCCTAACTGCTCTCTGCTGTCAACCAGCTCCTCACAGGCTGTCCCCTCAGGGACTGCAATGGGTTTGTGTTTTGATTTTGTTTCTGGATTTTTCTGTGTTGTTTTGCTTTCTTGTTTTTTTTTTTTTTAATTCATCAATTGGAGAATCTTGCTGGAGACAGTGAAAATTAATTTGAGACAGACAAAGCCCTTAAACTGCCTGGCAGGGGAACTGGTATGCTGGGCACACTGTCACACCTTTGTCACACATACTTAGAAGGAAAAAGTCCATGGAACCAGCTCACCCCAGGGCCCAGAGGGCAGCACCATGGAGACGGTCCCCCCGGCACCCCCACTCCTCAGAACACAGACCCCTGACTGTTCTGTGAGAAAACTGCTCCTGCTCCACCATTAAAACGGAATGCCCTGACATCCAGTACTTACAGGCCTTGGTCTCTTTCCAGTCTGAAGTGACAGGCTGGCAGATCCACCAGCCTGGATGCTCCAGGTTCCCTGCCTCCCTGCAGTCATTTCGTGGTCAACATGGCAAAAAAAAGGGGAGGCAAAAGAGGCCATGCTTATTCACACAAAGCTTCAGGCAAGTCTGGCATCCCCTCACATTTGGCTTTAGGCAGATCCAGTAAGATGTGGCAGCCTTTATCACCATGAATCATGTCCAAACTCCAGTGGGGAAATATCCACCCAAACAAAATGAACACAAAGGACTGCACGGGGCCTGGGGTGGTGGTTCTGTCTTCTGATATTAGCACAGCCTGCCTTTTGCAAGGTAGGAGTCAGACAAGGGACAACCTCCCCAAAATGGCCTGCACTTGGCTGATACTAAAATGAAGGCACCCCCAGTCTTAAGCCTCAGGCAGCTCCCCCACTGAAGCCTCACTGGTGGGAGCTGCGCAAAGCAAGCTTCTTGAGCCCCAGGCTGTCCAGGCTACACATCAGCCCCACATTCACAGAAGCAGAGAGCAGGGGAAGCACTGAACCTGCCTCTGCACTGAGTTTGCCTTGACATCTTCATCTGTATGCAGGATTTAAGAGCCTTGAAGAAAGGGGATGAAGGAAATCACAACGCAGTGGATAAGAGCCAAGATGAGCAGATGCGAGTCATTCAAAAGGGGTTGGTAGGGAGAGGAAATAGGTAGGATGCAAAAGAATATTCATCATTCCACAAATTTTTATTGAGCATCTACTATGTGCCAGGCACTGTGCAAGGTGCTAGAGACAGAATGGTAAATAAGACACATTTGGTTCTTGCCCCAAGGAACTCACCCTACAATTAGAATACGGTGTGGTCAGTGCTGTAGGCAGGAGCACAGCCAAGGAGCATGTATTGGAGGGTGCTGAGTGGAGCCAGCTTGTCAGAGAAGGAGGAGTGGGCAGGAAAGGTACCATGGAGGCTGGAGAAAGTGGGAGCACACTGCAGCCTGAGGGTTTCACCGACTCCCGAGACTTCACCCATAACTGAGGGCACTCCTCGACCCCTCCCTGGACTCCCAAGTTCTTATGTCAGGGCCACTGCATCCATCATTCATTGGATTTGGGCTCCATTCCCATTGGTGTTTCTAAAAACATTGCTTCCCTGAAGGCACTAACCTGCTCAAAAGCCTTCAATGGCAATCCACCACTAACAGAATAAACTCCCCAACATCCTGGCCTGGCTTCTCAAGCCCTACACAATCTGCCCCAACCCGTATCAACACACCCAGAACAAAAGGTGCCCACAGAGGAACCCCTAAATCCCTGCTCACAGTCATCTGCACAACCCTGTGACTAGCCACACCCCCAACTCTGACCATATTTGAGAATGTCTCCATCTCTAGACATAAATCCTAGACACAAGGGTCTATATATTCTCATGGTTACACACCTACGGAGCCAGAGTCCCCAGCAAGGCATGACTTGAGAAATCTAGGGAAAGGACCCAGGTCCCAACTAACACTCAGTAGCCAACTGGTCCAAAATCCTCGACTAGCTATTATTCCTTGATTTAAGCACCAGCTTTCCTAGGTAATTTTTTTCTCTCTCTTTTTTTTTTTTTTTTTTTTTTTGAGACAGAGTCTTGTTCTGTCATCCAGGCTAGAGTGCAGTGGTGTGATCTTCGCTCACTGCAACCTCTGCCTCTTGGGTTCAAGTCATTCTCCTGGCTCAGCCTCCCAAGTAGCTGGAACTACAGGTGCCTGCCACCATGCCCAGCTAATTTTTGTATTTTTAATAGAGACGGGGTTTCGCCATGTTGGCCAGACTGGTCTCGAACCCCTGACCTCGGGTGATTCACCCATCTCAGCCTCCCAAAGTGCTGGGATTACAGGCGTGAGCCACCATGTCTGGCTGTAATTTTTTTTTAATTAAAATCTTTGACAAACCTGAGAAAAACAAGCAATGGGGAAAGGAGTCCCTATTTAATAAATGGTGCTGGGAAAACTGGCTAGCCATATGGAGAAAGCTGAAACTGGATCCCTTCCTTAAACCTCATACAAAAATTAATTCAAGATGGATTAAAGACTTAAACATTAGACCTAAAACCATAAAAACCCTAGAAGAAAACCTAGGCATTACCATTCAGGACATAGGCATGGGCAAGGACTTCATGTCTAAAACACCAAAAGCAATGGCAACAAAAGCCAAAATTGACAAATGGGATCTAATTCAACTAAAGAGCTTCTGCATAGCAAAAGAAACTACTATCAGAGTGAACAGGCAACCTACAAAATGGGAGAAAATTTTTGCAACCTACTCATCTGACAAAGGGCTAATATCCAGAATCTACAATGAACTCAAACAAATTTACAAGAAAACAACTAACAACCCCATCAACAAGTGGGTGAAGGATATGAACAGACACTTCTCAAAAGAAGACATTTATGCAGCCAAAAAACACATGAAAAAATGCTCACCATCACTGGCCATCAGAGAAATGCAAATCAAAACCACAAGGAGATACCATCTCACACCAGTTAGAATGGCAATCATTAAAAAGTCAGGAAACAACAGGTGCTGGAGAGGATGTGGAGAAATAGGAACACTTTTACACTGTTGGTGGGACTGTAAACTAGTTCAACCATTGTGGAAGTCAGTGTGGCGATTCCTCAGGGATCTAGAACTAGAAATAGCATTTGACCCAGCCATCCCATTACTGGGTATATACCCAAAGGACTATAAATCATGCTGCTATAAAGACACATGCACACGTATGTTTATTGCGGCATTATTCACAATAGCAAAGACTTGGAACCAACCCAAATGTCCAACAATGATAGATTGGATTAAGAAAATGTGGCACATATACACCATGGAATACTATGCAGCCATAAAAAATGATGAGTTCATGTCCTCTGTAGGGACATGGATGAAATTGGAAACCATCATTCTCAGTAAACTATCGCAAGAACAAAAAACCAAACACCGCATATTCTCACTCATAGGTGGGAATTGAACAATGAGAACACATGGACACAGGAAGGGGAACATCACACTCTGGGGCCTGTTGTGGGGTGGGGGGAGGGGGGAGGGATAGCATTAGGAGATATACCTAATGCTAAATGACGAGTTAATGGGTGCAGCAAACCAACATGGCACATGTATACATATGTAACTAACCTGCACATTGTGCACATATACCCTAAAACTTAAAGTATAATAATAAAAAAAAAATTTAGTGTTATGACCTGGCAATTCCAGTTCCAGGTATATATAGCTAACACAAATGTTTACAATAATTTACCAGGAGACAGGTACAAGAATGTAGCATTGGTTTTAATAGTCCCCACCTAGGAATTATCTAAATGCCCACCTACAATAAGATGCAGACATTGTGGTATAGTCACACAATAAAATGCAATACAAATATGAGAATGTACAAATTACAACTACACATAGCAAAATGAATGAATTCCCCAACCTAAAGTTGAGTAAAATAAGGCAGACACTGAAGGGTAATACTATGTGATTTATGTAAAGTTAATAAAGTTCAAACACAGGCAAGATTAAGCTATGATGTTAAAAGTCAGGACAATGGTTACCCTTAGGAATGTGACAATGACTGAAATGGGGCCTGAGGATGGCTTATGGGGTGCTGAGAATCTTCTATGTCATGATTTAGATGCTAGGCTCATGAGTATATTCAATGTGTGAAAATTCATTGAACAATATGCCTATGATGTGTACATTTTCTATGTAGCTAATATTTCAATAAGAAGTTTAAAAAGGGAAAAGGAAAAAACTGATGAGGGTGCAGATAAATTAATACTTTCTTACATTGGGGAATGCAAATTAGTAAAGCTTTAAGAAAGGGAATTTGGCAATATTTATCAAAACCTTAAAAAATTTCATATCCTTTGACCTAGTAATTCCAGTCCCAGAAATTTATCTTCAGGAAATAATGAGGGTGCAGTGGTACTTGTCACAGAATTATTTATAACAGGGAAAATTTGGAAATAGCCTAAATGTTGAGCAAATGTACTCCTATTGTGCAGCCACTAAATGCATTTTATAAAATGTTTAATGAGAGGATTATATGAAATTTAATTTCTTCTTTCTATTTTCTGTTTTTTTCCAAATTCCCTGCAATGAATAGACATCACTTTTACTATGAGAACAGTTATTTGGAAATAAATAAATGCAAACACCCAAGCAGAAATTAAAAACTTAACTTGGCATTCATTCAACAAACATGTACTAAAATCTTCCATTGCCAGGCAGTGGAGGTAGTAATGCACATGGCTTAGGGCCTCCTCTCAGAACCATAATTTAGACAGACATGAAGTTGAGTGTGAATTATTCCCATTGCTGATGCAATAGTACAGGCAACCAATGAGAAGTCAAAATACATGAATTTGAGTCTCAGTTCTACCAGTGAAACTTTTTCAGCACCTTGGCAAGTGAGCTCCTCTATTATCAGTTCCTTCACCTGTAAAATAAGTATAAGAGTTCTCCTGCCTACCTCACTATGATGTAGTCAGCTGCAAAGGAGACTCAGCTGAGCATGCTCTGAAGATGTATAAATATCATGATCATGTTATCACTTATATCAAGAAGAAAAGGGGGCCAGGCACAGTGGCTCACACTTGTAACCCCAGAACTTTGGGAGGCAAAGGCGGGCAGATCACCTGAGGTCAGGAGTTCAAGACCAGCCTGGGCAACATGGCAAAACCCCATCTCTACTAAAAATACAGAAATTTGCCAGGCATAGTGGTGCACGCCTATAGTCCCAGTTACTCAGGAGGCTGAGACACAAGAATCACTTGAACCCGGGAGGCAGAGGTTGCAATGAGCCGAGATTGCACCACTGCACTTCAGCCTGGGCAACAAAGAGAGACTCTGTCTCAAAAAAACAAAGGGAAGAACAAAAGGGGACTGGGCACAGTGGCTCATGCCTGTAATCCAGCACTCTGGGAGGCCAAGGCAGGAGGACTGCTGAGTTCGAGACCAGCTTGAGCAATATAGATCTTGTCTCTACAAAAATAAAAATTAGCCTGGCACGGTAGGGCATGCCTGTAATCCCAGCTACTTGGGAGGCTGAGATGGAAGGATCACTTGAGCCCAGGAGGTCAAGGCTTCAGTGAGTCATGATCATGCCATTGCACTCCAGCCTGAGTGACAGAGTGAGACCCTGTTAAGAAAGAGAGAGGGAAAGGGAGGGAGGGAGGGGCACATAAATATGTACTCAAGTTCTGTTAAGAAACATCATCCGGCTGGGCGTGGTGGCTTATACCCGTAATCCCAGCACTTTGGGAGGCTGAGGTGGGTGGATTACTTGAGGACAGGTGCTTGAGACCAAGCTGGCCAACATAGCGGAACCGTGTCTCTACTAAAAATACAAAAAGCTGGGTATGGTGTTACACACCTGTAATCCCAACTACTCAGGAGGCTGAGGCACGAGAATTGCTTGAACCCAGGAGGCAGAGGTTGCAGTGAGCCAAGATCGTACCACAGCACTCCAGCCTAGGAAACAGAGTGAGACTCGGTCTCCAAAAAAAAAAAAAAAAAAAACAGAGAGAGAGAGAGAGAAGAAAGAAACATCATCCCCAGCCTCCTTTGGTTTTATAGTTATCTCACCCTCTCCTGAGCCTTGCTCTTGTCCAGCATGGATAAGACTGCCTTTATCTTATAAGACTGGACTAATGCGTAAAGGCAGAGGAAGTTCTTTTTATCATTGAATTCTAGTTGCATGATGGTAGAGAATGTGGGCTGCATGATGTTGATTATTTGACACTTGCTGAGACTTCTTTAATGGTATTGTTCATTGTTAGTTTCTATAAATGTATGCCACAGAAGAAGGTGTAGTTTCCATTTGCAGGGTGCAGGGTAATATATAGATCCATTGGCTCATGCTTGTTACTTGTATTGTTTGAACCTTTTATAGTCTTACTAGTTTGTATCTCCTTGACCTGTCTGTTTACAAAAGGTATGTTTAAAATCTCTTACAGTAATTGTAGATTTGTCTTTTGTGCCTTTCAATTCTTTCAATTTCTGCTTCCCTTATTTTGAGGCTATGTTGTTAGGCACATAAAGATTCATGATTATTATATGTCCTAGCAGACTGTACCTTTTATCACTAAGCAATGATCCTGTTTATTTATATTTTTCTCCTTACATTCTACATTGTTAATAGTATTGCAAGACCAGCTTTGTTTTGGTATCTGTATAACATATTCTCTTCCAACCCTTGGCTTTCATCTCTTTCTTCTTTATTTTATTTAGCAATTTTTTTGTAGAGATGAGGTCTCCCTATGTTGATCAGGCTAGTCTTGAGCTCTTGGGCTCAAGCAATCCTCCTGCCTCGTCCTCTCAAAGTGCTGGGATTACAGGCATGAGCCATTATGCCAAGCCAGCTTTCATCTTTTTCTGTCATTAAATTGTGTATGTGATTCTTACAAACGGCATATACCTGGATCTTGTGCCCTAAAACATTTTTTTTCAACAAAAGTTTCTGCCTTTAATGGAGAGTTTTATCTGTTTTGGTTATGACATCAGCTTGGGGTTCCATTTTTTCAAGGGCAATTTTTTTTATTTTTGTTTTTGTTTGTTTGTTGCTCCTGGTCCTTGGAAGATGGTGCTTCCTTGTGAATTCTCTGGGCTGATGACTAGAGTGTCTATGGTTCTCATTTTATAGAAGAATGTGCCCTGCATGACTCCTAGAATAATGCCATTGGCTTCCCAAACACAGGAAACCCACACATGAGCTCCCTTCCCCTTGAGGGATTTAGAACCTCAGACTACATTCATTTTTTCAGGTCCCCATACATGTGAGGCCTTTGGCCTAAGCTCCCACTATGCTCAGACTTTTAGTCCCTCTTCTTTTCAGGCAACTGACAATATCCTTCTCTTGGTTTGAAGCCCAGCCTCAAAATATCATTTTATCAGGGTATAATTGTTGTTATCCTAGTCATCTTTGTCAGAGAAGAGGTGTGCGTGTGTGTGTGTGTGTGTGTGTGTGTGTGTGTGTATTAGTTCTTTGTCAGCTGGAATCATCATGGTAACTAGAAATAAAACAATGGGATAAAAATAGAAAATATTTTGAAAGTACAGAAATAATTGATAACTCAGAAAAATCATCTTTTAAGAATGAGAGTAAAGGAAAACATCATCACATCAATTGAAAGTGAGAGACAGCACCACTCATAAGGATATCAATGAAAGTATTTCTAAAATATGGACAGATTACTACTTGATGCAATATTTAACTCACCAGGAAAATATATTAATATAATAATTCTAAATATGTTCATAATAAAATAGCCTCAAAATATGTTAAGAAAAAGTTGATAAAAATACAAAGAGAAATGGGCCAACACAGTATTAGGGTGGAAAATTTAGAAACTCTTGTCAAACAGATACAATAAGCAAGGATATGTTTTAAATTTTGGGCTTTGAATAACTAGTGTGTTTAACACCAGCCTTGCACCTCAAATTAGATAACAGAACAAGTTTTAAAACTGACCAGAAGAGGCCAGGCACGGTGGCTCATGCCTGTAATCCCAGTACTTTGGGAGGCTAAGGCAGGGGGATCACTTGAGCTCAGGAGTTTGAGACCAGCCTGGGCAACACGGCAAACCCCCCTCTTGACAAAAAATACAAAAATTAGCTGGGCATGGTGGCGCACACCTGTAGTCCAAACTACTCAGGAGGCTGAGGTAGGAGATTGCTTGAGCCCAGAAGGCAAAGGTTGCAGGAAAAACAAACAAACAAACAAACAAAAACAAAAAAAACTGACCAGAAGATATAGAGCAGTTTCGGATAACTCCAAAGAGTAAAACAGTCCATGTTCTCTGATCTTAGTGTAATTAAATTTGAAATCAGTAACAAACGGTAACTAAGAAAACAAAGAGAAACAAGTTATATTTGTAAAATTAAAAACACCAATCAGAGACAAAAATCATAATAGATGTTTACAAATACTTAGTACTGAATGATAATGAAAATAATTTCTATCAAACTTCATGCCAAAATATTTTTATATGCTTTATTAACTTTATGCCAATTTGTTAGAAAACTTAAATAAAATGGACAAATTCCTGGAAGAATATAATTTGTAAAAGTGAACTCTAAGACAAATAGAAAATCTGAAGAGTCTTCCAATCATTAAATACACTGAATCAGTAATTTAAAAATCATTTCACAGTGAAAACAAGAGGCCCAAATGGTTTCACAGGAAAGTTCTATCAGACATGGAATGAGTAAACCATTTTATCTTATATATAATCTTCCTAGAGCATAAAAAATGAAAGACTACTTTGTAACCCATTTTGTAAGGTGAATAAAGACTTCAAGCCAGTGAAGTCTCAAGAAGGAAAATTACAGGCCAATCTCATTCATGAATAAAGATGCAAAAATGGCTGATAAATAATTGATAAACCAAATACAAAAATATATTTAAAATATATACCATTATCAGGTTGAATTTTTCTATGGAATTGGAAAAAAATGGCTTAACATTAGAAAATCTGCCAGTGCAATTCACCACCATAAAGAATTAAAAGAGACTAATCATATAGTCATCTTATAAGAGGGTAAGGGAGACACCTGATAAAATGTGTAACTGTTATTCCTGATTAAGCTCCTAGCAAACTAAGAACTGAATGGAACTTCCCTGACTTGATAAGGCCATCTACTACTGCAGCTACTATGAAACTTAACAGTGATGCACTGGAAGCATTCTCTTTAACATCAGGAACAGCACAAGGCTGTCCACCATCTCTGCTACTCTACTCTGTAATGGATATCCTTAGCCAGTACATTAAGGCAAAAAGAAATAAAGAACATAAAAATTGGAAAGGAAGAAATGAAACTGACATTATTTGAATTTGATATAATCTACAAAGATCTAAAAGAATGTATAGCAATGTGTTAGAATTTATAAGAATACAAAGATTGCTAGTTATAATATTACAGTGGACTGAATGTTTATGTCCCTTCACAATTCATCTGGTGAAATCCTAGCCCCCAAGGTAATTGTGTAAGAAGGTGGGGACTTTGGGAAGTGATTAGGTCATGGAGGCACAACCTTCATGAATGAGATGAATTCCCTTATTAAACTGCTCAGAGGGCTGGGCACCGTGGCTCACGCCTGTAATCCCCCACTTTGGGAGGCCAAACCGGGTGGATCACCTGAGGCCAGGAGTTCGGGACCAGCCTGGCCAACATGGTGAAATACCATCTCTACTAAAAGTACAAAAAAAAAAAAAAAAGCTGGGCATGGTTGTGGACACTTGTAATCCCAGCTACTTGGGAGGCTGAGGCAGGAGAATTGCTTGAACCTGGGAGGTGGAGGTTGCAGTGAGCCGAGATCACACCATTACACTCCAGCCTAGGCAACAAGAGTGAAACTCCGTCTCTAAATAAATAAATGTAAATTAAAAAACAGAAGAGGCCAGAGGGGATTTAGTGGCTTCTTCCACTCTGTGAGGACAAAGTGAGAAGGAGCTGTCTCTGAACCAGAAAGCCCTCACCAGACATCGAATCTGCTGGTACCTTGATCTTAAACTTCCCAGCCTCCAGAAGTGTGAGAAATAAATTTTTATTGTTTATAAACTACCTAGTTTATGGTACTTTGTTACAGCAGCCTGAATAGACTAAGACAAAGATCAGTATAAAAACCAATTATATTATTATACACCTGCAAAAACCCTAATAAAATACTTTCAAAAATAGATATTTAGAACTAGAAGAATATACATTTATTGAACTCAAAAAGTAAAAATTGTTGACTGAACTTCAGTGACCAATCAGGGAAATGCAAGGCTATGCACAACGCGAAACCACTTCCCATCGCCAGACAGGATCGGGCATTGATTGGCTAAATGGGACTGCTCACACACTCCTTCCAGGAGTGTAAATGAGCTTTTTAAATCTTTGGAGAGTAATTGGACAATATCAAACTAAATAATAATAATAATAGCATGTTTTCTAAGACCTAGCAAATTCACTTTTAGGCATGTTATTCACATCTAGTCTCTCACACTTATGCTCCAGGAGACAAGTTCAAAGACATTAATCTCAGAGTTGTAACACAAAAGAATCAGACACAATCTAAATGCCCATCAGCAAGAGAATGGTTGGATGATCTGTGGAATATTATGTAGCAATGAAAAATAATGAGACAGATCTATATGTACTGACATGGAAAGGAATTAGGTTAAGCAAAGAAAACCAAACATCTACGAAAAATAAACACGGTATGATTTTTTTAACACCACAAAACATAATTGTGTATTTACATATATATTCATTCAATATATATTTATTATAATATATTTATTATGTATTGAATGAATATATATGTAAATACACAATTATGTATTTATTATTATGTGCCAGGCATGCTTAAGTGCTGGGGATACAACAGGGGTCAAAAGATAAAAATAATTTGTACCCCCATGGATTTTACAATCTAGGGCACATACAACCACACACAGACATGGACCTTTGGGTCCTATATGCGCCCAGGTACATGTCTGAGCATAGAAAAGTCCTAGAAGGTGATGGTTCCATGGTGTAACGGTTAGCACTCTGCACTCTGAAAAGTCCTAGAAGGGTGCATGTTAGTCATGATAGCAGTTACCATCCGAGACAGATACAACGTGGATTCTCACACAATGAAATACAATATAGCAGTGAAAATAAACGAATTTGATATCTATGTAGCAATATGGATAGGTGCTTTAAGTGCTTTGGTCCCCAGTCTTGCTAAGGCTCAGTTTCCACACTTGTTAAAATGGAGATTACAGTAGTTATGCTAGCACCTTCTTTATAGGGTTCTTGTGTACTTTCAAAGAGATAATTAATTCAGAGCATTTAGCACCTCGTACACGCTCAATAAATGATAGCTACTGATATTTTTTACAAAGGGAAGGAAGGAGACTTAAAGCACCCACAGGACCATGGATGGCTCCTGTTACTCCAGGCCATGCCTGTAGCTTCTGGCTGGGGCTGTTAGGTCCAGCCAGGACTCCAAGGTCCAAAAGCCAAAGTGCCCCAGCCTCAGTCCCACCTCCTTCTCAGTCCCAGTCCCAGCCGTACTAGAAGGGCTCCCTTTCAGGGCCGCCAAAGCTACTGAGGGGTAGCAGGACTCTGTGCGGGGAGAGGGTGGGCAATGGCTTCTGTAAGGTGAAGAGGTTTGCAGCCTTCCAGTCAGGTAGCTGCAGTGCCAGGGGCAGGCGTGCCCTGCTCTTTGATTCGCTTGCTGCAGGGTAGACCCTAATTATCCTGGGGAGCTAAGCAGAACTGCTCCCCTGTGGTGTTTTTGAGGGTCATTAAGAGTGTGGGGGTTGGGGACAGACTGTGCTTCCTTCCCTGGGCAGACAACAGGATCTATTGTTGGAGTTGGACCATTAGTCAGCTCTGTGCCGCAGGCGCCCGTCCCCTGGGCCTGCATCCTCTTCCTGGCAAGGCCTCGCCATCTCACTTTGGGAAGATTTGGCTGCCCAGACACCCTCCCACTATGCTTAGGTGGCTGTAGCCAGGACAGCCCGCGGAAAGCCACCCCTCCTGCCACCTCCCTAGTCCAAGAGTGCCCTCCTCCTCTTCCACATAGGTGTTATGTGCTGCGGAGACAGTGAACGAAAGTCAAAATTCCTGGCCCCAAGCCAATATATGAAGTAGTAATCTCTTGCTAGGATTTGTGGAAAGAACATTCTCTAGGCTCTATAAAATGAGAGGCTCCTCAAGTCATATTTAAAAGTTTGGAAAGTGAAAAGAGTTGGGTGCCTGGTATCATCACCCTAGCCCCAACTCCATCTTAGGTACCACAGAACCTTCTGCTTTGGGGACATCATCCTTCAAATGCACTGGCATCTTGGTAAGAATGCACCACCACTATAAGTAGAGGGCTGGCTGAAGAGCATCTCACTTGTGAGCAGCTTCTCAGCAGCCTTTAGCCATGAAGCAGCCAAACATTTATGGCAATGGGCTTCCCATCCCAGGCCTCTCATCTTGAGTTTGTGGTTCCACAAACTCAGGGAGGGTGGTGGTGAGGGGGGATGTTTGAGAACTACCTCTGGGGATATAAAAGGAATGACAGCCGAATCTTCCTCTACCTAGCTGGCCTGGATTCAACAAAGCAGCAACAAAAACTATTCCATAAAGGTGTTTCCTCCCTTGGGGGATTAAAATCCAAGGGAAACTCCAAGGTGGTAAGGTGGCAACAGCAAAGGAGCAAAGCAGCAAAGGAGAAACCTACCTGAGAGCCACGCTCTTGAAACCCACAGGGAGCCCAGGCCTGCGTATCCACCGGGACAGGCAGCCCAGGACTCGGTTGTTATGAAAACCATCTTAGTGTTGATGTGGCACTGCGAATTTGGAAAGTGCTTTAAAATCATTCATATTCCTAGACCTGTAATTAATCAAAAGATTGCACCAATCTATAGCCACAGCCATTATGGTCACTGCAGTCATTTTCCAGTGCTCTTGACCAAAGAGTGCTGTCACCATGGTGATGGTGGCAGGGGTTGGGTGGGAAGTGAACACAGCAGTTAGGGGGATTGGCCAAGCTTTCTGGAGTTTGGAGGCAGGGCTAACTCATAACATGTAGAACACCAGATCTCTGCTAGGAGAGACTCCAATAGGGGACTCAGCCTCTTAAAAATTGCTACCATTAGCCGGGCGTGGTGGCTCACACCTGTAATCTCAGCACTTTGGGAGGCTGAGGCAGGCAGATCACCTGAGGTCAGGAGTTTGAGGCCAGCCTGGCCAACATGGTGAAACCCCGTCTTTACTATAAATACAAATATTAGCTGGGCGTGGTGGTGGGTGCCTGTAATTCCTGCTACTTGGGAGGCTGAGGCAGGAGAATCACTTGAACCTGGGAGGCGGAGGTTGCAGTGAGCTGAGATGGCGCCACTGCACTCCAGCCTGGGTGACAGAGGGAGACTCCATCTCAAAAAAAAAAAATTGCTACGATCTGTTAAGTACTTACATCTTGGCACTGTACATACATTATCAAGAATGTCCATAATTCCTCGTTAAAGCAAGTGCTATCATTCCATTCCATTCTACAGTGGGCACAACTGAGGAACCAAGAAGTTAAGCCACTTCCCCAAAGTCCTACCACTACTAAGGATAGAGTGAGGTTCGAGCTTAGGCCTGTGTGACTCCAGAGCTTTTCACTATGACTCATGGCCTCTCTGACCTCCAAGGTGTCCAGACCCACTAAAGCACTGGACCACTAACTCCCTCCTCCTGCGCCTGTCCCTGGAGAGGCCAGAAGCAGCAGCTGGCAAGAGAGAAGGACAGGGGCAAGCAGAGAGAAGAGATGCTGTCTATGCCTCATGCTCGTCTGCTGCAGGTAGCCAACCTGGGCAGGGACCTGGGGTGGAGAAGGAGGCAGAAACTGAAAACTGGATGAAAGACTGAGGATCAAGCTTTAAACTGGGCTAGACTTTCAATACCTAAAAACAAAGCCATTCCTCAATACCTGGGTATGACAAGAAAAGCTAGATTTGATTCAGGAGCTGGAAAGGAGTCCATGGAGTGGTATGGAAAACAGCAAGGTGAGAAAAAGAAAGCTCCTTCATGCTCTCACCCATTGAGCCCAGCTCCCAGCATAAAGCATTGAAATCTACTACTATTACTGCTGCTGCTATTCATTGAGCCCTCACTCGGTGGCAAGCACTGTGGTGACACCCCCACCCCTGCCATGGTCAGCTTTGCTTATCTCTCACTCCCTTAGAATATCAGCTCCTTGAGACAGGAACTGTGTCTCACTCAGCATTACAGCTTCTGCATTGGCACAATGTCCGGCCCACCAGAAATACTCAACAAACATTTGATAAACAAGTGCTCTAAACCACTGTCTTAGTCCGTGTGGGCTGCCATAACAAAAATACCATAGACTGGGTGGCTTCAAAACTAGAAATGTATTGCTCCCAGTTCTGAAGGCTGGGAAGCCCAGGATCAAGCTGCTGGCTGATTTCCGTTACTGCTCATGTCCTCACTTGGCCTTCCTCACTGCATGCACACAAAGAGATGTCTCCAGTCTGTTCCTCTTTTTACAAGAACATTCATGAGCACCCTACCCTAATGACCTCATCTGACTCTATTCACCTCTCAAATGCTCCATCCCCAAATATCATCACATTAGGAATTAGGGTTTCAACATAGGAATTTTGAGGGGACATAAACGTTTAAACATTCAGGCCACGGCACCCATAAATCATCGTCTGGCACTTAGTATTGTTTGCAGCATCTCCCACCCAATTCCCTTCTCTTTTTGACACAATTTAAATCTGGGGGAGATACTAATAAACTTCAAAATGGCTCCCCAAATAGGCGCGATGGTAATTAGAATAAAAGCAGTCCAAAGACTGAACAGACCAAGTATAAATCATCAAAGAAGAAGAGTGTAGAACTGGACCAAAAATGGGGGTAAGAGAATCCTCTCCCCTCATCCCTATGAGGCACAGGCTTAAACTCTAGTAGTCTCAGTCACTTCGGTCCAGAACATTAGCACACTTTTCAACCTTTAAGAAAAAAAAATATAAATAAAGACAGGGTCTTGCTATATTGGCCAGGCTGGTCTCAAATTCCTGGCCTCAAGCAATCCTCCAGCCTAAGCCTCTCAAAGTGCTGGTATTACCAGCATGAGCCACGATGCCCAGCCTTTCAACCTTTTGTTTAAACTTCACCTAGAACAATGAAATGAACAAGCTGGAGATCAGGCCCGCTGTGGCCGTGTTTCTTGGGTGAGGTGCTGGAGCTTGGGCCTGGGCCTGCTATGGCCACCGTGGGAGTCATTAGCACGAATGCGGTGTTTACCTCCCTGGGGAAGGGCAAGCAAGCTGCTGGCGTGGTTCAGCATGCACCTTCCCCTGGGAGCCCGGAGAGCACATTAGCAGAGGCTTGGAGAGGGGACTAGGCAATCAGCAGGTGCGTGTGCACATGCCAGCCTGGAATTTGAAATTAATCACCTGCGGAAGGCACAATGGGCAGATGGGAGGGAGTTGTGGGAAAGGCGTTGAACCAGCAGCCGAAGCAGCTACTAAATTTAGCCTGGTCCCCAAAGCAGGGCTTAATTAAATTAATCCTGCACACCCCCACCCCCACTCCCAGGCCCCGTTCCTAGGTGAGTTTTTTTCTGTTTCTAGCTTGGCTCCCATTATAACACAAGCCTCCAAATGTTGATCCCCTTGACAGGTGCCCCAGGCCAGCTCCTCTGGTGCCAGTGCTGGGAAGGAAGTGCAATTCCCAGCTGTCCCTGCCGCTCCTACAATGCTGGGTGCAGCCCAGAGCGAGGCCATTTGTGAGGATTTGCCAGGCTCTCTAGCAGCTGAGATGGACCTGGCGCTCAGCTGCCCTCCACCCACACGGTAAGGTCCCCACATCAGGGCATGCCTGCTGTTGACCTGCCCCCCACCCCTCCCTTCCTGGTCACTGCTTGTCCCCACACAGAGGGCTTCACCCCTCCCCCAACACCAGCAGGACAGTTATTCCAGCTGATCTCATGCAGCCCCAGGGCTGTGGCAGGGAAGGCTATCTTGGCTCCATGAGTCAGCTAAGTGAGTTATTAGTTCCCAAAATTTTAATCTGTACCTTCCCTGAATCTGCTGCCCTGCCACTTGGCCTCCTCTTTTTCATTTATACAACTTCAGCAACTGAATAGGAATTAGGAACCGTGAGCTCTGATTTCTGCCTACTGCAAGCTGGCTGCAGTACACTGGAGAGAATATTTCCCTGCTTGGGGCATCCTGCTTCTGCTTGAAAAATAGGAGGTGAGAGGGCACACACCAGGCCTGGGCATGAAAGTCAGTGCCACTCAGGAAGCTTTCTGACTGCACTTGCCTGTCTCTTTCCCCTCCACAGGGGAGAAGCCCAGGCCTCAATTTCTGTACACATCAGCATTGCCTGCAAGTAACGTCTTGTTAAACACAGAGCACCCAGCCATGCCCCGGAGTCTTCGGTAGGTCCAGGGTGGGCCTGGGAATATGCATTCTGATGAGTCCCCAGGTAAAGCTGCTGTGGCCCAGGGGCCACATTTCAGAACTGAGGCTCCAGATATCTCTAACACCATTCCGTGGGGCTTGCACAGATGATGTTTCTAGCTTACTCAGCATGATTTTGTGGAGGTGGAGGTAGCAGTCCCTGGTGGCCTCTTCGTGGGGTGCTCCTTCCAGAATGTTTCCTCTGCGTCATGTGAGGAAGGCGGGATCCAGTGGCGTTGGGCGCTAGAAGCCTCTCCCTTCCCCGGCAGACCCAGAACGCCTGGCCTTCTAGGACCCAAGCCCAAGAGGACTCAGGCTAAGATTGTTTTTAGCTGAGGAAGTCAGGCACAATTGACCCACCCGCTGCCACACACAAGCAACTCTTGGTGGTCAAATTCAATTCAACAAAACTTTACAAAGCTCATTTTACTGGCCTGGCTCACTTTGGGGCTGAAATGGTTTCAGAGGCCTAGAGCAGCCTGGAATTCACAAGGAGCTGAAACTCTAGGTGGCAGGCCTGAGCCAACGCAGCTGAAAGAGCCCCTCACTGTCCGCATTGGCTTCTCCTCCTCCCTCAGCCCAGCAGCAGCAGGAGGGGGGCAGTCGCAGGCGAGTGGGGAAGAGATAGGGGTCAGGTGGGGGACCCATCCCAAAGACACAAAGACATATCTTCCAAGTATCTGAACAATCCTAGGACGGAGTTTTGCATTGGCCCAATTAGAGACTGGCTAGGATCCCGGGCTCGGTCATCTCCATAGCATAAATCCCTCCCTTCCACTGGTACCTCACAGTCAGTGTCCAACAGGGGAGCTACCTCCAAGCCAGAGAGTTCCCTCCTGGGGCTGCACCTCCCCCTGAAGATGGCCCGTGGCCTGGGCCTCACCAACCACCTGCCATGCCCATGCGCCTTGGTCTCAGCACCTGCCCAACCTCTCACCACCCCCCACCACCTGCTCAGGCCCCCTGGATGGCTGCCAGGCAGGCCTGGGCTGCTCCCCATGCAGGATGGGGAGGGGGCATCCCATGGAACCCTGTGCCAGGCAGGGTGGCAGCCTCCTCCTCTAGGCTCCCTTTCTGTGCCCTCAGAAATCTGCTCTCAGAAAGGGCTCCTCACTCGGGAGCCTCTAGTGGTCCCCGCTAACCCTCACCACCAAGCCTAAGGCTGAGTCCTAGCATTTCAAGAGGCTCTTCTCTCCTCATCTCCTTTTTTATTTTCCTTTAAGATGTCTCCTTTTGTTTTCCTCTCCCATCTCTATTTGTCTTTTCTGAAGTCTTGGAAACTAATTACATTATTTTTAAAAATTAGGTAATACAGGCACACGATGGAGCATCCCAAAAACCTTCAAGGCCACATAGTGAAAAGAAGCTCCTCTCCCACAGCACGTTCCCGAGTCTCGGGTGCTCTCCCAATGCCGTGTCCTATGACACACATGTCCTATGAGTCTGTCTAGAGCAGGGGTCCCCAGTCCCCGGGGCCACAGTCTGGTAGTGGCGGGTGGCCTGTTAGGTACCAGGCCACACAGCAGGAGGTGAGCGGCGGGTGGAGCCAGCATTACTGCCTGAGTTCCACCTCCTTTCAGATCAGCAGAGCCATGAGAGTCTCACAGGAGCGCGAACTCTATTGTGAACCATGCATGTGAGCAGATGGCTTGAGTCCAGGAGTTCAAGACCAGCGTGGGCAACATGGCCAAACCCCGTCTCTACTAAAAGCACAAAAATTAGCCGGGTATGGTGACACACACCTGTAGTCCCAGCTGAGAATCTAACTAATGCCTGTTGATCTGAGGTGGAACAGTTTCCCCCACCCCACCCCGTCTGTGGAAAATTTGTCTTCCACGAAACCAGTCCCTGGTGCCAAAAAGGTTAGGGGCTGCTGGTCTAGAGACACGCAGCACATATGCCCGCATGTTCTAGAGTGCTCTCTCTCCTACACAAAGAGTGGCTTACTACCCAAGATGCCCTGGACCTTGGATTTATTTTTTATTTTACATTGTTGTTTAATTACAAAATATTTCAAAAGTATTGACATATGGTGACTTACATAACAAACATCCTTTAACCCCACCCAGCATCGTCATATCTTAGTAGTATGCTGTGTTTGCCTTTGGATTTTGTTTGTATAGACTCTTATAGACACGGTAGAAGTCCCTGAGGGCCCGTTTCTGGTCCCACTCCCCACTGCCCTTCCCTGGAGAGAGGCTCTGTCATGCATCGGCTGTTCATTGCCTCTGACTTTTCTACTTGTCCCTCTCTCTCCCCCATTCTACTTCCACCCAAAGGGAAGCAGTGCTGGGTGGGATGTGCTGCCATGTTCGTCTGGAACATGGCAGCAATCACAGCCATTTCCCTGTTACCCTAACAAATTAGGTGCTATTAGAGCAGGGCTTGGCAGCGCTGCAGTGCCGGGCAACTGCAGAACGTCTTAAACCTCACAGACTCCCAAATGGCATTGTCCCCTTCAGTCAGAAGTGCCATACATCACGGTTAAAAATCAATGCCTGCTAATGTCCCTGCAGGAAGGCAGAAACATGAACTTCATGAAGTCTCCTTCTGTTTACACGCTCATTAAGAGGATAAAATGTTACTTGGGTTGGGTCAGGCTTTTTGCTGCCTCTGAGGTGGTCCTGTATGAAAATGTGTGCCTTCATTTGGGTATGGCCTGTGTCACACATTATATGCCTATGGTAGTTATGAAATGCAAACTCCACCTCTTGTCTGTGCAGTCACTGAGTGTCCTAATATCAAAGTAAAACTGTGAGTTGAGGCCGGGCGCAGTGGCTCACGCCTGTAATCCCAGCATTTTGGGAGGCTGAGGCAGGTGGATCACAAGGTCAGGAGTTTGAGACCAGCCTGGCCAGCATGGTGAAACCCCATCGCTACTAAAAATACAAAAAATTAGCCAGACATGGTGACACATGCTTGTAGTCCCAGCTACTCGGAAGGCTGCGGCAGGAGAATTACTTGAACCCTGCAAGTGGAGGTTGCAGTGAGCCAAGATCGAGCCACTGCACTCTAGCCTGGGCAATGGAGCGAGACTCTGTCTCAAAAAAAAAAAAAAAAAAGTGTGAGTTGATGGCTGCCTTACTTGTCCTCCTGGGGACAGACCTGCCCCCTGTCCTTCCCTTTGAGGGCACAGGCCTTTTCTGATCAGGGAAGATGACAGTGGGCACTCATGGAGTGGGCTGGGCTCTGGAGGCCATCTAGTGCTATACCTGGCTGTTTAAGGCTGCCCCATCTTGACGCCCACCTCCACATAGGGACACATCCAGCCATGCTTCTTGGCACTCTACCCAGCTGCTCTGTCCCCACAGTTTCCCCTCCCTGTTGATGGCCCAGACCAATGCCACATCCTTACCACTCATGCACTTTGGTGATAGTCCCAGCCCCACATTCAACATTTCCAACCAAGGCAACTGAGACAGGAGCCCAGGGGCCAGTGGCTCAGGGTGCCCAGCAGGCTGACCCACCGGAGCCCTCTGGGGTATAGTCTCCCTCAGCAGGGTAGGCCAGTGTCTGGCCCTGCTCTGGCCCCTTTCTCTGCTTGTAACCTAGTTCGCAGTCTCCTCTGGGCTCTGCAGATCCATCCTGGAGCACTTGGGTTCTCATCAGAAGCTATCTATGGAATGAAGAACAGCAGAGCACAGCAGTGATCCAGGGCATGTGTGCATCACATCTTTCTTTGTCACCTGTCCAGGGAGTTCAGAATTAGGCAGTGGTCAGCTGCACAGAAGCCTTCCAGGCCCTCCTACGTAGCCTCACCATATTCTCCTCTAAGGCACAGACACAAGCGCCCAGTCCTGTCCTACCTCAAAGAGGCACCCACAGAGGTCCCAACCCTGATGGGGTGGAAGCTAGGGGCCCAGGGCAGCATCAGGAGCAGAAAATAGTGAAATGGGAGGGCATCACTTGGTAACAGGAATCAGAGGGAGAGGCCTGGAGGAGAGGGAAAGGTACTCTTGGGTCTGGGAGCTATGACTCTTTCCACACATTTAATGCTCAACACTCATGCAGGGAAAAAAACTTATCCCCATAATTACTGGGCAAGAGGGCCATGCTGTCCTCACACCCATGACATCCTTGCAGCTCCCTCTCCTGCCTCCAGAACCATCATGACATTCTGTGGATTCTTCATACTTTAGAAGGCATCTGTTTCTCCATTTGATCACAACATCCACCGAAGGGAGAACAGAAAAGGTATATTCTTAGCCTCTTCTTGCATAAACATGAGGAAAATGAGGGGAAGTAACAAAGGAAGTGAAGAGAGAAACTGAACTTTGCAGTTGGATCTTCTCATAACTCAACCTGGTTCTTGCCCCCACCTCACCTGGGCCAAGGCATGGGAGACACAGGGAGTCGTGGATGGGAGATGAGAGTGGCAAAGGATGCAGACTGGACAAAAACCAGTTCCCAGAGGCCAGTCCAGCTGTGGGTGAGTAGGAAACAGCCAGGGGAAAGGGAGGATGAAGAGGCTGAAGGAGGATGGGAATATGCCAGGCAGAGCGCAGCATGTGCAAAGGCCCTGTGGGGAGAGAGAGTTCACGGAAGTGAAGTGAAAATGGCTCATGAGTAGATGTGACATCTATTTTCCTGCAAGTTAATATCATCTGACATTGGATACAATTTTTTATGCCACATTTATCCCCAAAATGGATTTGTGGTTGCTTATGAAAAACAGATAGTATAAGCTAAGGGAATCCTCAAAGACCACTTACAGGGCAAAAGCAGAGCTCCCCAAATGACAAATGGCATAGGAATCCCCTGGGGCCTTGTTAGTATGCACACTTTAGTTGGGAGGTCTGGGGTGAAGCCTAAGATTCTGCATTTCTGCTGTTACTGCATTGAGAACCACACTTCAAGTAGCAAAGCTTGTGGCAGGGCCCAGGAGCGGAGGTTCTAACTTCATTCTGTATCAGTGTCATGAAGATGCCTGAGCCCCACCCAGGTCCAACTGAATCAGACTCCCTCGGGGTGGGGTGCAAGCATCAGTATATTTTAAAAGCTCCTTAAGTGATCTGAAGGTGAAGCCAGAGGTAGGAACACTTGGCTAGGTTTTTCATGAGTTCCAGGGTATATCAATCATCTCCCCCAGGCAGATGAGTTGTGAATGTGGTCTCCCTTGTGAAACAGAGCTTTACTAGCAGGGAGTTTGTAGCCTCTGGAATAGGAAAACAGAAGTTTCTGTCCAAAGTGGAAACCATATGCTGGTGGAGCTGGGCATCCGATTCCACCCTCATTTTGCAGCTGAGGAAACAAGTCCTGAGTCCACACAGCTGGTGAAGTCCCTTGGCCCCAGCCAGGTCGTTTTTTTACTCTTGCTACAGATACCAAGCAGGGAGGCTCCCTAGAAGAGGAAGAGCTAGAGGGGCGGGGCCAGGAGGAGGTGCAAGTGACAAAAGACATGCAGACAGGAAATGAATGGCAAAAAAAATGCCGGGAAGAAAGGCAGAAGAGGACAGCCCCTGTTCCTTTCAAACCTCCACAAGTAGGCAGTGGCTGCCCTGCCCATAAACAGACATGCCTGGAACATGGCTGTGAGGCAGCAGACAGGCAGGGCTGGCCAGGAGCACAGCAAGGGGACAACGAGAAGGACACTGCCAGGGCAGAGTGCATCAGAAGCCCATAGGACGGCTTCGCTGCAAAGCAAAGGCCTTCCTGGGCTGAGAATGTACCTCCAAGAGGATGTGGGCAGGCACAGCTGGGCCTGGCTTTTAGGAGGTTTTCAGAAAGTAAAAGACACTGCCTATTTGACCATCCACTGAAAATGCCCTCTGAGGACTCAGTAAGGTTGAGTTACTAGTTGTGAGTGAGGAATGCCATTACTAGTCTGTTGTTGGGCACCCAGGCACCTGTGACAGATGAGAAGATGGGAGAGGGACAGATGTTCAGCCAGAAGAGAACTCAAAGGATAAGAAAGGTGGCCACAGGCACTCCAGAAGGGCTATTTGTTGTGCAGGGAAAAGGAGCCAGAGTAAAAAGGCATGGTCTGTAATCCCAGCGCTTTGGGAGGCTGAGGTGGGGGGATCACCTGAGGTCAGGAGTTCGAGACCAGCCTGGTCAACATGGCAAAACCCTGTCTCTACAAAAATACGAAAAATTAGCCGAGTGTGGTGGCACACGCCTATAATCCCAGCTTCTCAGCAGGCTGAAGCAGGAGAACTGCTTGAACCCAGGAGGCAGATGTTGCAGTGAGCCAAGATCGCACCACTACACTCCAGCCTGGGCGACAGAGTGAGACTCCATCTCAAAATAAATAGCAAGCCATGGTAAGTACCTCAGCAGGGGGCTGAGGGAGGAGTGGGGGAGTGGGTATGGACTGTGGCTCCATCTCACAAAGAACCTCCCAGCCGAGTTATGTGAGAGTGGCATTGTCACTAGCCAACATAGTGAGCCTACGGGCACTGGGAATATTTAAGCGAGGCTAGTGGCTGTCTGTCATGGACACTACCGAAAATGACTGATGAGATGCACAGCTGGATGAGAGGCATTGGGGGTTCTCTGCAGATATCAGATTGTGTTGACTTTTCTTGGTGAGTCTCTACTTTTAATTGCAAGGTCTTTGCTGTCTTGAAGGAACTGGGGATGAAGCAGCAAGCAGAGGTTCTCACCATAGCTCCCCAGGGCAAGGAAGGCCACAGCCCAGCCTGGAGACCAGCCAGCAGGCAGGGTCAGCTAGAGCAGCGCTCTGATGGACAGACCTCAGGGACATAAAGGCGAGAGTCTTCAGGAAGCATCTGGAAACCAGCTCCTTTCCCACCTAGAAGATGGGTAACAACTGCCACTCCCCGGCTTTTAGGAAAGCCCACACCCAGCCCCACGATGTCTGCAAATTCTCAGGGGGGTGTATTTCTCATTACCTCTGGCTTCTGCAGAATTCTCCTTCCCTTCTCCAGGAGTTGACGCTGGCTTTTAACTCTGTCCTATAATCCCCTGTGCAGAAGCCCCAGTCCCTTCTCCTAGGTTCCTCCCCATTCCCCAGAAAGGGACACACAGGCCAGTGAGGAGAGTGGACGCCCCTGGAGTCTGGCTTCAGGAGAGGATAGGGCTGTCAGATACTTTAAACTGAAGAGCTGACGGCTCCTGCTCCTTGACTTCCCTTGGCCATTTCCACTAACTCAATCCCAGCCTTCAAGCGAGTCCACCTTCTCTCCCTTTTTACTGCAATTCCTGCACAGATTTACACAGAAGAGCTCTCTCTATATATAATTTTTTTTCTCTTTCTACTCATGCCCACAAGGCCTCATTTCTCACCCAAATGACCTATCAAGGTAGTTCTTAAATGAAAGCAGTTCCTCCCCTCAGAGAACACTAACACCAGCAGGCAAAATAATTTTTCTCATTGCACAGCATGTTCAATAGAGAGCTAGCTAAGTCAGGCCGGATCGACGTCCACGCTCTATGTGGTGCACCAGCACAGATTGGCTGGAGTTAGATATTTGAGTCTGAACCTGAACTTCTCATGTGGTTCTCACAACATCCCTCCACAAAGGCCTTTCCCCCAAAAACCATAGTCCATAGTTGACTCCAGTCTTGCTGGCAGCTAAGCAAGTCCTGGGAAAACCAGGAGCTGGCAGGTGTCTGGAAACCATTTCTTTGCAGTTCTGTGCTGCTGCATCCTCTGGCTTGAAGTCATCAGGAACCAGCCCCACTTTGCAACCCCAGGGCCCACAATCCAAATGCAGTCTCTGGTTTTTGAAGCTTTTAGTCCCATTAGCGTTCACAGTGCTAGGAATGATGCAAGACAGGGGAGGATGGAAGCGGCATTGGACCAGCAGTTCCAGCAGGCCAGGCTGCCAAAGCTTCTGTCTCCCCTCCCTCGCTTCCCTATTACTGGGAGTGCTTAATGTGCACCCATGCAAGAAGACCAATTTGCACCTTCTGTGGAGGACACAGCTTGGAATTTCTTGACTTCTGTGCACCTCAATAGCCAATGACTTCACTGTTTCTGTCTTGCTCCTTGACTTGATCTCTCATGAGAGTGGAGGAGCCAGAAGAAGGTAAGCCAGTCATAACAGTCAAAGGTTCCCAAAACAAAAGGCGAAGAGCCAAAGCAGGCAGTGATCCCTGAGAATCACCAAGGCTCCCCAACCTCCCTCTGATGAGACTCAGGGGCTCCTTTTTATCTCCAGAATCTATCTATAAGACAGGGTCAGTGGGAAGTAGGCCAAATGCTATATGGTGTGACAGCAAGGGCCTAGGACTTTCTCTGCCTCCCCAGATGCCTCCCAACTTGTGAGCAGGTTCCTGACACTACAAGTTCATTCCTTTAGCATAAGGTGTTAACACTATCAAATACAAACTACTCCACAAAAGATGAGGCTTTGAGTTTATCATGGCCATAAGAATAGAGATGGGGTGGAAGACATCCGAGAAAAGCTTAGAAGAAGGTTGGAGCCTGGGGTGGCTGGGTGGAGGGGAGCAATAGGCTGGGCAGAGGCCAGGTAGGCCAAGGATAAGCTCCACAACTCAGATGGCACTTGGTCCAAGCAGTGATGGGGCCTTGACTCCAGGCTTAGCCCCACTTCCACTTTGCTCTGTGAACTTAGGTTAACTCACCCCTCTGGGTCTCCATATCCCTTTTTCAAGGTGAAACCAAAAATAAACTTATCTCACTTCTTGCAAAGTCAAGGATAGTTTTACCAGTTCCCTTGTTAGGGAAATGGTTCTGTGATAAGAGTAGCAAGGCTTTACTCTGTGCCAGGTGCTGTTCTAAGCCCTTAACAAGCGCTAACTCATGTAATCTTCCAAAGATTCCAGAGGTGGGAGCTACGACCACCCCCATCTTGCAGATGAAGACCTTGCAGCGACCAGCCCAGGGTCCCCTGGCAAGTGGGTGACAAAGCCAGGAATGAACCCAGGGGGTCTGGGCCAGAGCCCACACCTTAACCATCATACTCCATGGCCTCTCTATGTGCAGGGGCCCCACACACAGAGCATAAGCCCAGCTGCCTGCTTCTAATGTTCTGATCCAGTTTATGAGGGGTACCTTGCACCTGGTGTACCCCCAATCACAAAACAGGGATAGCCTCAAGTGCTTTTTCCAGTTGTATTACTTTACTGAGACCAGAGTAACCATCTAAATCCACTTCAAGACTGCCCCTAGGAAGGCGTTCCTCACACCAATGTGGGGGACACACCTGTTGTTAAAAAAAGATAGCCTTGGCCAGGCGTGGTGGCTCATGCCTGTAATCCTAGCACTTTGGGAGGCCGAGGTGGGGGATCACCTGTGGTCAGGAGTTCGAGACCAGCCTGGCCAACATGGCAAAACCCTGTCTCTACTAAAAATACAAAAATTAGCCAGGCATGGTGGCAGGTGCCTGTAATCCCAGCTACTCAGGAGGCTGAGGCAGGAGAATCGCTTGAACCCGGGCAGCGGAGGTTGCAGTGAGCCAAGACCGCACCACTGCACTCCAGCCTGGGCAACACAGTGAGACTCCGTCTCAGAAAAAAGTACAAAACTTAGCTTGCCATGGTGGCGCACACCTGTAATCCCAGCTGCTCAGGAAGCTGAGGAAGGAGAATCGCTTGAACTTGGGAGGTGGAGGTTGCAGTGAGCCGAGATCACACCACTGCACTCCATCCTGCACAATGGGAGCCAGGCTCTACCTCAAAAAAAAAAAAAAAAAAAAAAGATAGCCTTGTTAGATTTGATTTCTGACACCTTGACTTCATTTTAATTCTGTTTGAGACAAGCCTGGTTTTCCTACTAGTGCTGAACAGGCCTGACTCTGCAGGGAGGGCTGAGGTGCCTCGAGCCTTTGTTACCTTTAATTAGCTGTGCTCTCATTGATTGATTGATTTTCTTCCTGAATTGCAAGAGAGGACAGCGCCCCTGCTCCCCAGGTGCGCGGGGCCTGCCACTGGAATTATAACGAGCATTAAGTAGGTCCAGCACGCCATTCCAGGCCTGCGAGACCTCCACTGTTCCCTGTCAAACCTCAAATTGATTCTGAAATTGCTTTGAGGACATAAAGTGGGGAACAATTTGAAATCCGTGTAATTATCTGCGTGGCTGTTGCTGGGTGACCCAGCCATCCATACCTGAGACCTTCTGAAGAGGCCAGAGCTACGGTTCCAAAACAAAAGGTTAAATAGTGAGTAGGAATCTGTGATTTACGTGGGACTGTCAGGTCCCCAGGATGGTTCTGCTCAGGGACCTGGAGTTGGGCTTTGCTGCGGGCAAGCTAAAGTTCTATCCTGGGAAATACTGCCCAGACCGTAGCTTTATGAACAAACTATGCATAATCACTGAATATCTGCTGAGCATCTACCAAGTGCCCAGCACCGCGTGAGACACGTCAGACATACTAGGAGGTGATACCCCTCCTGGGTGCTATAGAATCCAAGTGGAGAGAATAGTAACATGGGAAGATGTTAGGTAATAATGCATTATTACCTGTAAGACATGATGTGCTAATGCCCAAGTAAGTGGAAATACTCCAAGCTGACAGTTAGGGAGAGTGGATGAACATCAGACCTGTGGCTAAATACTTCACCCTCCATCATGTGTGCTTAGACCTCCTAAGGATTTGGTATGGACAGAGAAACTGAGGCTCAGGGAGCTCAAGTCACTTGCCCAGAGGCTCAGGGAGCTCAGGTCACTTGCCTACTCCCCTCAGCCCCAAGGGTGGCATGTCCACTGGTGGCCAGCCCACAGGAAACATGAAGGAAGCCAAGGATGATGCTATGTAGCCCGAGCTCACTGAAGTTTTTGCAAGAGAAATGCTCAGAAACATCCTGAAAAGAAAAAATACAAACAAACAGAGCCTGAGCTCAAGGTGTCACCATGATTGCAACCGCCAAGGTTTTCACACCTGCAAATGTCTGTGAACAAACATTAGTTCCAAACAGAAATTCAAACCTGAGCACACTCCCTATGCAGGCAACATCTCAAAATCACATTTTAGCAAGAAATTTGACAGTCAGCACCCTCTGCTATGTAGACACCTCCTTTAATGGGCTGAGGGTGGGTGATCTCTCCTCAGCCTGCTCTGGGTAAGATTTCCTCGTGACTCCCACTGTGATCATTAACACCCATGGTCCAGGCTCAGCCACAGTTAGGGAGAGTTTGCAGAACACCAGCTACTTCCTGGAAGAAGGGACCCAATTCTGTTTTGCTACCTTTTGTGTGTGTCTGTGGTAAATATACACAACATCAAATTTACCACTTTAAACATATGTAAGTGTACAGTTTAGTGACATTAAGTACATTCTCAGTGTTGTGCAACCATATCACCGCTAGTCTCCAAAACTTTTTGTATTTCCAGTTAGCACAGTGAGAAATATTAGATGCTCAATAAATATTTGTTGAATTAATGAACAGTCCAGTATTCAGGTACCTGGAATTTACTAGGCTCTGACTTCCATATAGAATTCCATATAGCTGTCAATCATCTGTCCAATATGCTTATCTTCTTATCACAACACAAATCTCTGTCCTCTCCTCTTCTCCTACAAGTGAATATGTAGCTGAGCTCAGGAACTGTCCCCAGGTATGGGGTCAGAGCCCAGCTATCCCTCCCTAGAACGATGCCTACCTTTTACGTGGTGCTGACAGCAAAACAAAACAAAAAAGCAGGTTCTTTAAAGCCTAGATTAAAACCCAACAAGAATTATCCCCAAAGGAAAAATAGGTGGGTACTTAAAACAGATATGCCCTTTGCATCGGAATTCTCTGAGGCACACAGTGTAAAAATGTTAGCCAGTGTTCCACGGAGCAGGCCCGGCAAGAGACGATCTGCCAACTATCTGCCACCTCCTTACCACCTTCCCTCCACTCTCCCACTCCACCCTCCTAAGGAATCTCATGCCTGGCATGAGAAACAAATGAGGGGCTTTACTGTCCCTGTAATTGCTCCAAATCCCATTAATTATATGGTAAGCCTCCAACAATAGGCTGGGCTGCCTGCCTTAATACAAACTCGACTTGGGGCAGATTCCAGGACCTCCAGGGCCTCAGTTTCTACTACTATAAAACTAAGGGCTGATGAATGCTATGTCCCCTTCCAGGCTCCGTGTTCTACGACTCTGAGCTTGAAGAGCCAGTAGCCTCCTCATATGCCCAAAGGCACAAGACAACTAATTACTTCTCACACTGTCACCATAAACTGTCAAAACTTTGTCTACAAAGATGGCAGGTTGGAATCACAGAACTTCCTTTCCTAGCTGAAAAGGATTTGCCCAGGCCAGGGACTGGTCAGGGCCCATGCCAAGATGGGCTACCAAGTCCCAGACTCTTAGACCTGAGCACTTCCAGCTAGACGACTTATGATCATGGTATTTACTGCTGTCAGAGCCTTCTAAGCAATGTATAATGCTGTTTAAAACCCACCTCTGGCCGGGTGCGGTGGCTCACCCCTGTAATTCCAGCACTTTGGGAAGCCAAGGTGGGTGGATGGCAAGGTCAAGAGATCGAGACCATGCTGGCCAACGTGGTGAAACCCCGTCTCTAATAAAAATACAAAAATTAGCTGGGCGTGGTGGCAGGCACCTGTAATCCCAGCTACTTGGGAGGCCAAGGAAGGAGAATTGCTTGAACCTGGGAGGCGGAGATTGCAGTGAGCTGAGATCACGCCACAGCACTCCAGCCTGGCAACAGAGCGAAACTCCACCTCATAAATAAATAAATAAATAAATAAATTGTACTTTTCTGCTGCCTTCCTCTGTAAGAACAGGTATCTCTTTATGCAATGGCTGTCGTGGAAGCCATGCATAGACTACATTTTTGGTACATTTTTTATGTAGCAGGGACTCCAACAATTAATGCTTTTAAAAATGAATTAACCTCATAAGACCATGCCAATCTATCCCTTTTCTAAGTTGGACTTTTGTATACTCATTTTGCATAAAGGAAGAGGCACCCAAAAGACACCAGCCATGTATGGCCATGTGAGTTCCCATGTCAGCCATGCAAGGCCATCCACCACACACCCACACACACACAAGATTAGGTATGTACAGACAAGGCTACTTTGGTTGAACCAGTCTGACCAGTGCTTCTTCCACTCCCTGCCCCCAGATTCCCCATCTCAGAGGAAAGGCAGGCAATTTGGAGTTAGGCCAGCTCCTTAGCTCTGCCCTTCCCCAGCTATTGTTCCTCAAAGGGCGATTCTACTGGCATTTAGGGCAGGATGACCTCTTGCCCTTGCCTCTCCCTCCCACCTTTCCACTTTTGGGGGTCAGTCCACCCCATGCCCAGGCTGGCCAGAGTCCTTCTGCCTTGGTTTCTCAGTGGGCATCCCGAGTCTCCTGCCAGCCTGGGGGCTGCCCTGAACTCTGACCATTACTAGGCTGGGTCCTCTCAGCCAGAGTTTCCAATTGGACCAATACGTTTGTAAAATACAATAAAAATGAACTGATAGAAAAATAGTCAGATGTTTAAGATGTCACAGCAATGCCAAACTTCAATAAGGGTTTCTAAGCATTTACTGTCAATGTCTGTACTTGTGTCACAGACTGGTAACAAACAGTACCAGTGGACCATACCTTGAGTAGTTCTGTTCGTTCTAGGCCAGTGGTTCTTAAATTATGGTCTCAGGACCAGCAGCATCAGCATCAACTGGGAACTTGATGGGGTACATTCTCGAGCCCCATCCCAGACCTCCTGAATCTAAAACTCTGGGGTGCAACTCAGTAAGCTGTGTCTTACCAAGCCCTCTGTGTGAGTCTGATGTATGCTTAAGTCAGAGAACCAAAGCTTTAAGCAGACCCTCCCCTCAGGGTGAGGCTGGGCTGGGACCCCAGGAGCCCTACAGAAGGTGAGGTCTACCTGAAGATTCTAGAACATTCCAGGCCAGGTCTCTGGCCATGGTCCTCACCCCTGGAATTAGAAGACCCCTCTCAGGCTTGGCCACAGGACTGCGGAGATGAGGGAAAGAAAAAGAGGTTGTAAAAATAAAAATCACTGGAGCCCCGCACTGCTGGAAAAATACTCTTTAATTAGGGCCAGAGTCCTGGAGATCACCAAGGGAGGCTTCCCGGAGACCACTAGTCTCCATTAGCATTTTCCCAAGGGCTACATCCAGGTTATGAAATAGGAGGGCTGGGTGTGATTTGCATATAATTTGCATATGCCTATTTGGACTGCACACTCTTCTCCAGCAATTTTCAACAGAATTACAATCTTTTCTTTAAAAGCTACTGCTGCCCTAAGGGTTGTCACTTATCATTTTTCCTGCTCTCTCCTCCTCCTCATTCTCCCTCTCTGGCAAATCCACAACCTTAAGCAGGAAGTGTAAAAAATGCTGAAGAGCACAGAAGTGGGGGTAGTGGCAGCAGGGGCTGCTCTTGACGAGGCTGTCACATGAGCATCTCATTCGTGAGGGAATTTCACAGACCTATACGATATGTTTTTAAAAGGAAACGGTACCAAATTGTCATGTTATGCATGTCTACTATCCCCATAGCTATCATAAAAGAGACCACATCTTATTGCCAAAAATGTTGGAAGAACGTAAATCTCAGAATAAAGGACAACCCTTTTAAGAGAGAGAAACTGAGTCTTATAAAAAATGTACTACATTATCTTATTTTTCTCATTTGTTTTCAGACCCAAGATCTGAATCCTGGCTGCACCAAATACTCTAGTTGGTCAACTTCAAGCTTCAGTAGTTTCTCCCCTAGGAAATGGTACCGTGAGTTCTATTTGCCGGGTTCTGGTAAGAGTTGCAAATGTCAAGTGCCTGGCACATAGTGAGCCCTCAAAAATTGGTTCCTGGCCAGGTGCGGTGGCTCAGGCCTGTAATCCCAGCACTTTGGGAGGCTGAGGCAGGTGGATCACGGGGTCAGGAGATCAAGACCATCCTGGCTAACACAGTGAAACCCCATCTCTACTAGAAATACAAAAAAATTAGCTGGGCATGGTGGCAGGTGCCTGTAGTCCCAGCTACTCGGGAGGCTGAGGCAGGAGAATGGCGTGAACCCAGGAGGCGGAACTTGCAGTGAGCCGAGATCACGCCACTGCACTCCAGCCTGGGCAACAGAGTGAGACTCCACCTCAAAAAAAAAAAAAATTGGTTCCTATTTTTCATTATCAAAATTTTAAAAATCACTGTTGTTATTATTATTAGGTTATTGAGGAGCTTTCCTTTCTCGTCTCTCCTGAGTAAGTGAAAACAATCCTTTCCGCGTTCCATTTTCCAGGCTATGTGTGCAAGTCTGGATTTTAAAACCAGAAATATAAGTAGTGGATTCAGGTTTAAAAAAAAAAAAAACTACGTCCAAGACTTCCAAAAAAAGTCTACTGTTAGAACAAGCAGCCTTTCTGTCTTTCCTCATGCTTAAAAGGGCCAGTGAGAGAAAGACTTTTTTCTTTGTGTGTGTGTCTGTGTGTGTGTGTGTCCCCTGAGGATGGTGAGCAGCCTTATTTCAGAATGCCGAGGGAAGGGGCTGTCACCCAAGTGCACAGGCCTGGAAAGGCAAACTGCTTCGCTGGATTTTTGTTCAGAACACATTTGGGAGTGCATCTGCCTCAAAGCTCAGGGGTTTCTTGTCCCCTGGCCTCCCCTAGCTCAGCTCTCCGCTGCTCTGGGGAGTCTGAGATGGGGGCATATTTCACTTGGCAACTCAGGCTGGCAGCAATAGCATTCTCTTTGTGGGGTGACCTATCAACCCACTTGTCCTCTACATCTCGGCCTTCCAAGGAGACACATCAGCTGGCCCCTGGCTGCCTGGCTCCAAATGTCAGCACAAAGTAACTGCCCCTCTATGTGACAGATGTGTGCACATCTTTTCAGCCAATTTGGGCAGTAAATTACATCATGTGCAGTCTTTGCTCACCATTCCCAGATTTATTCAATCGACAACAGAAATGGAGGGATTCCTGGCCCCTGCCAGTCAGTACTCTGTGATACCTCTGATCCAGATTCCCCACCCCTCCAACAAAACCCAGGGGTAGGCATCTCTTCCTCATGTTCCCATAGCACCATCTGCTTCCTAAGGCAGCAGATCCCAAGATGCAGTAGATGTCTGTTCTCTTGTCTTTCTCACCCCCTGCCTGCCCGTGGTGGGAGCTGCTTGAGGGCACATGACTTGTCTTGCTCAGCACCAAATCTCCCAGTGCCCAGCACACAGTACCATCGCAAGTGCTTAGTAAATATCTGCTGAATGAAGAAATAAAAAAAAATGAATGAATGAAAGTTAGCCTTTTCTGCCTAAGAAGAAGCCAGGGTCTGTTATAGTCACTCTCAATTATGGGCAATTTGCCTCCCAGGAGACATTTGGCAATGTCTGGAGACATTTTTGGTTGTCAGTAACTCGGTAAGAGGGGGTTGCTACTGTCATCTAATGGGTAAGACGCCAGGGATGCTGCTCAATGTCCTACAATGGACAGGACAGTCTTGATACAACAGATGAGAAAACTGAGGTTCAGAGAGGTAAAGCAATGTGCCCAATAATATGGCTATTCAGTGGCTGGGATGGGACTCACACTAAGATACATCTGATGGCAAATCTGTGATCTTACCTGACACCTTGAAGGGAAGTCCTAGGACCATTGGGGGTCCCAAGGGCATGCATGGCTGACAGTAAAGATATCAAAGTTATTCCATTAAAAATTTGCTTTTATTTGGATTTTTCTTCATCAATAAGATAAAGACAAGTAGAAAAAGCAGCCATTTTAGACCAAATATTTCTCCCCAACAAGCCTGCTTTGATTCCTGAAATTTCTCAATTAGATACTCTTCCAAGGCAAGAATCTCTGTACTTCTGCTATTCTCCCACCTACTTAAGACATCTTTGACCTGCCACCTGCTTATCCAGTTTCTGTCCATCTCTCAGGGACAGAAGGAGGGTTTCCTCCTCTGTGAAGCTCGGTCTGACCCCCTTAGAAGGGAGCCAATGCCTGACCTTCAACTACACGTGTAGCCTGTCCCTGCTCAGGGCACATGAAAGGAGGTCTCAGGCAGTGCCCACGTGCTGGGCTCACATGCCTGGGCTTCGGCCACATCTTGGAGATCCAGTCCCCTCCTGGGCCTTGCTACCAGCTGGCCAACTTCCCATGGTTCCCAGCCCACAGGGATCTTCTTGAGGCCATCCAGGCAGCTGGCATTCTTGTTCATCCTGCCTGCTCAGCCCTACCTACCCCGAACCCCAGAAGGCTTGTCAAGCTCCCTTCCTGGCCTTTGCTGGCCACCCCACAGCACTACGATGAGTCATATCATCCCTTGTGTCAGGACTCTATTTTACCCCTCCAGCAAGTATCCAAGTAAAGACTCTTCTGTCATGGTTTTATGCTCATTGGCTCTTAATTTCTAAGAGGCAGTAAAGGGCAATGTTCACCAGCATGACTTCTGGAGTCAGATTGCCTGGGTTCAAATCCCAGCTCTGCCGCTTTCCAGCTATGGGACCTTGGACAAGCTACTTAAATTCTCTGTGCCTCATGTGAAGAACAGAGATAATAATAGTACCTACCTCACAGCAATGTTGTGAGAATTAACAAGCTTAGCAGAGTCCCTGGCACACAGTAGGTACTCCATAGGAGTCAGTGCGGGTCATGTCACATGCTGTGTCCCTAGAAGCCCAGCTGTCCCAGGCTTCTGAAACAGTGTCTCAATCATTGGTTCAGCAGTGTGTTTTGAATGCCTACTGTGTGTGAGCCATAATGTGAGAATGGAGTTATATCCTGGGCTGTGGTGAACAGGACAAGCTCTTCCACGATGCTACGGGGCAGGGATGTCAATACATCGTAACTGATTCCATGTGAACCTTCTTGACCACAGAGGCCGATGCTAAATGTAATAGTTCTTCATTCGATTCCTATTGTCATCAACTCATCTGATATTCCCATGCCTGATTATGGACCCAAGAAGCTCTTGCATCAGGTCCTGTTCATCTGATCCTCCTTTTGTTATAACTATCACTCCTCTCGTCTCTTTATAAGTGTGAACCTAAGGCTCAGAGAGATTAAGCGAGTTATCCAAGATGACACAGTATTCAATGCATGGACTCAAAGCTAGGATTTCTGCTTTCCAGGCCAGTTGTGGCTGTCATGCTCAGCTCCAGGGGCATCATTCATAGGAAATGGAAACCCTAGAGTTCGGAGTGAGTCTAAGCAGTATCTAGCAAAATCCAGAGGCCTCAGGCCAGCAAGTGCAGACAGAAGTTGCTAAGAGTGAGCCTAGGGCAGTGGTTCTCAAGCCTGCCTGGGAATTAGATCACCTTGGTGCTTAGGCCCTGTCCAGACAAATTAGATCCGAATTGTGGGGGTCAGGCAGCAGCGTTTTTAAACCCCCTCCCCTGCTCCCCAACAGTCCTGAGGTTCAGCCTGCAATCACTGCTCTAGTTCCTTGTTACTCAAAGTATGGTCCCTGGACCAGCAGCATAGGCCTTGTTAAGAGGTCATTAGCACTGGCCTGGGAGCTTGCTAGAAATGTAGAGTCTCTGCCCTGCCCTATATCAACTCAGTCAGAACCTGCGTGTTTTAACTGCAATCTCCGGGGCATGGGTAAGTAGAGCTGGTCTTGCAAAGGACAGAAGCCACAGAATACAGATGTCATCCCGCTTGGACCCAGCCCTATTGTGGGGAGATTTCTCTGTGGGTGAGTAACATGGTTTGGATGTGCATCCCCTCCAAATCTCATGTTGAAATGTGATTCCCAATGTTGGAGGTAGGGCCCGGTGGGAGGTACTGGATCATAGGCAGAACATGAATGGCTTAGCACCATCTCCTTGGTGATGAGTGAGTTCTCACTCAGTTCATGTGAGATCTGGTTGTTTAAGAGTCTGGGACCACCCCCTTCTCCTTCTTGCTCCAGCTTTGGCATGTGACATGATAGCTCCCTGTCACCACCTGCCTCACCAGAACCAGAGGCCAGCACCGTGCTTCCTGTACAGGCTGCAAAACGGTAAGCCAATTAAACCTCTTTATAAATTACCCTGTCTCAGGTATTCCTTCGTAGCAACGCAAGAACGAACTAACACAATAAGGTTACCAAATTTAGTGAACAAAAGTACAGGATGCTCAGTTATATCTGAATTTCAGATAAACAACAAATAACTTTTTAGTATAAGTGCGTTCTGTGCAATATGCGGGATTACTGATAACTTCTTGCTTCAGTTCGTCTACAATGATCTTTCCCTCTAAATCCTGGGGAACATGGCAAAAGCAACCTTAAGACTTACCAATGACAGAGTCCCCTCTTAAAAGCCCCTCAAGATTCTCAAGTTATAAAGGGATGATTTTGCTCCCTAGGGTACATGTATCAATGCCTAGCTGCATTTTTAGTTGCCACTACTAAACTTCTCATTGCTTATCTGAAGTTCAAATGTCCAGTGAAGGAGGAAAAGGGCAGGAGAGCCCAGAGAGGAGACAAAAGGGTGGGGTCACTGCATATAGTGGCCAAGAGCTGCTAGGACTAGTGCACAGGATGATGGGAGGTGGCAGGTATGGGCAGTACTGTATACCCAATCAGGCACAAGACACAGCAGCCTCTTCCAGAAATCCCCTTCAACAAGGGCTCTCCAGCTGAGCTTCCTTGGAGACCAGGGAAGGAAGAGCCCACAGTTGCCCCCACCCCTCCAGGCCAGCCCATCCCCTAGAGACTGCTGACAGCTGGGAGAAGGGTGCAGGCTGCAGGCCACCCGAGGTGCCCGCCCCGACCCTGGCTTTCATTTTTAATGAGCCATTTTCCAAGTGCTTCACAAGCAGGCAGGCAGGCATTGTTTGCAGCCAGCAGGGGAGTCCTGAGCCGGCTGTTAATGGGTTTCCCTCAGCTCCCCCTCCTGGGGGTCTGCACAGCCCCTTCGGATGAAAGGAGCCCTCTGCAGAGGGCATGGTGACCATGGGCATGGCAGCTTCTGTCCTCTGTTCGGGCTGTCAAAGCCTACCCCAATCTGCCTGGGGAATGCCTTCATGAGTGCCAATTAGAGTTGGGACAAAATGTGTGTGATTTCAGAAGCCAGGGGAGTTGAGACACTCGGAACACAGCAACTTCTGCATAAAGCAGGTACCTAGAGAGCTGACCCTGAGAGGATCACCAGTTGAGAGGAACTCAGCAACAGCTGGAGTTTGCTGGGGGTAAATTGGCAAACCAACGCTGGATGAGGCTCACAGGACTCGGGGATTTTTGAAAATTCAAAACCCCAACAGGACACAGGGAAATGGCGGAAGGTTTTCTGTGATCTAGTGAGGAAAGCAAAGCTGAGGGATCACGTATCTGGATTCTCAATGGAGTGACGGTCCTCCCCACAGGGACTCATGATGTCCAAGGTAGTCAGTTTCTCCTCCCACTCCCTGCAACCCCTGCCTGGTTTGAGTGCAAAGGGCACTGGCCTGGTACTCAGGAAGCCCCAGCTTTGCCACCTACTAGCCTGGGGACCCCCAAGAAACACCTCCCACATTGGGCCTCAGTTTCCTCATTTTGGGCAAAGTGGGAGGTAACGAGGTAGACTGGAGCCTGTGTTCAGCCTCAAATCCCACACTCCCGGTAGGAAGGGTGGCTCCTCATGGGCGTGGATAGATCAGCCTCTCCAGGGGGCTGCACAATTGTGCTCCACCCCCATCCCCACCCCATCCAACTGTTCAGAGAATCTCTAGGCTGGTGAACTCAATGGACCTGTCCAGCTCTGATACTTAGGGGTCTCAATTAGCTTCTTGCCCCCTACCCCTAAAGCATAACTCAACTGGAAAGATGTATAATCAAGGCCATGGAGAGGCCCTGTGGATGGAGGATAGCCCTTCAGGTCTACCTAAGCACGGGAAGCGCCCAGCCCCCGTAAGAAAGGATCAGCAATTTTCACTGTCCTCACTCCTCTTGTCTTCAGAGAGCCACAGCATCAACTCTCCAGCCCTAGAGACCTGGCAACAGGCTTCCCACTCTCCCACCCACTCTCCCACCCAGACCCTGCCTCACACCATCAACCACCTGGACACCCGGCTCCTGCTGGGCTTAAAAGAACACTCCCTTCCTCATGTTTTCCCTTCCTTACAGACAAAATAGAATTGGAATTTTCAAAAGAATGTTACTAAAAATCTTCATGGAAAATAGAAGGGGATTTGTTTTAGTTTTTGTTTTAAAGGACTTTGAAAAGAACAATCCTTCCATGTATGGGTTTAGGAGTAGGAGCTGCCTGAAGTGGGGTCACAGGTGTCTGAAGAGCCGGGACCCCATCTCCCCACCACTCCTCCTCCACCCCCAGCCCCTAGCCTGAGCAGGCAAACACAGGCTGTGATGGTAGCAGGAAGGCCGCTGCAGCATGGGGGTGATATCATTTGGATGTTTATCCCCTTCAAACCTTACGTTGAAATGTGACCCCCAGTGTTGGAAGTGGGTTCTAGTGGGAGGTGTTGGACCATGGGAGTGGATTTCTCATGAATGGCTTGGTGCCATGCCCTTGGCAATGAGTGACTTCTTGCTCTATAGTTCACAGGAGAGCTGGTTGTTTTGAAAAGCCTGGCATCTCTTGCTCCCTCTCTTGCCATCCATATGCCAGCTCCCCTTGCCTGCCATGATTAAAAGCTCCCTGAGGCCTCACCATAAGCCAGGCAGATCCTGGTGCCATGCTTGCACAGCCTGCAGAACTGTGAGCCAAATAAGCCTCTTTGTAAATTGCCCAGCCTCAGGTATTCCTTTATAGAACTAACACAGGAGGCAATGAAGAGACCTCGTTCTACGTGGTGATGAGCAAGCTGCCACACCTCTCTGGGCCTCAGTTTCCGACCCTGTAAAATGGGGATATGTGTATCCATCACACATGATTGCTGTGAGAATTGTGTGAAATAATTCACGCGAACTTGTCTTGCACATAGAAGACACTCAACAAGCCAGGTGCAGTGGCTCACGCCTGTAATCCCAACATTTTGGGAGGCCAAGGCAAGGGGATCACCTGAGGTCAGGAGTTCAATACCAGCCTGGCCAACATGGTGAAACCCTGTCTCTACTAAAAATACAAAAATCAGCCAGGTGTGATGGTGGGCGCCTGTAATCCCAGCTACTCAGGAGGCTGAGGCAGGGGAATCACTTGAACCCAGTAAGCTGAGATTGCGCCACTGCAATCCAGCCTGGGCGACAAGAGTGAAACTCCGTCTCAAAAAAAAAAAAAAAAAAAAAAAAGACACTCAAAAAATGTGGCCCTTTCAGCAGGCTTGGCTAAAAACTGCTCCTAGACAGACATCACAGCCAAAGCTAAAGCCTTTAGTGGAGCGGGATCTTCAACTTGTGCCTCAGCTCAGCCCTGACCTCAGTCTCTGGCACAAGGCAGTGCCTACTGTTTTGACCCAGCTCCCTAGGCCAGCCTCACCCCGATCTGATTCCAGAAACAAAACGTCTCCCCAAATGTCCTGTGTCCCTGATGCCTTTGCTCTGAGGATGCCAGGTCGAGAGCTTGTTTGCAAAGTACAGGGAGGCACCAGTGTTTTTGGCTGACTGGATAGGTTCCTCCTAGGTGGCTGCCACGTGCCAAGCTTTACACATGGCATCTCAGTGAAACCTCACAGCAGCCTCGATGTGACATATACTATTACCATCTCCAGCTTATAGGCAATACAAGTCAACGTCCCAGGTCCTGCAGCTATTGAGGGCAGAGCCAGTGGTTCTCAATCCTGGCTAACAAAAAGGATCACCTGGGGAGGCTTTGAAACATACAGATCCCAGGTCCATCCCCAGATATTCTGACCCTGTAGGTCTGGGGTGGGCCAGGGCATCAGAATTTCAGAAGATCCCAGGGTCATTCTAACATGCAGCCTGGGTTGAGACAGCTCGCCCGACATTCAGCAGACCTTTCCCCTCTGCTGGAGGACCCCTGCCTCCTTCCTCACCCCCTGCCCATCTCAGGGGCCCTACTGAGGCGCATGCGCACTAGCTATAGCCCAGCCCTTCAGTCGCCACACATGCCCTCAGCTCCAAGGCTTCCAGGCCCTCTAGATGGGGAAACTGAGGGCTGAGGTGGACTTGTGACCCATGGAGGCCTAGCTGTTTGTCTTCTGCTCTCTGCCACCCCCTATTGATGACAGCAGAACATGTCCCTTGCAAAAAACAAAACAAAACAAAAAAAAAACCTAAAAAAACAACCAAAAAACAAACAAACCAAAACTCACTTCTGTTTTCTTCCTCTCTTCCTCCCATAGGACTGGTTGGGAACCAACCCCCCCTCACAAGTCCTCCCCTGCCCCCATCCCTCCAGATGAAGCCTCTGGGCTAGAGGCCCACCTGCTTGGTTCTTGGGCTTCTGGCTTCCTGGAGAGGCCCCTTCTGCCTTCCCGGCTGGTCAGGGAGGCAAGTTCCACACAGCCCCTTGCAGACCCATGCTGCCCTAGACCTTGAATCAGTGCTGGCATGGCGACAGGCTGTTCCTCACACTAGGAGGGTCGCATCTGCGGCCCACGTCCTCCCTCTGGTCCAGCCCAGCTCACAGGAGCCCAACACTGGGCTTGGGCCCAAAGCCTCCACAGTGTTCACTTATTTGCCTGAACTTGGCCCTGCTGCATACACCCCCTGGGGCAGGGGCGATTGTTCTCAACAGCATCTATTGTTTGCTGAATCCTGTGCCCAGCCCTCAGGCTCCGCACCACTTTCATTGGTTCCTAATATTCAAAGAGTCTCTCCCCAAGAAGGGCACTCCTGAGTGAGGCCCCCGCCGTCTTCTGGGTCCCTGGTATGGAGGGGCCCCAAGCAGGCCCCTTCTTCCCAGAACCAACATGTCACAGGTTCCAGCCTGTTCCCCTCCCCTGGCAACCAAGCCCAAGGGCTCAGCCTGCTGGAGTAGGTTCTGAGCCCCCACCCCTGTAAACACAAGGCCCAGCTGCATTTTATTTTAATAGAGAGATGGACAGAGGGCTATGGGAGACAGAAGGATCTTAGCAAGCATCAGAGAGTAAGGTCGCTTTCTCCTACCATAAATTTTGTGTCAATTAACGAGTATTCATGAACGATGCCAGAATGCCTCTGTGTGTGTGTGTGTGTGTGTGTGTGTGTAACCTTGATTTGTAACCAAATCAGTGGGGCTTCCTCTGGGGCTGGTGGTCTGGGAAAGTGTGTGTGTGAGCTCATTCAGGTGTTCATTTAGAGAGACAGTGTAGTACAAGGTTAGAAGCAAGTTTTCTGGAGCCACACACACTGTGTGGGTTCAAATTCTGCCTCTGCCCCTTTAAGCCATATGGGTGTGATCCTGGGCCAGCTGCTTACCTTTTCTGTCTCAGTTTTCCTATCCGTTAAATGGGGTTAATAAAACACTCAGCAGAGTGCCTCACACAGAGAAAGAACTTAATCGATGTTAGCTACGATTATGACCTTGGCACTATGGGGGGACGTAATGCTAAATATTCACTCCACACATGTTTTTTATAGTCAAAAGGAAAGCAGCATGGCACATGCAATGGTGTAGGTGGATCTGAATACATTATTAAGTGAAAAAGGCTGCAGTGATTACATACAGCATAACAGGCTTTGAACAAGGCTAAAAGTAATGATAATAAAATGTATATTTTTAGGAATATATATAAGTGGAATAAAATGGTTGCCGTGGGAGGCCCGGGAATGTTTGGATGTAGGCATTTGTCCAATCTTAGCTTTGTTTTGGGCAATGGGTTCTTGGGTGCTTATTACATTAATAAAAACAACCAAGTAAATACATAATTAAATAAAGGCAGCCCACACACAGACCAATAAAGAGACTGTCACATGCCAAATATTGTGGTTAAATACCAATAGTTCAAAAGCAGGGAAAACAGAAACAAATACACAGAGTGACAGTTGCAGGCTAGAAACTGTCTGGGCCGTGGGTTTATATCAGTGAATAGAATAGAAAAAAATTCCCAGCCTCTGGGAGCTCACATTCCAGTGCAGGGAGATGAGTAAGCAAAAGATAAAATGTTGATATCCAAGTGTGTTAGGAAGAGAAATGAGGAAGATTCAGGAGACAGGAAGTAGACAGGCAGAGAAGGCTTCACCGAGAAAGGGACATGCAAGCAAACTGGAGAAGAAGGAGAAGGAGGGATCATGAGGGTTCTGGAGGCCAAGCTTCCAGGCAAAGGGCATATCCCAGGCCAAGGCCCTCAGGCAAGAATGCGCTAGCACAGGGGGTTCAGTGTGGCGGGAGTGGAGCGAGGGGGAAGTGGGTAGATGGGTAGGTGGGAAGATGGAACAGGTCATTTGATTCTTGCAGGCTGCTGTGGGGACTTGGCATTGACTGAGTGACATGGTGGGGAGAGGGCACTGGAAGGCTCTCAGCAAGGCAGGAAACATCTGACACATGTCAGAGGATCCTGCTGTCCGCTGCGCCTAGGAGAACTGGGGGCAGAGGCTGGGAGGCCAATCAGTAGGCTATTGTGCTAATCCAGGTGAGAGGTGACGGCTGCCAGCACCTGAGAGATGACAGTGGAAGAGGTGAGAAGCGGCCAAACCCCGGATATCATGATGACACAGCTGCTGCTCTCCTGGGGGCTCCCAGGCTGACAGCCAAGGCCAGACATGCAATATAAAATCTACCCTAAATGCTATATCAGAGGCCAAGCCCAGTGGGCACTTCCTGTCTCCTTCCCTCCCTTGCAGTTCTGAAGGGCACTTGCCAGCTGCAGGAAGTGCACTGGCAGCTGCGGCCCTGCTTCTCAGACCCCGGCTCAGGCGGCCACCACCTCTGATTCCACATGCTCTTTCCCAACTCCTCCTACAGCCAGCCTGACCAGAAACCCTGACCATCTGTGCGGCCAGGGGGCTGACTATCCTTCCCCACCCAGGGCCTGCCAGCCCCATGCCTGCCTCCCTGAGCTCCAACCAGGGGTCCTGTTGTGTCCTCATTATAGGCCTCAATGTGGCCAGACTGTCAGAGCCCAGGAAGGTTTAGGTTTTATGTCAGTGGTTCTCTACCTTAGCTGCCCATTGAAATCACCTAGAGAAATTCATAAATTATTGGTGCCTGAGTCTCACCCCACGACTGTTATAATAGGTCTGGCATATAGCCTCGGCACTGGAATTTTCTCAAAGCTTCCAGGTGATTCTAACATGCAGTCCAGGGTGGGGAACCACTGCTCAGGTGGCCTGGTCTAGCTCCCCTGTCCCTCTCCCTTGTGGGTGTGTCATGCCACAAGCCTCCATTCAGCCACTTGCTCTCCCAGACAAAGCCCTGGCTGGTGCATCCTCCACAGATGTGAGGCACCTCTGGAGGGCTTGCTCAGCCCAGAGATGAGCTGACTGTACCCAAGCTGGCAGGCACTGTGCTGGGTAGAGCATGTACCCACCTACCTCACATGATGGGCTGGAAACTTGGGACTTTTTGCAGGACCGCCTCGCAGCCTGGAGAGTTGAGTGGATATCCAGGACCACCAGCTTCCCCAGGCTGATTCTAAGGCCAGAAAAGCCCTGCAGCTCAGATATCTGCAATCAAAGCTGCACTGGACTGCTTCCCCTCCCCAGCTCCTCCCCATCCCCATCCTTGCCCCTTTAGGACGAGGACTTGGAATGCATTTTTATTAGACTTTCCCTAGGTGAAAATGGTGCTGGGCTAGGGGTGGGGAAACTGGATGGAGTGTGATTTACACTTCCCCTGCGTCCTCACACCTCCCAAGGGCAGCCAGCCTCAGCAGCCTGCTCACAGAGCCACTGAAGATGGGCTGCACGGTGCAGGCTGCGTGCCGATCCGCCCCAGCCGAGAGCAGCATCTCTGCATAAGCACCCCCATCTCAATCTCCAATGAGCTGGAGGCTGTTTGGTAAATGGGATGGAAGGAGGAGGTGGATGCTGATGTCTGTAAGGTTCTGGCAAAGCCAACACTCAGAGAAATTACTCTTATTCCCCAGACCCCATTCACAGCGGATCAGGCTGTCCCTATTATATTTTATCTTTGCTCCAAACAGCTCCTTTGATTCACACCTGCCTCTAAGTTCTATCTCCAGGCCTCCATCCCTGCATAGCCCCAAACAAGAGAGGCCATTTTCCCTAGAGAGAGGCTTCCTAGCTTCCTCCTGCCCCTCCTTAGAGACGATGGCCTTCATCAGATTAGTTTCCAGTGGACTTGGCTTGCCCATAGCCCTCCTATAAACCCTAAGCAGGATTTCTCAATCTCAGCACTGACACTCTGGGCTGCTGTGTCAGGTGGGGAGAGGAAGGGAGGCTGTCCCAGGCATTGCAGGATGTCTAGCAGCATCCCTGACCTCCACCTACTCAATGCCAGCAGCACTCCCCTCCCAAGTCTGGGACAATCCCAGACCTCACCACCAAATGTCCCCTGGAAGAGAGTGGACAAAATTATCCTGGCTAGGAAACACTGTGCTATAGCAATGTGACGGGAGGCCTCAGGAAGGCAAGAACCATGTCAGCACTTCTGAGAGACAGCTCAGCGGGTGGCCAGTTCAGAAAACCAAGCTCTGATAATCAAAACATAACAGATGTTGGCGTGGATGCGATAAAAAGGGAACACTTCTATACTGTTGGTGGGAATGTAAACTAGCGCAACCACTGTGGAAAACGGTGTGGAGATTCCTTAAAGAACTAACAATAGATCTACCATTTGATCCAGCAATTCCACTACTGGGTATCTACCCCGAGGAAAGTAAGTCATTACACAAAAAAGATACTTGCACTTGCATGTTTATAGCAGCACAATTCGCAATTGCAAAAATGTGGAACCAACCCAAATATCAGTCAATCAATGAGTGGATAAAGCAACTGTGGTATATATATATATGACGGAATACTACTCAGCCATAAAAAGGAATGAATTAATGGCATTCACAGCAACCTGGATGGGATTGGAGACTATTATTCTAAGTGAAGTAACTTAGGAATGGAAAACCAAACATCATATGTTCTCTTTCACAAGTGGAAACTAAGCTGTGAGGATGCAAAGGCATAAGAATAATACAATGGACGTTGGGGACTCAGGGGAAAGGGTGGGAGGGGTGACAGATAAAACACTACAAATTGGGTTCAGTGTATTCTGCTCGAGTGCACCAACATCTCACAAATCACCACTAAGGAACATACTTATTTAACCAACCACCTGTTCCCCAAAAACCTATGGAAATAAAAAATTGAAAGAAAATATCAATTTAAAAAAAAGCCAGACTCTGCATTAAGGAATGGTATGATCTTGTGAGGAGGTCTAACATCTCTGGGCTTCAGTGTCACCCTCTGGCCAATATTTGTACAGGGCTGGTACTATGATAAGTGCCTTCTGCAGGTTTTCTTATATAATCCTCACAACATTCCTCTGGGGAAGGCGTTGTCCCTATTTTACAGCTGGAGAAATTGAGCATGGGGGAAGTTAGGCAACTTGCTCAGGAGCACACAACAAGACAAAGCAGTTTGACTCCAGAGCCTATGGTCTCACCCATGTGGGTCTTATCCACGGTCTGTACTCCCTCCCTTAAAGCTGAGGGTGGGCCTGAGATGACCACCAAAGTCCTTTGCAGTTCTATGACTTTGCCATTCTTTTGATTTTGCTGCTACAAAATGAGGGTTCACTGGGGATCCTGTATTCTTTGTATTTCCCTGCCCCTTTAGGACACAGCTTGCTCATACCTTCCTTCACCCAGTGATTTAACATGCTCCTACTGTGGGCTGTGCAGTGAGTAAGGATCCGGCAGTTCAGTTGTCAATGAGGTGTGCAGTTTACCCTCCAGTGAAGAGGCAGATATTAAACATCTACTTATAACTGTAAATAAATGAGACATTTATTTACAACTGTGATGCTATGGTCTGAATGTGTGTATACTCCCAAAACTCATATGCTGAAACCCTAATCGCAATGGTGATGGGATTAGGGCCTTTGGGAGGTGATAAGATCAGAAGGGCAGAGCCTCATGAATAGAATTGGTGCCTTTTTAAAAGAGGCCCCAGAGAGCTGCCTTGACCCTTCCACCATGTGAAGACGGTACAGGAAGGCACCATCTATGAGAAAGTGGGTCCTCACCAGACACCAAATCTGCTGGCACCTTGATCTTGGACCTCCCAGCTTCCAGAATCGTGAGTAGCAAATTTGTTGTTTGTGAACTCTCAGTCTATGATATTGTTACCACAGCCCAAATGGACTAAGAAGCATGTAAACAGGGGCCCAACCCAGCCCAGAGGGCCAGGGAATGGACCATCTAGCTGCCCTCTGATGGGTGAGCTGGAGTCAACCCGGAGAAGGCAAGGGAAGCCATCACCCCAAGAGAGCAGTGTGCACACCACCCTAAGATGGGAAAGAGTACTATGAGCTGAGCCAGGATCTGGGGTTCAGGTGTCAGTGAGGCATGCAGTTTACCCTCCAGTGAGGAGGTGGATTAGGAATTAAACATCTATTTACAACTGTAAATAAATGAGACATCTATTTACAACTGTGATGCTATGGTCTGAATGTGTGGATACCCCAAAAACTCACATGTAGAAACCCTAATCCCTAGGGTGATGGGATTAGGGCCTATGGGAGGTGATGAGTTCATAAGGGCAGAGAAACCAAAAGGGAAGAGGATGCTAGAGGAGGCTGATGAGGTGAGCAGAACCTTGTAGGCCCTGAGAAGAATATCTTACCTTTATCCTAAAAGCAAGAAGAGGCTATGAGAGGGTTTAAATAAGAGAATGACATGCTCAGATAAGCATGCTTAGCAGAGCAATTCCTGTGTGCTGCGTGAAGACTGGGTTGGGCTGGGGATGGTGGCAGGAAACGCCGGGGGACCTGTCTGGGCTGGTCCAGGGAAGGGGGTGGTGAGCTGGACCACATGACGACTCAGGAGCAGAGAGAAGTGGCAGAGTCCAGAGGCATTAACACACAGAGCGGGCAGAGCCACCGTGGATGTGATGCGAGAGGGTGCGTAGAAGCAGGGTTAGCAGACAGGAGGACAATGGAGCTGTTTACAGGACAGAGTCAGTTCCCAGGGCTGTGGGGACTATGTCGGGAGCTCCCTTTGGCCACACTGAGTTTGAAAGGTGCTGTGCATGGTAACATGGGATTGAATGACTGATTGGTCTACTAACTGATTAATTGATAAGTGATCCTGAGACCTCTTTCTAAGATGAAACTCACTTTGAGGACCCTGGCTGACTCAGATACACCCTGGACAAGCACAGATAGAAAACAAAGAAGGCACACATGCAGCAGGAATGCCTTGGAGGGGAAGAGCCCACATAATGGAAATCTAAGTTATTATTACTATTACCTTATCAGATCTGACAAGATCACAGTCAAAGGTGGGGCCGTAGCAGCCTGTAATACAATATAAATGGGATCTCTGGTGGCAGTTGGCCATTGCATTGATTCTTATTCACTCAGAAGCTAAATCACAGGGCTAATATGAAACATGTGTGAAATACCCCTTTTTCATGCACTAGCAATGAAAGGCTTTCACAAATCTGCAGCCAAATGAATGTACTTACTGAGTAATAGGAATGTGCACATGGGCATCATTTTATTACCACATACAGGCCAGCTTCATCAAAGCTTTGATTTCACATTGAAGAAAGTGCTCCAGCTACCCAGGGAGGTAAAGGATTGCCAGCACAAGGCCCCAGGTTGGGAAAGTGACTTTTGATTTGATATCCAAGGCCTGAGGATTTCAACAGTGTGCATAACATCATTTGGTTGCTTGTAGAACCACGGAATGTCAGCATGGGACAGTATCTCAGGTCATGTAGCTCACCTGCATGACAGGTGAAGAAAGGGCTTGTGGAGGGTCACTTAGTTCACCAGCAACAGATCAGGGACTGGAATCCATCCTTTGACTAGTGTAGGCCATGGCCATTCCTACCACTGGATTCAGGACCCATAAGTCTTCACCAAAACCACCATAGGAAATGACAGCAAAGACTATTATCTAACAGCTCAGGAAGGCAAGCAAAGGACACGGTATCTTGGCAAGCATTTCGGTTAAAGTGCTGGGGGACAGAGCATAAGGACCTGGGAACAAAGTCTTGTTCACTTATCTGTTTATAGATAATGCATACTCTACCAACATCTTTTTTTTTTTTTTTTTTGAGATGGAGTCTTGCTCTGTCACCAACTCTGGAGTGCAGTGGCACAATCCTGGCTCACTGCAACCTCCACCTCCTGGGTTCAAGCAATTATCCTGCCTCAGCCTCTCGAGTAGCTGGGATTACAGGTGCGTGCTACCATGGCCAGCTAATTTTTGCATTTTTAGTAGAGACGGGGTTTCACCATGTTGGCCAGGCTGGTCTCGAACCCCTGACCTCAAGTGATCTGCCCGCCTTGGCCTTCCAAAGGGCTGGGATTACAGGCGTGAGTCACCATGCCCGGCCTCTACCTTCTTCTAAAAAAGATTTGGGGTGGTCTGTAATTAAACACACACACACACATACAACAAAATAGTTCAGACTGACATCGGATTGTAGAATTGTTTTTAAAAGCAAAAAAATTGGAAATGACCCAAGTCGGTCCCTCCATAGGGGACTGGTTAAATAAATTCTGTTCATGCATATAGTGGAATACTACAGAGCAATCAAAAAAAAAAGAAAGAAAACTAAAGAAGTGCTCTGTACTAATATGGAGGTATTTCCAAGATGTATAGTTAAGGAAATAAGAAAGCAAGTTGCAGTACAGAGTATTCAATAGGCTATGTTTTATAGGGTAAAATGGAAAACTAAGAATACATACTTGAATTTCTGTGTTTTAGCACAAATAAACACTATGGGGACAACAGGGGCAGGGATGGAGTAGAAAAAGACAGAGGTGAGAGTGAGAAATCTTAGTGTATACCTCTGTAAAAGCATTTGATTTTCATGTTTTGCCTATTCAAAAATTCTAATCCAACTAAACACAAGAGGAAACGCAATAATAACACAAAGTCCTGCAGGTGCAAGAGCCAAAAATTGTTCCCTTCTGCCTTCTCAGAAAAATGGATGCAAATGGTGCCATGCCTGGGTTCCCACCCTCACATCAGCCCAGAAAGTGGAGGGTGAGTCACCAGCCTCTGGCCTGGAGGAGGAGGGAACAGAGCACAGAGAAAGCCCGGTCTGCTGGGCAGCCTGCTCAGGCTGGTCACAGTGGCCTGGTCTCTCTGTCTCTTCGTGGAAAAGATTAGGAAGGCTGGATGGCCTGGGACCTGAATCAGGCCAGTTCCACTCGAGGCCTGCCCTTCTCTGGAGGGCTATGCCCACGTCTGCTCCATGACCCACCCCCGAATCACCATCATCCCAGCTCCTGATGCCCTGTGGTTCCAGGAACAACCACACTGTACTAAGCGCAGTGTTCAAATTCTCAGGACCCCACCAGCACACTTGATTCACAAATATACGCTCATTTTAAGGCCATGTGGTATATGGAAAGAGCACAAGGCTGTGAGTCAGGAGATAGGAGTTCCAGCCCAGCTTTGCCGTGAACTCACTGATCCCCAGCTCACAGCCATGAGCACACTTGATCCACTGCTCATCCCACCCTCCCAGGGCCTTCCTCACTGTTCCCAGTCTCGATCCCAGCTTTGGCCCTAGTGCCAAAGCTCTGGGGGTACAATGCCCCACAACCTGGCATTGCTAAGCCACAGTACTTGGAGAAGAATCGCTGGAGATGAGAGAGGGCAGGGCCCTCAGCTGAGGATGGAGGCTTCAGCTGTGCAAACATGCTCTTCCCCTCCGTCTCTTCTCTGACCCCTTATTGGAGGAGGAGGGGGGCACCCAAACAGCAAATCAATTAAAAGTTACTGCTACCACCCAGATGTCCATACATGAGGTTAAATTAATTGTCTGATTAATGAATTATATCCATATTACAGAAAACCATGTTATAAAGAATTACGGCCATATATATAAACAGTTTTTTTAAGATATTAAGTGAGGCCGGGCGTAGTGACTCATGCCTGTAACCCCAGCACTTTGGGAGGCCGAGGCGGGCGGATCACGAGGTCAGGAGATCGAGACCATCCTGGCTAACACGGTGAAAATTAGCCGGGCGTGGTGGCGGGTGCCTGTAGTCCCAGCTACTTGGGAGGCTGAAGCAGGAGAATGGCATGAACCCGGGAGGTGGAGCTTGCAGTGAGCCGAGATTGCACCACTGCACTCCAGCCTGGGGGACAGAGCGAGACTCTGTCTCAAAAAAAAAAAAAAAAAAAGAAATTAAGTGAAAACACAAGCTGAAGAACATAATATTTAGTTTGATCCCATTTTTGTTTAATATGTATCTATTTTCCAGATCCATGGTAACAGTAGAGATATAGACAGTGACACGGATGTGGATCCGGCTATAGATAAAGCAATTCCCTAAATTGTAGATAGTGATGATCTGTGGTGATGAGGGGTAGTATCACAAGTTCCTTCACTCTCTCATAGAAGTTAAATACTTCTATGTTGTTATTTTTTTCTGATACAAAGCAGTTATTATTTTTGTAATTTGAACAAAGATCTTTCAAATTTACTGCATATCTACTATATACCTGGTTGGGCTGGCCCAAATGATGTCCAAAGTAAGTCAGAGGCTCAGGGGAGGAACCCCCCTCCCAACCCTGCCCCATCCATCAGATGGGAACCTGGGGCCCAGGGAGGTCTCGTGGTTGGCAGCACACAGTGAGTTCATGGCAAAGCTGGGCTGGAACGCCTATCTCCTGACTCACAGTCTTGTACTCTTTCCATATACCACGTAGCCTTAAAATGAGTGTATTTTTAGGGGAGGAGGGTTCTTGATGTGCCTGGTAGGGAAAAAGCAGTGGAAATACTGCCCCCGCCCCACAAAAAAAAAATTAAATTTCACTTTCCAGGACTCACTACATGGCCGCCAGGTCAATACCGCCACTTCCTAAAAGTCAGCCATTGACTGATGGAAGATTCCAGACAAGTGTTCATTTAAAGATGAACCATTAACCGTAAATCAAAGCCCAGAGTGAGTGCTGAGTTACAAAACTAATTAGAATGAGTGGGTAAATGGATGGCTGGTCTCAGTCCCAGTGGCCACCTGACTGTTATCCACCAGGGCTGGGAGAAGATATATTCTCTGAGTCATAAAAGCAACACAGGGTCAGAGAAGGCTTCTTTAAGAAGTCTCTCTCTAATATAAAAATAATCACCACCATCTCCTCAAAAGGCAGCCAAAATGGCAGGGCACACATTGATCAATTAACAAGTATTATTAAACCTCTTATTCCACTGAGCTTGGAAGGCCCAGCGGCCTCTTCCATTTGACCACCACTTTACAACGCAGAAAGGCTTTAACTCATCATCCTGTTGGATCCCCTGTGCCCTGTTGCTGGTACTTTTTAACCTCCATTTTTGTGTCTGCAGAAGTGATTAGTGACATGTTCAGGGGCGTGCAAAGCTGACAGGCAGAGCTAGGCGCTGCTGTTGCCCCCATGCCACACTCTGCTGAGGGGCTGCAGAAGGAAAGGAAACTAAACAACCTCTGAGAAAGTAAAACAACCAAAAGTACAACCCAAGCCAGTCCAGAGTTGGTGCTGATCTGTCACCCTCCCAGACCACCTGCACTACAAAATGCAAACACATTTTTCCACCCTGAGATTTTTGTCTTCTGGGTGCAGTTTATGTATGTGTGTTTGCACATATGAATACACATATGTGCATCTTTAGTGTTTGACTCTTTGTACTCCTTGAAGTGTTTGTACCGACACTGTCCATTAAACTCTCGCCTTAGGGTCAGTAAGACAGGCAATCTATTTCCATTTAATAGATAAGGAAGCTGAGGCTCAGTGCATCTCGCCCCATGTCTTATTATTCCTCAGTGGCAGAGTAGGGAGGGACAAAAACTAAAAGTTGTTGAGGGCTCACTGGATCAAGAACTGTCCATGTCATCTCATTTTGCACCTACAACAATCCCGGGAGGGAGATTTGCTTTCCCCATGTTACACTTGCGGACAGCAAGGCTCAGGGAGACTGTCACCTTCCCCGAGTGGCAGAGCCAGAACTCAACATCAGGGCTCTCTGAGCTCAAAGCTGAGGTTCTGTGGTTGCTGTGCAAGTCCACAGTGGGGGTCAACTCTGTGCCAGGCACTGAGTAAGTCCTTTCCCAAAATATCAGTACTGGCAATAGCTTATGCGTAGCCTTCTAACAAGCTCGGAGGGAGCTAAGCTCTGTCTAGGGCTCTTGAGGACAGGGCATGCCCCAGCATGTCTTTAAATCCTGGCATGGCCCAGAGCAGGGCACCTGGGCACGGAATGTACCTTGTTGAGGTCTCCACCACAGTGCCATCCTTTTCTAGGGCCTTCTCTTTAATTTCTGCTGTGCAAATTAAAGGATGATGTGGACTTTTAGGTAGCATGAGCTCTTGCCTGCTGTTCACATCCTGAATAACTCCATGCACACTCAGTGAGGCGAGTCAGTGCCCCCAAACAGCTCTCTGCACCCAAGAAACCGGGCCAGCTTCATGGTGTGCCTCAGATCCCCTCACCTCCACTCAAGTCACCACTGCCAGCCTTTTCCAATGTTTCCATTAGAGTTTGTCATCTCTCACTGCCCTAAAAAGTGATATGATGATGATGATGATGACAAACATTTCCACATGAAGGCTTGGGTGTCTGAGTCATATTTTGTTGCTTTGTCCCAGTGGTTTCTGTATTTAAAAAAAAAAAAAACTGAAAAGAGAGGGCAGGACTGAGTGAGTGTGGGCAGGATGAGTAATCCCAGCCTTGCTGGGTCCTGGTGGGAAGAAGAAAAGGGGGTGGAGACAGAATGGAAGAGAAGATGGGAGTGGCTGTGAGGGCTGGGCAGGGGGAGCATCTACCCCAGCTCCGGACAGGTAGGACTTGGGCCCCCAAAGTCAGATAGCATTGAAATCCAAACAAGGTTTATGTGCTCAGCTGCAGAATGTGGGCGTGCGGAGGCAAGGGCAGTGTTCCAACCAAGTGATCCATAACCAACAAAGGGAGAGCCCATCTAAATCTGCCCCAGACTTTCAGGTCAAGGGTTCCCTCCTCCAGGTGGCCTTTGCACACCACCCCAGCCAAGAGTGATCCCCCTTTCCTCTGAACCTGAACCACTCATTTGTCCCGGGGGCCAGAAGGCTTTGCTAGCCTCCATCCCTGTGTATTTTCATTGCTTCCCCAATTCCATCATGATTTCCCGAAGGACAGGGAACTTGTCTTCCCACCTCTGTGTCTTAGACGGCACCTTGCAGACAGAGCCATGCTGCATGAGCCACCAAGAAATGTTTGTGGACCAAAGTCTCAGAAAATGGTACCAAATAATAATCACACAACTTATCCTTCGATCTTGGGCTTTATGCTATACAAAGCCATGTCACATTCTTGTGAGGTAGGTGGCAAGTGATATTAAGTTCATTTTACAGATAGAAAAACTGAGGCTCGTGCAGCATGGAATCTGAGTGGCTGCCCAATGACTAGTGAGTAACCAGAAACAGTTCTGGAACCCAGGATTCTAACTTTATTCTGATTTTCCTTGGAGGGACTCAAAGTTTCTATTTCCTTTGAAGCACATAACAAATAATTTTGGGGCACACTGCATTACGATAGCCCATCCCCGTCCAAGAGGTACAGTGTATATTAGCATCACCAAGGCTCTGAAGAAATCTCTTTGGCTTAGTTCAGTGCAGCCTTCTCCAAACTTGCCTTACCCTGAAATCTTTTTGCATGTGACCCTACCGTATTCTATACTGAGCAAATGTTCTGTACTGTCACTTTCCCGAAGGGTAAACCACGCTCCCAGGACAAGCTGTATATTATTGGCATAGAAAGGCTTAAGCTAGATAAACAAAGCTCTAATGGTGAAATTTCAGGGCTCAGCCAGCTGGTAGGAACATTTCCACTTCTTTTTTTAATCACTGAAATGTTCAAAGAGACACAAAATGTTTGTGTATGTTGTTCACTAAAATCTTTTATTCTGAAATTTTTTTCTGCAATATTTTGAAGAAAATTCTAGATATCATATCATGTTGTCTGAATTTACTTCAGTATATAACACTGTCACAGCATTACACATCCTAAAAAATTAACACTAATTCCTTAATATTTAACCCAATTCTCTCCAATATATCCTTCTACAGTAGGTTGGCTTGAATCAGGATTCAAACAAGACTCATCGATTGCATTTGGTTGGTGCATCTATTAAGATTCTCTCAGTCTATAACAATTCCCTCTTCCCCATCCCCTTTTCCCCCTGAACATCAGTCATGTTAGAGAAAGAAATAAGGTTACTGGTCCTGGGAAGCTCCCCACTGGTCTGAACTTGGTGATGGCCTTCCACAAGTCCTTGGCTCAGGTAGAAATTGGTAGTTAGAGCTATCACTTTATCAGCATTAGCTTCAGCCTCATGGCAAGAAAACATTATGGTCGGTGCAGTGTCCTCCCTTTCACATGGCAGCTGGCTGTCCCACTTGTAGCAAAGCATAAATTGATTTGGGGGTTTGGATGGCGGGAGGCACATCTTTTTGAGCAACTAGGTCTTCCCAGTGTCTCCAAAGTTATATTATATTCTAGAATTTGGTTCTAAATACATCTATAACCCAGGATTTGCTAATTTTCTAGGATTTCATGGAAGATGCTCTCCTACCATTCAGTTCCAAAATTCTATCAGTTTACCCTTTCCTAGTCTGTTTTTTGGTGACCTTTTACCTCTCCTTTGCTTTTTTTTTTTTTTTTTTTTTTTTTAAGAAAAGCCATTTTCCAATTACCAGGCAAGCCAGGGACCTCGTATTCCCTCCAGGCCAGCCCCTACCAGTGACTCCATGGGCTTAGCTAAAGTCCCAGGGTCTCAACAGTCCATGGCTTCCTCCCCTCATCTCTTACAAGACAAGTCAGAATCTCAAGGAGAGCAACAACACATAGTCGAACATGATAAATATGCATCCCAAATTTTTAAAAACCAAATTACACAAATCAAGCTTATTCTGAGAGGTTTGTTTTACCAGGGGTCTCTAGTGCTCCAATCAGCATAATTAAATAGTAAGATCTCTCTAGAATTGATTGTGGTTTTCACTTTTTTTTTCATCCAAGGACCATTTCAGCAAGATGATTTTAAGCTAATAAGAACCCCCAAATTAGAAACTAATTAAGGAGATGGAAAATACAAATGTATTTGTTTTTAGTCGGGTACTATTTTTATCAGAAGAATCATGAAAAATTAAAATTGTTAAATACTCATATGAAGGTTGTCAGTCAAGGGCAATGTAGCTTTCTTCCTCTCCCTGCTGCAAAACTTAAGGTGATATAGCAGAAGCTGTTCCCCCTGGGCTCCCAGGAAGCAATAAAGATACTAATTTTAAAGAAACAGAATTTATACACTGCCAGACTCGGTGAGGAAAGAGTGTTGCCATAATTCTCTCAAATCTTTAGCAAGTAAGATCCACAGCACCTTTTACTTTTAGAGCGCATGTACACCTGGAAACAGGATTAAATCATTGCAGTACAGACTCTCATGCCCATTTAATAGAGGAGAACATTAAGGTCTGGGGAACTTAAAAGAACTGCACTGGGTCACATAGCAAACTAAGAAAAAGCCAGGTCAATAACCTTATCCAAATGTGCTTGAGTTTGTGACACCCCCCTCTGCATTGTCCTCCAAATGTGCCATAGATCATCTTTTGAAATAGATGTTAAGTCACAGTGACACTGGTTTGAAGGACTCTTTTAGGATTCGTGACAGCCTTGAGAGCTTGGGGCCCAGGAGAGCCAGCAGGAAGCAGCAGCCAGCTGCTAAAGGGGGCGGGGGCTCTCCAGTCTAGAGAGGCAGGCAGCAACACGAGTGACCCAAATACCACTGCAGCGAGCATCAAAGGCCCATTAACCCAACCACACACAGTCAAATGTGGACCCAACCTTGAAAACACTGTCTCAATGCCCAGGACCAGAGAATTTCCATTTATCCTGCAGACTTTGCCCTGATTCCAGTGCAGCTTAAGCCCAGTTACTTTTCATGTCACCCACCTGCACCTCCTGATCCTACTTCCTCCACGCCAGGCCCAGAGGACATGGGATTTGCCTGGAGCCCCCATTCCCTATCACAGAATCCTCACCAGACCCAAGCCAGGGAGGCAAGGAGGACCTACAGGACTTACTTAGATCCATGGCATGCTCCCAAGTCCCAGGAAGGATGGATTATGAGCTTTCACAATAATCTAGGTGGATTCCAAACTCAGGAGGATTGGCTAGAGACCCCCCACACACAACAGGCTGAGGGAAAGTAAAGATGTCAGGGAAACCTACTGCTGCCACCAACACCCAGATCCTTCCCCTCTCCCAAAGGAGAACAGGAGGCAAGGGGTTAATTCAGAGGCACTCACCCCGGGGGATAGAGCACCTAGGGGGAGCACCTCATGGGAACACCTAGTTGAGTCCTATGGCAGCACCATCTGCCATGAGATGCCAAGAGAAGGGGCATCTTTTAAATCAAATCTGCAGCCTCAAACCCAGCTCCCAGACCCGAAAACACCCCCAGGTAGGGAACTAAGAGTCTCAATAACATTTGATAACTCTATAAAGGACCTTCACATACACTATCTCATTTGAGGCTCTGAAAAAACCCAGAAGGCAGGCGCTATTTAACTCATTCTTCAGATGGGGCTGGGCATAGGGCAGTGGCCAGAGCTGCCATTCACAGGACAATAAAATGTGTACTCCCTCCAGTCCCAAAAAGAACAGCCATATTTCGTGACAATAAGATCTGAACTCCCTACCCTAAGGGGAAGTTATTTGAATTTTTCTTTCTGGGAAAAGCAAGGGGACATGGTAAGGTAGGAACAGGCCTTTGTTTCAAAGACTGAGGCTGGGAGGCAGGAGACAGAGGGATGAAGGACATGGAGCTTTTAGAGAAGGATCCCTGGGTTGGATCCCAAGAGAGGTGGGATGACTTGGGACCTGGAGTGGCTGGCAACCCTCACTCCACTGGAGTGCAGTGCCTCGGTGCTGTCGGCCCCCTAGAGATGGTGGCCTGGGCACTCTAGCTTCCCCTGTGGCAGAGCTGGCATAGATAGAGCACCAGCTGGCTGCAGGGGGCTGCCTCCTCCAGCTGACCACACAGGTCTGGATAAAGGGGCACCACAGGCAGCTGTCACCACCAGGGGCTAAGGCCCAGGCCTCACCCCTCCTTATTTGTGCTGGCCTGCAAAGTGGCCCGGTTCTCATGCAAAGGGAGAGTGGAGACAGAACTACAGAAATGCCAGTTAGGAAACTTTCTGCCAAACTTAGCCAATAGGAAAACCCAAATTTGTTTTTATTTGATTTAGGAAAATAAGAAGAATTACTTCTTGAAATTGATCGTCACGGGGCAATTATTCATTATTTTATTTAGTCCTCATAGTTACCTAGCAAGATAGAATTTATTAGTTCCAATTTCAGGGAAGCTTCTGAGGCTCAGAGACCTTCAGGAACCGCCTGAAGGTCCTAGACCCAGCAAGCGGCAGAGTCCTGAATCCAGTTGCTGAGACCTGGAGTCAGGGCTGGTTCCAGAGAACATAAGTCACCATCTAGAATAAGTGATTCAAGATATCTCTTATTATTCAAGAGAATGTCCCCAGGGATTCGTTATAGACATTTCATAGTAAATCCTGATGTCTAGTCAGGATACCCCTGGCCCCTGGGTGCTCCTTGGCAAGATATTCTAGAGTCTAGATTGGTGCTATCCAACACAGTTGCCACTAGCCAACTTGAAATGTGGTTGGTCCAAACTGAGACGGTGCTACAAGTACAGAATACACTGTAGACTTCAAACACTTTGTATGAAAAGAATGTAAAATATCTCATTCATAATTTTTATGCTAATTACATGTTAAAATAATATGTTAGACCTACTGAGTGAAATGAAATATATCATTAAAATTAATTTCACTTGCTTATTGTTACTTTTTTAAATGCTGCTACTACCACATTTAAAATGACACACGTGGCTTGCATCTGAAGCCCGCCCCAGTGGCTATTGGGCCACCTCACTCCAGGTCACAAGTCTTGCCTTGGCTTCTTGCACACCCCTCCCCTTGAGTTGGAAGACAAGGAGTCAAGACTCTCCAAGCATTCGGAGAATGTCCTCTTTTCTCAACACTTCTCTAAATTCCTGGACCCACCCCTCCTGCCTCCAGTCTTTCTGTGTGCCCAGCAACTGCCAAAGCACTTAAATGCAGTCACCATTTCCGAGTGGTAGGGTCCACCTAAAACCACATTTTCTGTGGCCAGAGAAATTCTGATAACCAGTTTTCAAAGCCCAGGCCCCCAACCCTGTTAGCAGTCAGAATCCCTGGAAGTTAGAAGGCACTTCTCCCAGCCTTCCTGGCTCTCACCCCCCACCAGACTGTGAGCTTCTCCAAAAGCAGAATCACGGAAACAAGCTACATGTACCGATCACTTATTATGGTGCCAGCTGCTGTCCTAAGTGTGTTACATGTTTTACTTTATTTCATTCTCCCCACTAGTCTATGAGTGAGATAGTATCGTCCCTGTTTTTGAAGATAGAAGCTTGAAGCCTCCAGAGGCCTGACCAGGCTCCACACTCCCTCCCGTGGAAGCAAACTGCAGCTCATTCTCTGCATTTCCGGCAGTGAGCACAGTGCTCGGTGCACAACAGGTAATCAGTAAACATTAGTAACATAGGAGAAGAGCGCTTGACAGACCCAGTCCCTGGCTCTTTCTGGTCTTCATCAGGAGGCATGTTGCCCGTTAGCCTCCTGAGACTACAAACTTGAAAGTCCTCACCCACCTACCTCCAGGATTGGATATTTTCTGCCCCTACCCAGTCCCCCAGGATGCTCCCCAGCTTCAGCCCTGCCCAGGTCCCCAGCCAAGTCCAAGAAGTACAGACCACTTGCCCCACTGAGAGGTGGGGTCTGGGGATAGCCTAGGGCCAGTACATACAGGTCATATTTAAGCCAGCTCCCTAGCTCAGCCCCTCCAGTCATAGCCAGTCCCTGACTACCCCTTGCCAGAGACCCTGGAGCTCAATTCTTTCTCCATTTCCTTATATAGACAGGAGTCCAGTTCCGAGCCCACCTAGCACCTTTGGTTGATCCACTTCCTAGAGCTGGGCTCAGCTTTCTAGATTCCTTCTTCAACTTATCCTTTCTGCCTAATTTAGAACAAGGCCACCCAGAAGTCCTAATGTTCTGCTCCTCCCCATCCCTTGGCTCTGACCCTGGGGACCCTGACACTGGCCTGTACTGAAAAGGAATTTACCACACCCTCTTGGGCCTCCTGCCCCAGGCCACTGGCCCTTCTCCCCTTGCCTTGGTCAGTTTCCCAAGGCCCCAAGCTATTTTTGCCTCCACCCCAGCCTACCATTTTCCCCACGGTGGAAGTTGCCAGGGTGGTACCTCATATGACGCACACAGCAAAGACCAGAAAATCCATGGGAACAGGCTGTGCCATTGGATCAGAACCCACCTTTGGGGTCTCCAGCCTACTGGCTGGCCCCTGTCCTTCTAGTCTCAAGGCCTTGCCTTCTAGGCCCTAGAGACTTGCTTGATGCTTCCAGGCTTGGCTGACTTCCCTGAATCAACTGCTAGACCCAAGGTATCTGACAGGCCCCTACTGTCCTCTCCAGACCCCTACTCATTACCTCATCCACCTTTGATCATCTGCTAATTGCCTGGGCATTCTTGAAAGAATGGCAAGACAAAAAGCCTTCTGTTTTTAACAAGCAGGACTCATCCATCACCACACCTGTCATTTGACATATCTGAACCAGACCTAAAGGCTTCCCAACCACTGAGGTCTCCAGGTCTATTCCTCACACATCATGGACACGATGAAAGAGCTTCTTCACTTCTCGCTCCCTCTGTTTCTCCACTGGCATGAACTCCCTGTTTCCCACAGAAGCTGATGGGGAATAATGACTTCTTGATTTGTTACTCTGAGCTCCTCAAATACGACATGCTATGTCCATAAAGGCATCAGGCCTTCCCATAAGGCATAGGAAGTGAACCCATCTAATGCTAAATCTTCCAGTGCTTGGCTCCAGCAAGCACATGGGGCAGAAACTAATAACTATAAAGCATCCATCTATCATCTTATCAGGCCTTAGTGTGCTTTGTTTGCATAGTTATCTTCCCACAGGTTGACATTTTATGCTTACTGCAAGCTGATATATTCTCCTACCTGCCATATCATTCATAAAGGATAGACAAGCCTCAGGTTCATTACCTGTCATTACACCATGTACATGTCACCAGGGGCCAAAGCATTGATTCTTCTTGGATCTCCCCAGCAGTGCAGCCCCAAACGCCCAGGCTCCAGGTCTAATGGGCGTGGATTCTGCTCATGCCTCAGGCCCTGGGTGGACTCCACGCCATCACTTCTTGCTCTTGTGGCTGACCCACTCCTCAGGGTTGGACAGAGCTTCTGAGCTCCCAGCTGCTCAGAGGGGATCTGCAGGAAGAACAGAGGGCTCCATCACCCACCAGGGCCAGAAACACATGTCCAGGTTTTAGCTGTTCTCGAAAATTCTAGCCATCCTTCTCTTTCTCTTTATTATTAGGGCCTGCAATTCTTCATGACTATACCAACTCGATCTCATCCAGGGTTTTCACTGACAGTGTCCTGCCCACCAACCCAGGCCCAGGCCTCAACACACACACACACACCGCACACACATGCACACACACGCCCTTCATTCCTTTCTTACCTCAGCATATTTCATTTCATCTGCCTGAAAGACTCACCTTCTAATCCTGCATCCAAACCCTAGCCATCGTTCAGAGTTTAGCCCAGACTGACCAACAGAACCTCACGCTGTTCCATCACCCCAGGAAAGAGAAAGGAGATGCATGTTCTCGCATGTGAGATGTATATAGAAGTGCAAGGACACGTTTATGTGGAACATTCCTTAACTCTTCTATCCCAGATCTCCCAAGCAAGGCTTCTGGTGTTCTGTAGTTTGTTGGGGGGGGGGGGTCCAGGTAGGACACCCCACCTATGGCTGATGATGAACATCTTTTCATAGTTCGTCATCTCAGAGTGAGAGACAAAAGTGGAAACACAAACCTTGCTGAGATGAGGAACAGAGACACCGGCTCCACAGAGCCATCACATTTCATAGCCAAGATTGTGCCTTATGCTGTGTCAGGAGGGGCCAAAGTCCTTCTGGCTGAAGCAGCCTGCCCCAGCCTGGAGGTCTGCCCATCTCCGGACAAGTCCAAGGTGGCTACAGCCCTGCATCTCTGAGCAGGCACAGCCCCCATCTCTTGGGGGTGAAAAGAGTAGGCTCCTGGGGTACCCACCTGGCTGTGACTCTCAGCTCCACCCCAACCATGGGCTCCTCCAGGCCTCAGTGGGCCATTGCTGAGAAGAGACCGTGGCAGACGAAGAACATCCATCGGGACACCCAGCATTGCAGACAAGGGGAAGCCCCAGAGATAGGAGTGAGAGTGGCAAAAGAAGGAAGGGACACATATATAATGATTAGACTCTCTTCAAGCTGCTTTTGCATCCATTGGGGATCCATTTAGTTTCTCAGTAGCTCTGTGGAGGGGTGTTTGAAAGACTAGGAAACAGATGCACAGAGAGGTTGAGAAGCTTGCTAAAGATCACACCGTAAGTAAATGAAACAGCCAATTATCATTCTTTCCAGCAAGCTCCCTGGCCCTAGGTTAATTTCATCTTCCTTCCAAGTCACCTCAGGGGTGGGGGATGAGTGGGAATGGGAAGGAGGAGGGGGACATTGGCCTGTTTGCCCTGCTATGGGGGGATGGGGAGAAGAGGAGAACAATCATGCCTTTGGATTCTTCCCTCATAGGAGGGTCGAAGAGGAGAAAGCACAGAGATAACAGAGTGATAAATAAGAAAGACAAGAATGTGGAGGCTCCTAGTTAACAGGAGCGGCTCAGGCACAAAGAAATTGGCTGCGATAAACAGCCACTGCTTTGGGAGAGGCTAGGCTGACCTTGAGCCTCCCAGCAACTTGGCCCTCTACAGCTCACACTCCAAGTCACTTCTCTGCAAAGCAACAGAGGTTAGAAGCCCCTTCGAAAGAGCAAAACAACTATTATTATCTCCAAAAGGCACATATACATTTCATATACTCTATGTGTGGAATATATTCTTAAATAATAAAAATGAAAACAACTCATAGAAGTCTGCCCATTTGACGAAAGATCTCAGTTGCTCCTGGACAATGGGATTCTCTGCTTGATTCCAAAGCAGCTCTTCTCATGACATAGAGAAACTCACAACCTAGGACATTCCTACTTAGCAAGGAAAGGCAGGGCCAACCTCCTTCTGGAACAAGTAACATAGGCCAAAGGCCAGGAAACCCAGGGTAGGTAGCAGATCCATAGAGTTTGGCAGGAAAATAACTTCAAACCTTAATGGCAGCCATGTAGCTCAGTGCAGCCCTAAGTGCCCACCTCTAGTCAACAGAAGACTAGATCTCCAGACTTCAGGCTCAGGGAAGAGCAGAAAATCTGCCCCTGGCATCATCGCTCTTTGTCCCAGGCTGTCCATGGATCCTTGTTCAGCCTTGGGACTTTCAGTGAGCCCTGCTATGTGCAGAAGATGCCATGGGGGAAGGAGAAGAAACTACACTCTTAAGAAGCCGGTCACCATCCCACCCCGACTGGCTGCAGGTCACCTGGCAGCTGTGGCCCCAGAGGCAAACAGCTACAGCACATTCATTTTTGTTGGCGTGGGGAGGGTGAGGATAGGAGCTCTTCCAAGCTCTCCTGCAAGTTGGGGTTGAAACATATTCACAGCAGATGGTGCTGTCGCCCTCACTCCGGGATTCTCATTCCTAATTATCTGTGCTGTCAGCAAAACAATTAACCCTCAAAGAAAAACTGCACCGTCCACTCCCAACCATATGAAAAGGCAATTTTTTCCAAGGACAAGGGACACTTAGGGCAGCCTTGCACTTGGTTCTGGATCTCACCACCCTGGGTGATCTCGCCATTCTTTGACCTCTGCACTCTGTCACAGGCATTGCGGCAGCCCCCCTCCTCTGAGCCTGCGGTTCCTTTCTCATAAAAGAAGGAGGTGAGTCTGTTCCCAAGGGCCCCCTTCAGTACCACAGTGCCACCACTCTACAAGCCATTTCTTTTCATCTGAATTTTCAGTTCCTTTGGAGCTGGAACTGAGTTTCTGTTTGTTTCCTCATTCGTTTGCTCACTTGTTTATTTACCCCTCCATCCATCCATTCTGTGATTTTGGATTTATCATGTTGTTCCCAGGAGATACAAAGACAATATCTGTTCAGCCTTCTTGACTACTTCTTGGAGCTCTTTTCCCCCGGAGATGTGGGCAGAGGAAGGAAGGATAGGATAAGGAGAGGTGGAACTGCCAGGGGCCTGAGGATGTAGCCCTGGCTCGGTCTCAGGCTGTAGGAGGCAAGGCCTGTGGCTGCATTTGGATTCTCTCTGAAGATTTAGCTGCAGAAAAGCAGCCTCCTCTCCAGGGAGCTGAATTTAGTGAGGAAGCCACTTCAGTCCCCAGGGAAGACCTGCAGAGGTGTGATCTGAGGAGAGCGGACAGGCTCCCACCCCATCACCCATCAGCGAGATAGGTCTTATTCGCCACTGTAGGGCTGGTGACAGCACAGGGCCTGCCCTTGGTAGGTGCTCATTAAACATCTGAGGCATGAGTGAATGACTCTCCTTAAAGGAGCTGTTGTAAAAGAAAGGAGAGTTTTCACAGGGCTACAGCATGCCGCTTGTTACCTTAGAGGCCTACTATTCAAAGCCGGGATCAGTTGGTCTAATTCACCCATCATCATGCACTGCCATGGAAAAGAACACAAAATGAGCAAGAAACTGTGGAATGATTCACTGTCAATGCTGAAAGAGCCCTCAGAGATGGTGACATCCAGGGCCACATTTTACAAGTGTGATCTGGAGATGTTGAGGGGGAGATGGAGAGAAACCCTGCCGTTGGTGGGGGGCCTCCCTCCAAGGCCTCACTCTCGTTCCACAGACTGGGGAATGCATGATGTAGAAAGGAAAAGAAAGGTCCATCAGGGCCATTGTGGGGCTCAGGCAGGGACAGTGCCCTGGGCACCCAGGAAAGAGGTGCAGAAACTGGATAGGGGCTGGTGGGATCAGGGAGCTGGGACCCCTCCCCCGACATCATATTTCCCAGTCTAAGCCTTGTGACATCTTTCTTCCCTCTCCCAACTGTCTACCAGAGCTTGCCCCCTCCCAGTGCCCAGGAGCACAGGTTCCCATGCCAGCTCATCTGCATAAAGGGATTGTGTTTATATTCAAAGTGGGCTGCTGCCCACTCAGAAGCTGCCCACTCAAAGGCAGCACATGTGACTGCACCCCCTGCCCAGAGCCCAAGTGGGACTGATGCCAACGTCTGGCTGGAGACATTTCTAAATATGAGCTTGGCACAAAGAGTCAGGTTCCCAGGCCTTCTCTGCCACAGGAGACCCAGCCAGGATTTTCAAGGCTGCCAGGAGGGACAGGGCTGGGGGCAGGCAGGATCGGGAGGCAGCCAGCTGAGACGGCCATCGTCCCCAGAAACATCGCCCGAACCCCTCCCTGGCCCTCCAGCCTTGTTAGGGGAAGAGAAAGGATTACCCTGCACCTAGAGAGTGTAATCAATTCCCCACAACCCTCGGCAGGAGGGACGGGAAAGCCACTGCCTGCTCAAATGTGTATGGATTAAAAATATACAAATGGAATATTTTTTTCTTCCCCTCTCCTCAACCCCCTGAAGCCTAGGATGCTTGTTAAAAATAGCCTTGCTGTGGCATGGATCCTACACAACCCAACGGCTGGCAGAAAAATTAAGGAGCCACTGGAGACAGCGCTGTTAAGTGGCTACCCCTGGGGAGTGGAATGGGGAGGGCCAGGAGGGAGGGAGGTGCTTTCAAGTGTTGCCGGACACACTTCTACATTGCCTGGATTTTTAACAACAAGCAGATATAAAATAAGTTCATTGTTTTTTACTGGAGTTTCATCCTTTGCATCCTCCAGCCTACGTTTAAGGCTGAATTCATACTTAGTGACCCGACAGTACCTGCTGGCTGGCCTGGCAGTGCTCCAAGGAGACCCAGGACGCTCAGGCCACCCGGTACAAACACAGCCCAGCATCAAGAAAACAGCACTGAATCAGTCAGTCTTGGATCTGTAACCAGCTGGCTGTGCGACCTTAGGTAAGTTGCTTGAGCTCTCTGGGCCTCAGTTTCCTTAACTGTAAAATGATGCGGTTAGATTAAATGTTAAGCCAGGTACCTTCTACTACTAGAAGGTATTAGATCTAACTGCATCATTTTACAGTACCTTCTAGCACCCTCTAGAAGGTATTCTAGTCCTAGCATTTCCTAATTTTAAGGATTGAGGAAAAACATCTAAGATTTGCCCTGTGTTTGTCCCCACCATGAACAGTGAGAGGAATTTGTCCCTGGGCAAATTCCTGCCTCATCTATAACATAGAGTAATAATACCCACACCCAAAGGCTGTTGTAAATATTAAATGCAATAAAATAAAAAAGTACTTGCTCATTGTAGGAACTTAACATCCTTCTATTCCTTTCTTCCTCCTATATTTAGCCCACACTCTGGAGGCCGCATTGCTGGCTGGTTAAGAAATGTGGGCTCTGGAATCAGGTTTGTATCCCAGCTCCACCACCTATCAGCTGTGTGACCTTGGGTAAGCAACTTAATTTCTCTGTGCCCTGGCTTCTTCATCTATGAAACAGGAGTGGGTCGGGAGTGGTGGATGTGCTGCCCACGCCCACACTCCTTCCCCTAATAGCCTGTTGGGCTCCCAGTTTTCAATCTGCATCATCTGCGGATCTGGATTTTGGAACTTCCTTAACAGGCCCCCTCCTCTCTCCCAACCTCTCTAAACTTCCTGGCCCACAGCTGCCTGCCACCTGCAGATTGTTCCACTGGCCTATCCCCTTCCCTCTGCACTCCCTCCCCCGCCTGCTTTGGTCTTTACTCAGCAGGCTATGCACCTGGCTAGGAGTGGGGCTTCTACCCTGGAGCCATGGGGATGTGTGTTTTATTTATTTATTTATTTAAATTTATTTTTGAGATGGAGTCTGGCTCTGTCACCTAGGCTGGAGTGCAGTGGCACGATCTCGGCTCACTGCAACCTCCACCTCCCAGGTTCAAGCTATTCTCCTGCCTCGGCCTTCCGAGTAGCTGGATTGCAGGCACACACCTCCACACCCGGCTAATTTTTGTATTTTTAGTAGAGACGGGGTTTCACCTTGTTGGCCAGGCTGGTCTTGAACTCCTGACCTCAAGTGATCCACCCACCTCAGCCTCCCAAAGTGATGGGATTATAGGCGTGAGCCACCACACGTGGCCGGGAAGTGTGTTTTAAATCAGTGCTTGTCAAACTTCTACGTGCTTATGAATCACCTGGGATCTTGTCACAATGCAGGTGCTGTTCAGTAGGTCCCAGGTGGAGTCAAGATCCTGCATTGCTAACAAGCTCCCAGGGGATGCCCATGCCACTGGTCTGGGATCACCTTCTGATTAGCCAGGCTGCAGAGTGGAGGACGTCCTGGCACGTGTATGGTGAGGGGAAGGGGAAAGGGGGAAAAAAAGGGAGACAGGGACAAGGCCAGCCAGTTATCCAAAACAGAGAAGGAGTAGAATTTAGACAAAGATGGTATAATGGAGATCAAGTGTGGATTCAAGAGACAAAGAGGAAAAGTAGGAGAACGCTTTATGAAATTATGACATTAGCCAACCAATAAAAATAATGCTTATTGAGATAATGCAGCAACACAGAAGAATGCTTATAGCATATTAACTCAAAAAGCAGACTACCAATTATATGGATACTATGTCTTCAACGCCGCCAAATGCAGGTTTAGGAAAGCTGATAAGTCATGAGGACCATGAAGGTTGTGCTGTGGTAATGTAACGACATGTGTTTTTATTTATTTGTCATTCTCTGGATTTTCTGGAAGAAGTTGTGTCATTTTTGTAATTTAAAATTTATCTTCTATATACTCTCTGATGTCCACTCCTCAAAATCACCAGTTATTCTTTGTTATGGAGGTTTTCTGTATTTTAAGCACAAACTGCCATTGTTGCAAAGGCTGCAAAATGGTGCATTAAATCTTCTCAGTCAAACCCAAAAATAAAGCAACCCAGATTCTGTTTTTCCTCTAAGCCAAGGGTCCAGCGCTTTGGAAGGCTGGTGCTATCACCTCTCACTATAGCAACAGGAAGACCTTGGTAACCCCGAGCTTACAGTTATTAAGGGTAAAAATAGGAAGTCTGTGGATAGCTGTTCAGTAAGAAGCTGCAGTAGGTGTGCACTGGACAGGCTGGGTTTGGAGCCCTTTCTTGCAGGAAATAGAAAGCAAAAATCAGACTCCAGGAGCTGGTTCCTGCAGGATTACTAGGAGTGCTTGGCATTTTCTTCTTTGTTTCCTATTTCAGGGCTATCAGCTACCTTTCAAACTGGTTTCTGACATGCGTAGAGGTGGACTCTTCTAGAACAGCAGCCTCAGAATTCACTTAGGAATTGGGCATGTTCACCCGACTCCCAAATGCCCAACCCCCAAGGTGCCCTGCGCACTTCTGTTGTGCTTTCCTGGCATACCAGCACCGCCCCCCACACCCCCAGACCTCCATCCCACTCTGTCTCTTCAGCATGCTCCTGGGCGGGTATTTCAGGAGTATATTTCTGTCTCTTCAGCATGCTCCTTGGCAGGTATTTCAGGTCCCCCAGTGTCCCAACAAGGCCTTGGCTCCGACCTCTGGGAGGCTGGAGAGGGTCCCAGCCCCAGTCTGGCTGATCCTGCCTGAGGTGCAGTGTCTGGCCCCAGCCCTGCTGCCCAGTTCCTGGATCCATTTTGCACTCTGGCAAACCAAGTGCAAGGCCCAGCTCTGCTGCCATCTGGCTGTGGGAACTTGGGCAAATCATTTCCCATCTCTGAACCTCAATTACATGATCTATAAAAATGTTAAAATGGGTTTATGGGATCTCTTGGTCCTATCTGGCTCTCATACTCTATGATGCCCATGGAAATAACCATTTATCTAGTAATACAGGTGAGATATTTCACATACAACGATTTTCTAGACAACTGAACAACTGAACATTGCCCCACTAAGCAACAAAATGTGTTTGATTTTTAAACCTACTGCATAAAGTATTCTTTTAATGTTTACATGCTTCTCTTCCTCACCATGTTGGCCAGGCTGGTCTCAAACTCCTGACCTCAAGTGATCGGCAAATGACACAAACCCTAAAATGTGTGTACTTTCTGCCCCAGCTTCACCCCACAAAGCACTTGAAGGGCTGAGATGCTGAACATGACTGAACCTTGTCTTGCTGACCCTCTGCCACCAGCACAAGGCTCTTTGCCATGCTGAGCATTTGTCTCTGTCTCTCTGCTTTTCTTCTTCTATCCACCCCTTCCTCATAGTCAGTCTCCCATGAGTCATGCCCTGGTTGAGAACACCTGCCTCAAGCCGCTTCCTGTACCTCTAATGCAGAACATGGGTTCCCCCAAGGCTGGGCAACCCAGGGTTCTGAGTGAGGGTGGGGGCAGGGGTGTTCTTGGAAATAAGGTGCCAGGCTTTAGCCATTTTTGCTAACCAGAGGCCCTTTTACCTGACTTTGCCATCTGTGTCTGTGTTCTGGATAGGAGAGGTTGCTTGCAGGCTGGTCTCTGGGTAAGCAGAGTGTCACTGGGCGCTGCTTCCTTCTGTCTCAATGGCTGGTTTCCCCAGAGCGGGGCTAACAGACCATCAGAGGAGCTGACCAACCACGGAGGCCAGATGAGAAAGTGAAATCAGATTTAGAATTTCACTCCAACTCTACATCCCTAGCATCATCACCCTTTTCTTTTTCCTTTTTTTTTTTAGATGGAGTCTTGCTCTGTTGCCAGGCTGGAGTGCACTGGTGGGATCTTGGGTCACTGCAACCTCTGCCTCCCGGGTTTAAGTGATTCTCCTGCCTCAGCCTTCTGAGTAGCTGGGATTACAGGCACGCGCCACCACACCTGGCTAATTTTTGTATTTTTAGTAGAGATGGGTTTTCACCATGTTGGTCAGGCTGGTCTCGAGCTCCTGACCTCATGATCCACAAGCCTCAGCCTCCCAAAGTGCTGGGATTACAGGCATGAGCCACCACGCTGGGCCAGCATCACCCTTTTCTATAGAGTGATTCCCAGTTTTTGTTTGTTTTTTTTTTTTTTTTTTTTTTTTGAGACGGAGTCTCGCTCTGTTACCCAGGCTCACGGCAACTTCCTCCTCCTGGATTCAAGCCATTCTCCTGCCACGGCCTCCCAAGTAGCTGGGACTACAGGCACGCACCACCATGCCCTCAAGCTCCTGACCTCAAGTGATCGGCCTCCCAAAGTGCTGGGATTATAGGCGTGAGCCACCACTCCCAGCCGTGATCCCCAAATTTCAATATGCTCTTGCCTGTTGCTTTTTCCCATAAAAGATACCATAATTCCTCAGTTGAGGCTTTCTTTTCCCTGCTTCCCCTAGGAAGCCCTCCAGAGGCAGGAGGTTAGAGGCAGGCTTCCTCAGACGCAGAACTGACTGGCAGAGCAACACGTGTGCACCCACTCCCTCCTCTCCCCGTCAAGCAGCATGAATCCTCACCCTGCTGCCTCTGCCTTGGGCCCCTGGGCACACCAGCTTCCACCAAGGCTTCACATGCTATGGGGTGGGCAGCCTCTTCCCTTACCTGACCCAGCCAACCTCTGCTTTCTCACCAACCCTACCAAGATTCCACTGGAACATCTGAACTCCCTGCTCAGGGATGGAACCAGCAAAGAGCCTGGAGGTTGTGGTCACAAAAGAGAATTGGAGTTTTCCAGCAGGGAGGTAGGCCATTCTGAGAGATGTTAATACCTATGAAAAGGCCAGGCTCCAGCCACATGGAAGGGAGGTTCTGGGGATGAAACACCGAAGTCACCTTGAGACCAGGGTGGGAAATGGTTTGCAAGACACTGAGGTCAACATGCAAAAAGGCAGGAATCAGGGCTGAGGAGGCCTGGAAGGCAGGTACAGAGGTTTCTGTGAGCCCACAGCCCTGTTGGCCTGCCCCAGGGAGCAGCATGGTAGCAATGACATGAGCCAAGACTGTAAAATAGCATGAGCCTTGCAAAATAATAACTACCAAGAGCCAGGCATTTTCCAAGGCTAACTCACTGCAGTCATCACAACAACCCTGCCCTTGAGTTGGCACCTACTTCCACTTTGCCACCTGCAGGGTGGAGGGGTGGGGATGTTACACACTGTTAGGAGTTGATGCCGTCATAGGAGCCAGAGCAGAAGGCAAGTTCAGATTTAGAATTCAACCCCAGCTTTATACATCCCTGATGTCATCCTAGGTCCGAGTCTAGCTCCCAATTTTACAGATGAGTAAACTGAGGCTTACAATGGGTAAGCAGCCAAGGTCACACAGTTTATAAAGGCAGAGCCTGGATACAAATCCTCACCTACCTCATTCCAAAGTGAACCCTCTTCACTGCCACACTTCCCTGCAGTCCACAGTTCCCCACTAGGGCAAGGACCATGACTGCCTGACTGTTTTGTTCCAGAGGATCCTGCTATCTCACAAATAAAAATGTTGCTCCAGGCCAGGAGTGGTGGCTCATGCCTGTAATCCCAGCACTTTGGGAGGCCAAGGTGGGAGGGTCACTTGAGGTCAGGACTTCGAGACCAGCCTGACCAACATGGTGAAACCTTGTCTCTACTAAAAATACAAAAATTAGCTAGGCGTGGTGGCACATGCCTATAATCCCCGCTACTCGGGAGGCTGAGGCAGGAGAATAGCTTCAACCTGGGAGGCAGAGGTTGCAGTGAGCTGAGATCGTGCCACTGCACTCCAGCCTGGGTGACAAGGCTAGACTTTGTATCAAAAACAAACAAACAAAAAACACAGCTCCTGATCTGCCATAGAGGCTAAGAGTGCCAGTGAGGTCATTCCCCTGGGGAGGGCCGGTTTCCAAGAGTTCCTGAGTGGACATGCATCACCTGGCTGTGCCTGCTGCCCCTCTGCTCTCACACACACACATGCATCTGGCCAAGGGAAAAAGCCCTGAGGGACAGATGGGAGGCATGGAAGCTGGGGGAGGGGCAAGGAGGTGGCAGAAGAGCACAGTAGGGGCCACAGGGTCAAGGGGGCTTTAATGCAGCCCTAGGCATGGTGCTGGCTGGCTGGTGGCTGGCAGGACCTATTAGCAGCTTGCTCAGTGGCTCCTTCAAATTGAAAGGTCACAGCATCCTGGCCATACCCATCAGGGGAGGGAGGACTAAAGGAGGAAAACATTTTTCCCCTCAGTATATTTTCCAATATGAAATGGGCATGGATGAAAGAAATGTCAGAGAAGAGCAATGATAAATTTTCTCTTTACATCAAGAAGACCAAGTTCAAGTCTGCATCTTTTTTTGATTAGTTTCTTGCATATTGCCTAATGCCCACCTAGCACCACCAGATGCAAACTATAGAGGCTGCATATGTGTTTTAGGGAGTCCCTATAATATGTTCTGTCCTGTTGAGATGACACATTGACAAATGAATAAAGCAGATCCCTACATAAGGGGGCGTGTGGTCTTGTGAGAGGAGGCTGGGCACACAGCTCCAAAGGCAGAGACCCTGAGTCACCCAATCTTGGAGTGATGCTGAAATGAATGATGTCCATGCTAAACGCTGGAGGAGGAAAGTTTAAAGTAGAATCAAGCTTTTCCAGAGGTGGTAGATCCTCCAGCCCTACCACCACTCAGACTAGTTGGCCAGCCACACGCAGGGGAATGAGCTAAAGTCTGGTCCATTAGGGCCCAAGATGGCAAAGGGCCTAGAAATTCCACATTTAACAGAGGCCATGCAGTGGGGGTACACAGTACTGGCATCCTGGAGGGCAGTTTTAAAGGGAGGGGGAGAGAGACTGCAAAACTCAGCCCAGGATGGGGACTACATTTTCTTCATTTTGTGGCCCCTGCACCTAGCACAGTGCCTGGCCTGTAATGGGAATGCCACCTGCCCTTCATAAACAGGGCTATGTCCCACAGCATTGACAGTCTGCTGCACTGCACGGCACTACACTGAAATGAGTGCGTTTCCTCAGTGCATGTGCTGAGTCCCACTCTAACTAGACTGGGACTCTTAAAAACTGTTTTCTTTGTTTATTGTTTTGAGTGGAATATTAGCTTTCTATTACTGCTGTAACAAATGGCCACACCCTTAGTGGTTTACACAACATGAATTCATTATCTTACAGTTCTGGAGGTTGAAGTCTGACAAGGGTCTCACTGGGCTAAAATCAAGGTGTCAGCTTAGCTGTATTCCTTCCTGGAGGCTCTAGGGAGGAACATCTCCTTGCCTTTTCAAGCCTCCAGGGGCTGCCTGCATTCCTTGGCTGGTGCACCTTCCTCCATCGTCAAAGCTAGAAGCATAGCATCTCTCTGAAGGTTCTTCCGTAGTTACGTCTCCCTCTCTGACCACGGCCAGGCAAGGTTCCTGCTTTTAAGGGCTTATGCGACTAGATTGAGCACATCTGGATAAACCAGGATAATTTCCCCATCTCAGTATCTATAACCTTAATCCCATCTGCAAAGCCCCTGTGTCACATAAGGCAACATACTCACAGGTTCTGGGGATTTGAGTGTGGACATTTTGGAGAGGCCATTTCCTGCCAACCACAAATAACAAATACATTCACATTGTTCAAAACCCAAATGGCATAAAAGGCTATAGATTGAAAAGGTGCCCTTCCACCCCTGTCGCCCACCACCCAGTTCCCCTCCCTGTTAACATTTCCTTGTGTTTCTATCCCAAGAGGTTTTATGCCTAAAGCAATAGCAGTATGTATAATTTTTACACCCATGGTACAGTACCATAATACTGTTCTGCAACTTGTTTTTATCATAACACCCTTGAGATTGTCCTGGATCCGTATATAAAAGCATCCTTGTTCTCTTTAATGGCTGCATACCCTTCCAGTCTGTGGATGCACTATAGTTGATTAATCTAGTCTCCTGCTGATGGACTCTTAAGTTGTTTATAATCTTTTGGTCTTACATACAACACTGCAGTGAACAATCTCGTATGTATACCATTTCCTGTATGTGCCTGGATGTCTGTAGAATAAATTCATATAAGTGGAACTCATGGGCCAAAGGACATCTGCATTAAAATTCCCCAGCTACTGCTGAATGGCCCTTCACAGAGCTGAACTAATGTACACACACACTCCCCACCCCAAGCCATGTGTGAGTGCGAGATGGAAGCCCTTTTTGACAGAGAAGCCACGGCTCACACCTCTTCTTTACCCCTCCCTGCTGCCCCCGTGTTTATTCCAGGGATGAACCCAGGAAGCCCTTGAGGATTGCTGCCACTCAAAATCCCCTGGACTCTTGTTGGTGACGGGGCAGGAGTGGAGAGGAGGACAAAGCCGGCAGCCAGCAAAGGAGGGCCCAAGTTCAAAGGTGTTAAAAGACCCGTGGCTTTGGGTGTCTCAACCAGCAAACTTCTCCTCCCTCACGGACTTTCTACAGGCTTGCAAGCCAACTGGTTTCCCCAGTGGGGAAAGTATACCACCACTGTCTAAAAGGAGGGCCTCTCGCCATGGATGTGCTACAAGAGGAGATAACAAATGCATTTGGGTTTCCAATGGCCCAGCTGCACCGTGTTAAGAAAAACGCCGTTTTCCTGCTCTTAATCCATTCCTGGTGGAGATGTTGCTTCAACTTGAAGGAGCCTTTTATGTGCTGAAGTCAACTGCAATCTAAAAGATAAGTTAAATCACTTATTCAGGAAGACAGGAAGCCTTTGACAGCAGTGACTGATTAAGATTTCACAGCAGCCAGAGCCAGGCCTACGGAACCCAAAGAGTGCTCGTTCCCTCACCAACCAGCACTGTTGGCCCCTCCTTGGCAGCAAGCCAAGCTCAGAATCCTACCCTCGGGGAGATTTCCCTCTGACAGAGCATGGAGGGGGCTGGAGCAGACAGAGGGGAGTGCTAAGTCCCAGCAGGTGAACCTGAGAGCCCTGATGACAGGAACTAGAGATACCCCACCCTCTGCCCAGCCCCCTTCCTCACCTCCATTTAGCCTTGGCCTGGTCTCCCATGGTCAGCTCAAGGGTCCCCTCTTCCAGGAAGCCTTCCCTGACCCTACAGGCCAGGACTCGCAGGTGCCTTTACACAACATGTTCCTAGAGCACTTGTACTTTACCCCATCCTCGCACCTTTGACTCTGAAGACTTGCCTGTCACCTGGCATGGCAGCCACTTGACTGTGAGCACTCTGGGGGCAGCACATGGTACCATGCTGGATGCCCACTAAGCTCTTGGCACGTGTTTGGAAGGCAGAGGAACCTGAGCTCAGGGAACAGAGTGACTACCTGCCTTGCCAGTGTCACCTGCCAGCTTATCCAAGTGCTCACAGCCCTGCTGGCTGCTAACCACTGGGCCAGGCCCTGGGGGCATCCGCAGTATTCCAACAGGGCTTCTTGTCCTAAAATGCCACCCAGGCCCCAAAGGCCCACTGTTAGAATCCACTCTTTTAGCAAAGCATCACCTCCAGAAAGTTCCCATCCCCAAGAGGAGGCACAGTCTCACCCTGTGGTCCTCTTCATCTGCTTGGCCAGCCAGGGATGGGGCTCAGGGGAAGGATTAATCTAGGGCCCAGGATGCTGACCAGGGTGAGCAGGCTGGAGGAGGCACTGGGGTGGGCAGTCCATGGGCAGCCTGGGGGCACTGGGTCCAGAAGATGAAAGTATGCCTCAAGGGCATCAAGGTAAGATCCCAACTTTACACATGAACAAAACCCTCAGAAGAGCAGAACTGGGCTAAGTTCAGGACAGAAGAGATGTGCAAGCAGGTGAGCAAATGATGTCAAGGTTGGAGGTGAGCTGAAAGGCGCAGGGGGTAGCTCTGTGGAAAGCACAGTGTTCACTGTGTTGGGAGGGCTGGGACCCAAGTTACTCCACCCCTAGTCCCCCACTTCTGCACCAGTGGTAGCCCTGGGCAGGCCATCAACCTTAGATATCTGAATATGAGAATCATCATCTGCCCTGCCTGCCTTGCACAACTACTGCTCTACATTAAATCAGAAAGGAGATGAGAAAATTCTCTAGAAGCCTAAAAGCAATATAGAAATAGAAACTGTTGTAACAATCATCATTTGCTTTTTCAGAGTGTCTTGCAGCCTGTATAGGGCTTTCCTATCCAGTAACCTCCTAACCCTCAAAACAACTCTGGGAGATAGGTATGGATATGTATACTCAATTTACAGATGTGAAAACTGAGGAACAGATAGTTCCAGCCCAGAATCACACCAATAACAAGGGGCTGAGGTGACAGCTATGTCCAGGTCTTCTGCTGCAAATAGAGTATTCTATTTACCACACCAAGATGTACCCTCCATTGTCTAAAATCACAAGCTCTGGCTGTACAGAAAACCCTCCTTATTCTTCAGTCTTTCTATGGATTTGTTGATTCCTCCTCCTTCTTCAATCCATCCGTGGATTTGCTGATTGACAAATGAGCTTCCCTGGTCTCCTTGTCATGGCACTGTTTGGGGGAGTTTGTGGTCAGAGTTTTTATCTGAGGACAAGAAACCAGGCTGCAGCCTGGGCTCAGCCTCTTATCCATTGTGGGGCTAAGGAAGAGTCCCTGTCCCCCAGTATTCTCCAATCCCATCTGATGTTAAAACCTCTTAATGACCCTGATCTAAGCATTTCCAGAAAAAGGTTCTCAGGGCCTTTCTGGGGGTGGCGGGGGCAATCCTTTGTGACAGCATGAAAAGCCGGATGGGGCTGGCCTGGTTGCAATGGCACACGCTAGGTTCCAGGCACTCCACACGTTTCTCATGATAACCTCGTGGTTGATACTCACACAGATGAGGAGCTGAAAGGCTGCAGGAGCTGCCCACCATCCTCACACAGCGTGGAAGTGGTAGCACCAAGACTGAGGCCCAGGAGGGGGGTCCAAAGGGCCATCCTGCATTTTCCATTGCAGCAGGGTGGGAAGGAGAGGGAGATAGAGACTTTACCTCTACTCTAAATCACCTCCTTAGGTTGCCATATTTTCCTTACTTCAATGAATTATGTGGAACAAAATACACTCAATTGGTAGCAGAAATCGGCCTCCAGTTTCTCAGATCCTCATTCAACGAAAGCATCCTTTGCAGGTGCCACTGCTTGGGAATACACCTGTAATTCACATCTGCACACAAAACTCCATCTTTCTTTGAGGCCTGAACAAACAGGTTTTTGTCGTTTTGTGGTTTTTGTTTGTTTGTTTGTTTAAGAGATGGGGTCTCACTATGTTGCCCAGGCTGGCCTCAAACTCCTGGGCTCAAGGGACCCTACTGCCTCAGCCTCCAGAGTAGCTGGGATGACAGGTGCACACCACTGTGTCCAGCTTTACAAATAGGTTTCTTAGGCTGACCTTATCAATCTCAACATCAACACAATTAAGGAATTTGCTCACAATAGTCTCCTGTTGGAGTCTTTACGTGCACGAACATCGTTCTCACAGACCATCCAATATGGACAAACTTGACTTGGAAACAGGAAAATAGGGAGGTAATTAATCACCTGGTAAAAGGACACACCCCAGATGTACTTTTCACATCACCATCCCCAAATATGCCTTAAGGGGCATCAAGGTAACATCCCAGCTTTATACCACATGAATAGAGCTTCTCTATTCATGTGGTTTTCAGAACATATCCATCTACTAGACTCAGGAACTTGACTTGAGAGACATGGATATTTCTTGCTTCCTGGCAGCAAATCCAACAGCAATTCCAGTCCCTGCAGCCAGTTAGGCAGGGAGGAAAGGGCTGGTGTGTCAGGGCTGGTCCAAGCACACTGGTATACTTGAGTCAACATCTGCAGCAGAGGAAGGGAGACAGAGGGGACTGAATAAACGGAGCTGTGCCATTGGGAGTCCACCAAGCACGCCAATGCCCTCCTACGCCCCTCAGCTCCAGGCCTCCTGGCCTCACACCACCCTAGAACATTCTTGTTGCCCAAACCTCAGAGGAGGGCTTTCCCTGAACCAACTCTGACTTCCTGCTTCCTCTCTGACCCTACATGGTGGTACTCCACCTCTGCCAGACATCCCTTCCCTGCTCTGCCTGCAGCTTCATCAAAGCCTACTGGGCCCTGGAGAAGAGAGCCATGCCAATCCCCCCTGCAGTGAGCTAGCACAGTGCATTCAGGTTAGTTACTTTCCTTCTTGGGCATCTCTGGTTTATAACATGAGCCTCTTGGAGAGGGCGGTATTTTGAACAAAAGGAAATAATCTTTCATTGTGAAATTTCAAGGACTGTGGGGGAAGAAATCCAGTGAGGCTGGAGGGCAGTAATGGGGGAACAGAGAGATCTCTGAGATACAACAATGTCACACGGACCAGCCATGAGCTACTACTGGAAATCTGTTTTTCAAAATTTAAAAGAGTCAATTTCCAGATGTCTGCTTAGCGGAGCCAAACTGCTGTTGATTTGTTCCCAGTTCGCCACGGAATAAAGTCTGAACTCCTCACCCGAGCACTCCAGACCTTCCACGTTCTGGCTCCCATAAAGCCTGCTCTCCTTCCTGCCCCTCCTAGGAACCCCACTTAGCCATTCGCTTCCGCACTATCCTGCAGACCTGCTCGGGGCTTCCCAGCCTGCACACTAGCCCAGGCCTGAGCATGCTCCTTTACCAGCACCACTGCACTGCACAACTCCAGTGGGTGCCGTGCTCATGCCAGGCTGTGTGTGTGCAGTGCACAGCATGGCAATCCATGTGCTGCCTCATCCATAGCCTCCACTTCAGGAAGTCTCCCGTGCACCCCTGCAACCTTCCTCTTCTCAATTTCTTTGTTGCCTAGAACCTGCAGCTCACTTCAGGCACTGGACACTCCCTGCTTCACATTCTCTTGATCTGAGTGGGTGGGGGTAGGTCCCCAATCAGAGCACAAATGCCCTGAGGGCAGTGACTGAGTCCTAAGACCTCACACCCCAGGTGAGCGGGCTGAGAAGTTCACGTTGGCTTTCTACTGTGAACTTTTCCTGGGCCAGCATCCACAGCAGCAACAGGCAACTTGCTAGAAATGCACATTCTGGGGCCCCACCCCAGAAGTCTTGAATCAGATGCTCTGGTGGTGGGGCCCAGCACCTGTTTTGGCAAGCCCACCAGGCAACTCCGATGCGCATGAGGCTTGAGACCCACTGAGTTATAGGATCCTCAACATCCTTTCTGGGTTTATTCAACAGGGTTTTCCAGCTAGGGAAGGGGCAGGCATCATCTTGTCGGACTGTTACAGAGACCCCATCCCCAGGTATTTCTCAGGCATCTCCAAGTGAACTCGCTCAGAAAGCCTCCATGCAGCCTGAAGTGCTATCATGCCAAGGTTGCCAGCCAACAGCGCAGAGCAGCCAGGATGCTTCAGCGCTCCTCCAAAGGGCTCTCCTGTTCAACAAGCCTTCCCTGGGCCCTGCTAGCTGGGTGGTTACATTATTCAGCAACCAAGTAGAGTTTAACAGTGTCCCTGTCTCCCAACCAAGCAATTCACCCCAACTGTGCTACGGGCTTTTCCAACACAAAGCAGGGCAGTGTTCAGGAACTTGGCAACAGGAAGGCCCTCCTCCAGGTCCCCACACCTTTTCACAGTCTGCCCAGGCTAAAGCCCCTGGCATCCCATCTCCTAGGGCAGAAGTGAGTAAGGAAGGGAGGTCAGACCAGATATAAAGAGCCAGATCCCAGCGCCACTCTGGACTTACAGAATCAGAATTGCTAGGAGTACCTGGGGATCCAGATGTTGATCAAGTCTCCCTGCCATTCTTATCGGACAATTCAAGAAATGATCAATGGGCCGACGTGCATTATCTAACAGATGAGGGAACTGAGGCCCAAAGCAGTGAGTGACTGGCATTCCCTGACCATCCCAGGCCACAGAGCATTCTCTCCACCCTCTCAGCCCCCACAGCACCCACCACCTGGGTCCCCCTCACAGTTCCTAACACACATAATCCTACACTAAACTTCTAAACACTGCCCTATGTGGCCCTGCTTTCTCCCCCACTGAACTGGAAGGGACTAGAGACAGGACCAGGCCTGAGACAGGACTCCTCCCACAGTACTGTGCTCAGTTCAGGGCACAGGGAAGGAATGAACCATCCCCTGAGGCAGCCTGCATTCTCCATGAGCATATGTGCTAAGATTAATCTATGAGATCACCAGATTGTCACCTTGAAACACACCGGAAGGTCTGTCCCAGAGGGGTGAGAGAACATATAGATTCTGATGGGAGGCAGACGGCCACCTGCAGAATAGGTCGGGGGTGGCCAGGAGGAGGAAGTTAGAGCAAGAAGCCAGTGCTCCTGTTGGAGGCTGGGAAGGGGGAGGGAGGAATGCCACAAAGACAAACTGCACCTTCTTGTTGATTTTGCTCAGCCAGGCCCGGGAGAAACACAGCTGGGAACTGGGACGCAGAGCTCACACTTCCTCACCTCTCCCTCCCAGGAGCCCTTCCCTGACACATAGGAAAGGTGACAATGAAACAGAGACAAAGAAGAGCTCCGAGGAGTAAACAAGCCTGCTCAGCGCTCAGCGTCGTTTAGGTGCTGGAGGGCCCAGGAATTCTCCCCAGGTGCCCCGGGCAGTGTAGGACTCCTCAATTTGCCTTTCCCCAGCAGCACAGTCGGTGACTGCCAAGGTGAGGAGCTTTGGGGAACTCCTGGAAGGTCTCACTAGTATTTGAACTTTGCCCCACCCAACCCTGACCAGGGCCTCCCACCTCCTCCAGCCAGTCATGTAGACTGGTAATAACAAACACCCCAAAATTTCAGTGGCCTGAGACAACAAAAGTGGATTTCATGCTCATAGGACATGTCCACTAATTCTTCTCCTCAATCCAGCTTTTTCATCTCCAAATTTAGCCTAAACTAACGGCACAGAGTAGAAGTTTTTGTTACACAGCGGATAAAGTTTGGATGCTTGTCCCCTCCAAATCTCATGTTGACATGTAATCCCCAGCGTTGGAGGTGAGGGCTGGTGAGAGTGCTTGGATCACAAGGGCAGATCCCGCATGAATGGCTTAGTGCCATCCCCTTGGTGATAAGTGAGTTATTGCTCTGAGTTCATGTGAGATCTGGTTGTTTAAAAGTGTGTGGTAGGGACCGGATGCAGTAGCTCAAACCTGTAATCCCAACATTTTGGGAGGCCGAGGCGGGTGGATCAGTTGAGGTCAGGAGTTCGAGAACAGCCTGGCCAACAATGGTGAAACCCCGTCTCCACTAAAAATACAAAAATTAGCCAGACATGGTGGCGGGCACCTGTAATCCCAGCTACTTGGGTGGCTGAGGCAGGAGAATTGCTTGAACCTGGGAGGTGGAGGTTGCAATGGGCTGAGATCATGCCACTGCACTCCAGCCTGGGTGACTGAACGAGACTCCACTTCAAAAAAATAAAGAAAAAGTATGTGACACCTCTGCCCTGTCTCTCTTGCTCCCACTCTCACCCTGTGACACTGCCTGCTCTCCCTTTGCTTTCCACCATGATTGGAAGCTTCCTGAGGCCTCACCAGAAGCAGATGCTGGAGCCAGGCTTGTACAGTTGGCAGAACTGTGAGTCAATCAAACCCTCTTTTCTTTATTAATTACCCAGCCTCAGGTATTTCTTTATAGCAACGCAAAAACGGCCTAACACAGCAGCACAACTCTTGCAGGCATGGAATTGATTTCTGTGCCAGTCAGGATAGGCTGGGCCATGCTGCAGTAACAACAAACAACTCCCAAATTGCAGTAGCTGAGAACACTGAGGGTTTATGCTAATAAATATAGGGCTTCTTTCTGGAGTGATGCAAATGTTTTAAAATTAGAGAGTGGTGACAAGCCTGTGAATATACTAAAAAACATTGCACTGTACACTTAGAGGGATGAACTTTATCTCAATAAATGAGAGGCATGAATTTTATCTCAATAAAGCTATTAAAAACTAGTCCCGGTTTCCTCCTCCCTTATGCCTGGCTGGTGTTGATCACAGGTCCACAGGGGCCTTCCTGTTGGAATCACTCAAGGTTTAGGCTGATGCAGTAGCCCCTGTCTCCAATGCTTCCTGCTGTCCTGTGAGCTCTGGAGGGCCTTGTACTGGCAACAAGATGCTCTGACCTGGAAGTGAAACCCATACTTCACTCACAACTTACTGCCCGGAGTACATCCTGTGACCCCAGCCCCCAACAAAGGGCACAGGAAGGATAATCCTGCCAAGGGCCAGATGACAAGAGAACTAGCTGGTGGCCATCACCCCCATGAACTCACACGCACAGCCACCCAGAACTGGGGCCTGGCCTTCCTCCATCCCCCATGAGAAGGAGAAATTTTTTCTCTGTGTCATTTTTCACCCTAGGGTGAAGGAAAGCTTTCAGAGCAGGTCTAGAAAGAGGAAACTATGAAGATGATCAAAACATGACTTTCAAAGAAAATGACAGGGAACACTATTATAATATGTAACACAGCAATCTTATAATACATAACAACACTCTAATATAAAATATAACAAAGTTTTTATAGTAATGGCAACATGACAGGTACAATGCCACCATGACAGTGAGACAGACAGGCCAGATGTACGAAGGAAAATTTCAAGAATGAGTTTGACAGCTGCTGGACCTTCCAACAGATCAAGCATACGAAAGGAGGCCAGAGAAGGCCTGCCCTGCAAGAATGGCCCCTTGAAAGCCCATCAAAAGCTGGTGGTGTTAGTTCTGCGATGTCACTTTGTGACTGTAACAGGCTGTCCTTTTCCTTTTGCCCAAAGAGAGAAGAGTGAGAGAGAACTTGGAAAGGAAGCCATGGATGGTGCAAAAGAGGAACAAGATGTCATTTGTGCTGAGGCCAGGGCTCTGGGAGGGCAGTGCAGAAGGGAGGAGGGGAAGCGAGAGGCTAGAGACCCCTGCCCTTCTAGGGGTGCTTAACATCTGTGGGGACTTGGGAGATTTTTGACTCGGGAAAAGTCTCCAGAAAAGCATACAGCACATTGGGGTTTCCCTGTGTCTCAGAGCTGCAGTTGTTCTGGTTGCTTCCATAGGCCCAGCCAAAGCATTCTTGGATGTGTTTGAATCTAGAATTGTTCATGAATAGACCCTTCAGGGAGGAAGCTCCCTGCTGTCTGCTGAGGTCAGAACGTGGCCAGTCTGGAAATGTTGACTCTCACTATCTGTGAATTAGCAGTAGATCCCCTGCGAGAATAACTACTTTGCATTTGCAAGCACTGGAATACTACAACAATATGACACTAAATGGACCAATTCAATTCAATTCTATAAACATTTGCACCTCCTTGCACTTCAGACTTGAGAGCAATAGCATGGAAGAGAAAATGCGTAACCGAACTGCGGACAGAGCAGAGGAGTTAGAGGAGACTCCTGCAGAGTCAACAGTTGAGCTGGGATTTAGACAATGAATATTTCTCAAATATGAGGTTGGGATGGTGGTAGGCATGGGGGATTTTAGGGGAAACTTATGGCATGTGAAAAATCACAGAGCCATGACATGCCACGACAGATTTGAGGAATGAATGCAAGTATGAGAGGAGCGTGGGAAGAGATGCCCCTAGGCAGGCGGGCCAGGGCCAGAGTACTAGGGGCTTTGAATTGGACTTGACCCAGGAGGACAGAAGGAGCCAGGGGAGGGAGAGAACACGGTAAGGGGCTGATGAGTAGCCCAGGTGAGAGACGAGGGACTGAACCAAAATAGTGACGGGCACTGAGGGGAGCCTGCAGGTTTGAGTGGTCTAGTGGAATCCCTAGACCAAGTGACCAGCCAAAGGCAGGGGTGAGTGTGAGGGGAAGGAAGAGTGTGGAGGAGCCCGAGGAAGGAGAGTGTCATGAAGGAGGCATGTGGCAGAGACCCCAGGTAGATAAGATGCAGCAGCTGGTGGTGGTGGGTCGCTGGCGGAAGGGTGAGGAAAGGGAGGTCTCCTTGTGGGTTATGTGTCCCTGAAAGCTGGTTGTTAGGCAAAGGCAGAAAGATGAAAGCTAGGGCATCCAAGGGTCACAGGTGTGTTTTGTTTTTCCTGGGGGTATGATGAGTGTGTTTCTGTTCTGAGGGGAAGATGCCAGTGGAGGGAGATGGAATTTGAAGATAGAGGCTAGGGAGGGAGGAAGGCTGGTTAGTGGTACCAGGATGGCCAAGGTCTGCAATGAGCATGGTGGGGTAGCCTGGGCAGGAGACCCAGGACTACGAACATCTCATCTCCCTGCGTCAGGCCAAATTCACAAGGCTTGGTGTCCAGAGAGTCACAGGTGACAGAATACAGAACACAACCGCTTTATGCAATATTTTCATTTGTGTGGAAATCTTGGCTTCTCAAAATGTTTTTATTCATGATTTCACTTCTTCCTCACAATGATCCTATAAGACAGGCACTAATATTCCAGTTTGACAGACGAGGAAGCTGAGTTCAGAGAGGGTAGGTAGCAGCCCCAGAGTTACACAGCCCCATCACAGAGTCTCAGAGCCCAGAGGAGGCTCGTGTTGATTCTTCCGTATAGTCTTTTGCTAAACATAGAAATCTAATGCACTCTTTTATTTGACATTGCCAAATATACCCAGGATCAGGCCTAAAACATATCATGGCATCTAATAAACATGCTTCCTAAATGTCCTCCTAGGTACATATGCTGCTCTGGAAATTCTGATGGGTCTTCTCTCCTCTCTCCCCTGATGCCCTGTTGAGAGGGCAGTGGGTCTCAACCCCAGGGCACACTGGAATCCCTTGGGAAACCTTTAAAGAAATATCAAGCCCAGGCTGCACACCAGCCCATGGGATCAGAATCTCTGGGGCTAGGGCCTAAACATCAGAGGCATCCAGGGCATTCGGCTGCTCAGAGAGGACTCAGAAGCCCGAGGTGGAGGAAAAGACAATCCCTGAAGGTTCATGGGATAAGCCAGGGAGAGGAAGGAACAGAAGCTGTGCAGATTCAGCAAGTGTGGTCAGACACACAGCCCTCCAGCCAGCACGGCAGGAGGAGACAATGAGGGGAACTGCCTCCCCTCGTGTAACTCCAGCGTTACCTGCCAGGGAGCATGTGCCTCTCTCAGGTGAGCTCCCATTCCACCTTCCCAACAGCTCCATCACAGGGAAGGCAGGCTTGGGCATGTCTCCTAGCAGATGAAGTGACTGAGGCTCGAAGACATGGAACTCCAGCCCCAAGTGTGGCCATCTTTATAGGCAGTCAACTGGAGGACAAGACCTCACTGACAGAGCAGAGCCCCTGGGACAGAGCTATCTCAGGTCCCTTTCAGTTGCCAAGGCCTTCCTGCAGCTGGGCATCTGTCAGTGAGCTGACAGTCCCTTTTCTCCCCAACAAACTCAAAGCAAACATGGTTTCATGCTTCCCATGGTCTGAACGTTTGTGTCTGTCTCCCCAGAATTCCTATGTTGAAACCTAATTTCCAATGTGATGGTGTGAGGAGGTGGGGCCTTTGGGAGGTGATTAGGTCACGAAGGTGGAGCTTTCATGAATGGGACTAGTGCCCTTATAATGGGCTGAAGAGACCAGAGTTATCCCTTTCCATGTGTAAGGGCACAGCTAGAAGGTGCCATTCTCTGAACCAAAAAGCAGGCCCTCACCAGACACCCAATCTGCCTTGGTATTGGACTTCCCAGCCTGCAGAGCCATGAACAATCAGTTTCTGCTGTTTATAAGCTCCCTAGTTTATGGCATTTTATTATAGCAGCCTAAACTGGCAAAGACAAAGCCTCCCTGGGGGAGTCCTTGTCACCTGCATTGCTGTGGCCCTTTTTCGTTTTCTAAAACAAGACGCATGGGTTAGTTCTAAGGTAACTCCACACACCCCCAAAACCAGCCTTTTGGCTCGAAGAAGGTACAGGAGTTCCTTACCTCCTACTCTAAACTAGCACCTTCTATGGTCTGTTGTGAGACAAGGGGCTTCAACGACCCACAAATATTTACCAGGACACAACTGAGAACCTAAGCTGTGCCAAGAAGGTGTGGCCGCTGCACCTGAGGGCCCACTGTCCAGCTGGGAAACATGACACGCACACAGCAAACAGGTAAACTGGACGAAGCTAATCTTAGATGCATTCCAGCTCTTGGGGAAGTTATTTAGTCTCTCTTTACCTCAACATCCTCTTCAAAACAATGGGGACAGGAATGCCAGAACCTTAGAGGGCAGTGTGGGATCGAATGAATTAATCCATGTAAAGTGCTTAGAACGCACCTGAAAGATACTGAGGCTCACTAAGGCTAGTGCTATTGCTGTTGAGGTTTTTGTGTTCTTGCTGCTCGGGAGGGAGGGACCCTCCTGCCTAGAGCAGTTTGGAGAGTGTTTCTATAGGAGGGTGGCCTTTTAAGAATGAATACAATTGAGAAGGGAGGCCACTATCTAGGAGGAAGCCAGAAAATGAGAAGTCCCGGAGTTGGAATGTGGACATTAATTTACTGTCAGGGAGCCATGAAGTGCAAGGCCCAGCCCCAGCCCCCACCCACCTAGAATTCCTGCTGCTGCTGCAGGATAGACCATGTTATTAAAGAAAATACCCCACAGGAACCTAAACCAAACAACTCTCGGCAACATGAGTTCAAGGAACCTTTGGCTCTATCTCCAAGGCAATTGAAAAGAGCTCAAAACAGATTAAAATATGAGATGAATTTTGAAGCCCAGGAAAGAGATAAAATGAATCCTGTGACTGAGGAGCCAATATGATTATTTCATTATTTGGTTAGAAAGTTAAAATGTGCAGGAAATGTCAGATGCTTTCCCGAGATGGAGGGAGGTTAGGGACAGCGTGGCCATTGGGGGTGTATTCTTTTTAATATTAAAACACAGCTTTACCCCTGACTTGGTTTTAATCAGAAAAACCTCACTGGTAGGGCAACCTGCCCTTCTGCCAGCCTACGTGATGTCTTTTTAAACATCCCACCCCTCAATCTTACCCCACCAACACAAAGCACATCTGTCTTTTTAAAAAACTCTCTCCCCCTTAATAAAACAAAACCCCACAGCCTCCCAGATGAAGGGTACCCTCCCATACCCACTCCACCCCTCAGGGCACCAATGATGGCCCAAAACCAGACCCACCCAGGAGAAAGCCCAGCTGCCAGCAGCTTCTCCTGCAGGCTTTCCCCACCTTGCCTGACCATTCATTCTCCTCTGGGGCAATGACCACTCTCACATTGGTTCCTGTCTAGGCCCCCTTGTGTCCTCATATCCCTGTCTTTGTGCCCAATACTCACTTGTCTCCTTGGTTATTTATTAAAAGATTCCAAGGTGCCAAATTGCAGGTTGCAGGGGGTGCTGGAGACACAAAGAATGGAAGGTTAAGTCCCTGCCCTCAGAGAGCTGACAGTCCAATAAAGAACACAGACGCACAGCGAGCAAAGGAACGGTGGGTCACAGCAGAGGGACAGGCTGCGGGAGCAAAGAAGGGCTGGTTCACCCATGCAGAGAGAGGATCAGGAAAATCCACCCACAGGAGGCAGCATTTGGGCCTGACCTTTGAGGGTGAGTGGGCTTTGATTATGCAAAGAGTACAGGAAATTCCAGATGGGAGCACAGAATTAAGCAAAGGCTTGTGGTCGAGAAATGTGACCCAAATCCCAGAGACACTGAAGAGACCAGTTTGACTGGCATGAAGAGGCCGTATAGGAGGTGAGGAAAAAAGCTAATGAGGAAGGCTGAGGTCAGATTGATGGGGCTTTTGCATTTTAATTTTTAAAATAAGTAATACATTAAATGGTTCAAATTCAGAAGACACAAAAGGATACAGTGAAAAGTCATCCTGCCATCCCTATCCCCTAGCTTTCCTATTTCCATTTCTTGTATATCCTTCCAGAGGTATTGTATGCAAACAGAAGTATGTATACACCTTTTACCTTTTGTGCACAAATGGTAGCATACCATATGTAATACATTGTTCTGCCTTTTTCCGTTTAATTATATAAATTATAAACCCAAAGTTTTCAAAATGGAGCATGTATCAGAATTACCTGGCCAGCTTACTAAACACAGTTTGCTGGGCCCCACTCCAAAATCTCTGATTCAGCAGGGCTAGAGTGGGGCCTGAGAATGTGCATTCTCAACAAGTTCCCATGTGATGCTGGTACTGCTGGTCCAGGAACCACACTTTGAGAACCCTGATATAGATCATGCTACATGGATTTACAAGGAGCTACAGTTATTCATCTTCATGGCTGTGTAGTAGTCCATCATTTGCATATACAGTGATGTGTTTAATCCATCCCCACCATTTTGGTTGTTTTCAATCTTTTACTGTTTCAAACAGTTCTGCAGGGATTACACTGGTGCTTTCATTATTTCACTCATGTGGAAGTACAGATCTGGGATAAAGTCTGGGTCAAAGGGTATATACACTGGCAATTTTGACAGATACTGCCAGATAGCATCCTGGGGAACATACCTTTGATAAATTCTGTCCTTTGAGTGTGAATGAGACCTGTGAATGACTTCCAATACAATATAGCAAAGGTAATGGGATGTCACTCTGTGATTATGTCATATTATATAAGACTCTGTCTGGCTAGTAGAGTGGCACTACAGACTCTCTATCTCCCTTTCTGGCTTTGAAGAAGCAAGCTGCCATGAATCCTACGGCTATAGGAACTGAATGTCGCCAATAACCATGAGAATAGAAAAGTGGATCCTTCCCCACTTGGGCCTCCAGATGAGAACCCAGCCCAGGCTGACACCTGGATTGCAGTCTTATAAGGAACCCTAAAGCATGGGACCCAACTATGCCATGCAGAGACTCCTAGCCCACAGAAAAAAAAAATAACTCTCTGAGATAACAAATGTATTAGTTCAAGCAGCTACATTTGTGGCAATTCGTTAGGCAGCCATGGATAACAAAAACAAACATTTAGGAGGGTGCTCAAAAACTAGGCCATAATAGTGAAAACCTGAAGTGAACAGGGGCAGAAAATGGTAACAGGGATAAGGGAGAAGATGTAGGAGATATTTTAGTAGAGGGCAGGGCCTGCAGGTTCATGGAGGGGCAGTCAGAGGGGCTTCCTATTATCAGGGGGCAAGACTGTTGGCCAATGTCCCTGAAACAGGTTCAATAAATTTTCATGAGATTATATCACACAGCAGTCTAAGAGGTGGAGAAACTGATATCCTTCCACCTTATTCCTCTCTAAAAGTGTACCTTCCCTTATAGATGGCTCTGAGATTACCTCAATGCAGCCTACCCAGGCCACCAGCTGCCATCTGCAATTTGCTGACAAGGCAGATTAGCAGCCACACAGAGAAGACCCATAATAAATCAAGGTGACATTTCAAACCAGTGGGGGAAAGATAGACTTTTCAACTAATTGTGTTGAGACAACTCAGGAATTATCTGAAAAAAGTTTGGATGACATGTATGAAAGACCTAAACAAAAAATGAAACTATAGAAAGAACTAGAAGAAAAATGTGAAAGACTAGCTGTAATATTCAGGTAGGAATGACTTTCAAAACATGACCAAAGCCCAGATATCATTTTTTAATAAAGGGCTACATCTGAGTTCAATAATTTTAAAATATACAACACTAGAAAATAAAGTAAAGCCAAAAGATAAATGACAAAATAGGAAAAAATATTTGCAACATACATGGCACGCAGTGGACTAATTTCCTTGCTACGTAATTATTGTGCATTTACAAACACGTACAAGTCCATAAGAAAGGCCAGCAACCCAAAAGGGAAATGTAAAATAAAGAAGAAATTGTCCATCTACAAAACAGGAAACATAAATGCATTTTCAACATTTGAAATGGTGCTCGTGCTCAAACAATGCAAGAAATTAAGACTACAAGAAGATCCAGTTTTCATATATCAGGTTGGCAAATATCAATAAATTTAAGTGCTTTCTAAACCAGCGAGTGTATAACAATTCTTATCTACAGCTGGTGAAGTTTAAATCAGTGCCACTACCATATATGTGAAAGGGCACACATACACATACATGTGCATGCTTACATATGTGAATATACACATGGACTCTCTTGAGAAGGACACACCGCACTGGTGACAGAGACTGCCTCTGCTAAAGGAACCATGTGACTACTGCCCCTACACAGGAGTGGAAAGGACACTTTTCACTGCTCTATTCCTTTTGTACTATATAAATTTTTCCAAGGGTATTTATGACATCTTCAGCAATTTTAAAAAATAATAAAGAAAAGGAAGTAGAGAGGGCTTCCCCTTCTGGGAAGATGAAGTAGACATGCTTTCCCCTGTTCTTCTCCCCAAGTTTTATATATATATATATATATATATATATACACACACACACACACACACACACACACACATACATACACACACACACACATATATAGTATATATGTATATGTATATGTAAATATGTATCTATACATATATGTATAGATACATATATGTGTGTATATATATACATATATGTGTGCATATATATATATATATATATATATAAAATACAAACAGAAGACTCTAAAAGGTAACAAGAAGAACACTATTGGCTAGGGATCATGTGACCTGGGAGACAGCAGGATGGTGAGTTTTCTGAGTCTTCTTTTGGTCTCATTTATCCCAGACTTGGAGATGAAGAAGCCAGCAACCTGGAAATATCAATGCGCACAGACAAGAAAAGCCTAACAAAAGCCTGCTCTCTCCAGCCAAATAACTAGGAAAGAGGCAGCCTAAAAAGATGAATCTGTTGGACAATAACTGCTCTATTCAGCCAAACAGCCCAGGAAACACTGCGGCCCACCCTCCCCATGTCAGCAAAGGCCACATGGGGAGCCTAGACTTCCACTCCAACCCAGCACTCCCTGCTGGGATGGTGTCAGAGGAGGCCTAATAGAGTCAGGATGTTTGCTAACGCTCAGCAGTAAGGAGACTACCCCAACCCCCAACCCCGTGTGGTGTCAGTGGGGGTCACATGGGGAGTTGTAATGAGGCACTCCAACTCCTTCCAGGAAGGTATCCATGGAGGGAGAGTGGGAAACCTGGACGTCAACCCTCACCTGGCAGTAATAACATGGTGCCCCCAGCCCTCCACTGGAGGAGAAAAAAAAAAAAAGCTAAAGCAGGTTTAAGTACAGTACACAGCCTCAAAACACAATACCAAAAATCTCCAGGTTTCAATCAAAAATTACTTATCATACCAAGAACCAGGGAGATCCCAAACTGAATGAGCAGAGGCAACCAATAGATGCCAACTCCAAGATGACAGACATGTTAGAATTATCTGACAAAGATATTAAAGTAGGCATCACAAAAAAATGCTTAAGCCAGCAACTCTGAACCTGTTGCAACCAATGAAAAGGAAGAAAGCCTAGCAAAAAAAAAAAAAAAATCAAATATAAAGAACCAAATGGAAACTTCAGAACCAAACAATGCAATAACCAAAACACAAAACTCAATGATGAGCTCGATAGCCAAATAGAGGAGACAGAGGAAAGAATCAGTAACTGATAGATAGAAAAAAAAAGTTACTCAATCTGAAAAATGAAAATAGACTAGGGGAAATAAAAGCCTCAGGGACCTGTGGTACTATAACAGAAGTTCTAACATTTCTGTCACTGGAGTCTCAGAAGAAAAGGAGAAAACGGGTAGAGCTGAAAAGGTGCTCAATAGTAGAAAACCTCCAAATTTGGAAAAAGATAAACCTACAGATTCAAGAAGCTGAGAAAATCTCAGACATAACAAACTTAAAGAAATCCCATGCCAAGACATGTCACAGTCAAACTTCTGAAAATTAAAGAGGAACAAAAAGTCTTGAAAACGTTCAGAGAGAAATAAAATCTTACCTATTAGGGGAAAAACAATTAGGAGGACAGCAGGTTTCTCATCAGAAACCATGGAGATGAAAAGGAAGCAGCACATTTTTCAAGTGTGAAAAGAAATCCTATTTCCAGTGAAAAGACCCTTCTGGAATGAAGGGAAAATCAAGTTATTCTGAGATAAAGGAAAACTAAGATAATCTGTCACCAACAGACTCACTTCTCTCCCCATCCCCTGGAGAAAAACGGCTAAGGTAAGGTCTTTAAACCAAAGAGAAAGATAAAAGAGGTACCTTAGGACAAGAGGAGGGAAGAAACACAGTAAGCAAGAGCATAGGCAAACACAATAGACTTTCTTTCTCCTCTTGAGTTTCTAAATTATATTTGACAGTTGAAGCAAAAATCATAATATTGTCTGATGTGGTTCTAAATGTATGTAGAACAAACATTTAAGACAATTACATTGTAAGTGGGGGAGGGTAAAGAAATATAAGAGGCAATAAGGTTTCTACACTTACTCAAGTTGGTAAAATCATGACACCAGTAGACTGTGATAATGTACACATAATGTAATATGTAGAGTATCTACTAAAAAATTATACAAAAATAAACTAAAAAATATATACATAAATCAAAGTAGAATTCTAAAAAATGTTTAAGTAACCTATAAAAGGCAAGAAAAAGAAAACAGAAATGAAAGACAGAGAGAATAGATAAAAAAATTAAATTGCATACTTAAGCCCTAACATATCAATAATTATAGTACATGTAAATGATCTAAAGATACCAATTTAAAAACATGACTCTGTCTACAAAAAATTCACTTTAAAAATAACAATATAGGCAGGTTACAAGTAAAAGGATGAAGAAAAAGATATGTCATGCAAACATTAAAAGAAAATAGAAGTGGTTATATCAATATGAGATAAAATAGACTTCAGAGCAAAGAAAGTTACCAGAGACAGAGAGGGATATTGTATAATGATAAAATGGTCAATCCACCAGAATATATAGCAATTGTAAATGTATATGTACCAAACAATAGAGTTGCAAAATATGTGAAGCAAAACCCAAAAGAACTAAAAAGAGAAATCCACAAATCCACAATTACACGTTCAGAGTTCAATACTACTCTCACAACAATTAATAAAACAACTAGACAATCAGCAAGCATACAGAATAACCCAACAACACCATCAACCAATAGAATCTAATCAACATTTACAGAACACTCAACCCAACAACAGCAGAATATGCATTATTCTCAGGTGGCCCCAGGATGTATACCAAGACAGATCATATCCTGGGCCATAAAACAAACCTCAACGAATTGAAAAAAATTAAAATTATACAGTGTGTTCTCAGGCTTCAGTGGAATGAATCAACTGGAAATGAATAACAGCAAGATAAGAGTAAAACTTCCAAATACTTAGAACCAAAGCAACATACTTCTGAACAATCCATGGGCCAAAGAGGAATCCAGATGCCCTTCAACAAGTGAATGGTTAAACAAACTGTGGCACCTACATACCATGGAATACTACTTAGCAATAAAAAAGAACAAACTATTGATACATGCATCAACCCAGACGAATCTTCAGGGAATTATGCTGAGTGAAAAAAAATCCAATCTGAAAGGATTACATAAGTATTATATGATTCCATTTATATAATATTCTTGAGATGACAAAATTACAGAAATGAAGAACAGGTTTCCAGGGTAAAGCAGGGAATGAGGGCAAGAGGGGAACAGTTAGCTACAAAATGGCAACAGGAGAGAATCCTTGTAGTGATGAAAATGTTCTCCATCTTGACTATATTTACATCAATATCCTGGGTGTGATATTGTACTATAGTTTCATAAGATATTGCCATTGGGGGAAACTGGGTTAAAAGTACACAGAATCCCTCTGTATTATTTTTGTACAACTGCATGCAAATCTACAATTATTGCAAAATAATAATCTTAATGAAAAAAAAATCCCTCCCAGAAGATGTGTCGATCAAGGTAACACTCTCAACACACACGCACATACAAACTCACACACACACTGCCTACGAAGGCCTTCAGCAGTCACCATATAAATTTGCACTGATTTTTAAGTCTGATGTGATTTTCTGTCTCTCTTTGGAGAGGCCTCATCCAGTCTCCTGTAAGGTCAGAGAAAGCACCTTTGAGATCTTTCACTTGGCCTCTTCAGGATCTTCCACAGTGTGATTCTTTCCATGGAAACAATCACTGAATTTGTAAAAGAAATCCAGAACCCACAAAGGAGAGAAAAGCAGGCACGAGGCAGGAGGTGATTCAAGACACATTACTGGAAGGACACGAAGCCCCTGAAAGTAAGTGTACAAAAGGGTAGGTGTGTGATACGTGATTCTCTGCATGTCTCAAGTTTTTCTGGAGAGAGAGTACCTAGCTTTCACTTATCTCTCAAAGGGGTTCATTTCCTGAAGAGGCGAGAGGAGGAAGCCTACACTCAATACCCAAAACCTACAGTTTCTGCAGCCCCAGGAACAACTGACAAGCTCTATCAAGCTGCAGGCCACCTTCTAGAAACTCCTCATAAGCCTCCTGGTGTTTCTGTCCCCAGCTGAAAAAATACTGCTCTGAAGACTGCTGGACCCTCATGATATTTTGTTTCCATCCTGTGGAACTGGAAATGTCAGGGCTGGGAACGAGCTTAAAGATCATCTCATTTAAAATGCCTATGCCCACCCAACTTACAGAAAGGGAAATTGAGGCCCAGGGACACAGGATGACTTCCCATGATCATTCAGACAATTAGCAGCAAAATTTAAACGAGAGCTCAAGTCTCCTCCTCCTGGCTGCCGGTTTTGGGACATTTGTCCCTTAGCCTGGCATAAGAGCCTGCCAATGGGCAGGATAACCAGGAAGAGAGTGGGAGCTGGGCAGGAGGACTTCCATGCCACATGATTGCCAGGGGCAGAGCTCAGTGAGAGCATGGCCAGGCACCAGATTAAAACCAGCACAGATATGCAGACGTTAATGAGCAAAAGCTTCCCCTGAAACTCCCTAGAAGTACTTCTGATGTGGCAGGTTTCATTATTCCTAAAAGACACAAATAGGTGGTAGCGAAGATTAGGAACACTGCAGAGATTTCATTACCCTGGAAGGTAGGCCATTAATCACCACTGTTTCCCAGAAAGGTTTCCATCCTGCCTCCAGCACCCATGGCTCCAATCGCCAGCTGATCACTCACTCCACACATGTTAACTGAGGACCTACTGAGTGCCAGGGGCTTGGAGGCCAGGAGACATGGTCCATCCTGAACTCTGAAGATGCCAATAACATCCACCAGCGGCTCTGCCCAGGTGCAACCATAACCCTGTGTCTGACACGTCAACAGGCCCTTCACTGACCTCCCCTCACCCCAGGGCTGCTCTCCTCCCTCACTGCCATGGCCAGCTATGGCTTCTCCAAAGCCCCAGTGCTCACCTGGCTGCAGTCTGAAAAGAATTTTGGAGCAGGAAGAGCCCTCACTGGACAATAGGAAGAGCCTCTGCCTGGCCTCCCTGCCTCTATGCTTGAAGCCCTCTAATTCATTCTATACTCCACTGCCACAGGAACATCCCAAATCACACATCAGACTACTTATTTTTCTGACTAAAATCTAAAGTCAGTGCTCAGCAAGTGTGCATGTGCCTCCTGACATTTCCCAGTCTCCTCTGCAGTTAGGCAGGGCCATGTGACCAGTTCTGGCCAATAGGCTATGAGTGGAACCGTGTCACTTCCGCGCTGAGGGAGTTAAAAGCTGATGTGACTTCTCCATCTTTCTCCTCCCTGCCATTGTGACTCTAGAGGAATCATCAGACTTCACAGAAGTAAAATTAAACCTTGACGTGGGTTAAGCTATTAAAACATTAGGAGTTGCTTACTGGACAGTTAGCAATGATTGACTAACAAAACTTCAGAGTGGCACCCCACTGCCCTCAGGATATGACAAGTGCCAAACTCCTCAACATGGCCATGGTCAGGGCCGTTAATGGTCTGCCCAGCCTCCCTCTCTGGACTGTCTCCTGGCCCTTTCTCTTCCTTAAACACACCCTGTCAATAATCATGATTCTACCCTATATGCAGGTCCTGGAGGCACCATGCCCCCTCCCACCTGAGAGGTCCCGTCTACATAGAATCCCCTTACCTCTCCCTACTCCCATCTCCTGTATGTGTCTGGCAAACTGGCAATCGTTCCTCAATACCCAGCTTACATGTCTCCATGTCCAACCCTCCCTGGACATGCTGGGGCCTTTCCTCCTGACCAGAGGCACTAAGAGCTCCAAGAGATTCCTTCACACTGCATTGTGGCTTTTTTGTTTTACTTTTCTGTGTTACCCACTAAATTGTGAACTCTGCACAAGCAAGAACAGTGTTTTCCTCCTCTTTATCTCCCCAGATCCCATGATATAGTTTGGATATTTGTCCCCATCCAAATCTCATGTTGAAATGTAATCCCCAATGCTGGAGGTGGGGCCTGGTGGGAGGATTTGATCTTGGGGGCGGATCCCTCACGGCTTGGTACGGTCTTTGTGATAGTGAGTTCTCACAAGATCTGGTCATTTAAAAGGTGTGGCACCTCCTGACCCCTCTTGCTCCTGCTTGTGCCTACTCCTCCTTTACCTTCCACCATGATGGCAAACTTCCTGATGCTTCCCTAGAAGCTGAGCAGATGCCAGCACCATACTTCCTGTAAAGCCTGAAAAACCATAAGCCAATTAAACCTCTTTTCTTTATAAATTACCCAGTCTCAGATATTTCAAGAGTTTAGAGAGGCCAGGGCAGAATGATATAGTTTGGATATTTGTCCTGCCCAAATCTCATGTTGAATTGTAATCCCCATGCTGGAGGTTGAGCCTGGTGGAAGTTGTTTGGATCATGGGGGCGGATTCTTCATAAATGGCTTGGACCATCCCCTTGGTGATAAGTGAGCTCTCATTCTGAGTTCACATGAGATCTGGTTATTTAAAAGTCTGTGGGCCGGGCACTATGGCTCACGCCTGTAATCCCAGAACTTTGGGAGGTCAAGGCGGGCAGATCACAAGGTCAGGAGATCGAGACCATCCTGGTAAACACGGTGAAACCCCATCTCTACTAAAAATACCAAAAATTAGCCAGGCATGGTGGCGGGGGCCTGTAGTCCCAGCTACTCGGGGGGCTAAGGAAGGAGAATGGCGTGAGCCCAGGAAGTGGAGCTTGCAGTGAGCTGAGATCGCGCCACTGCACTCCAGCCTGGGCAACAGAGCAAGACTCTGTCTCAAAAAAAAAAAAAGCATGTGGCACCTCCTCCCTCCCACTCTGTCTCTCTTGCTCCTGTTCTCACCATGTGAAAAGTGCCTGCTACCACTTTGCCTTCCACCAGGAGTAAAAGCTTCCTGAGGCCTTCCCAGAAGCAGATGCTGGTGCCATGCTTCCTGTACAGCCTGAAGAACTGTGAGCCAATTAAATCTCTTTTCTTATAACTTACCCAGTCTCAGGTATTTCTTTATAGCAATGTAAGCATGGCCTCATACAGCTCACCTCAGTGTCCAGTTCCTAGAAGCCATCAGAGGATGTTTACGAACACACAAATAGAGCCCACTTTAAAATCTTTCTGGAGAAGGCCACCTCTTCTGGAAGGAGAGAGGCATCAAGTTGCAGGAACTCTTCATGAAAGGAAGAGGCTTGAGGTGAGGAACAAAATGACCCATCATCCCACTGGGCTCTAGAAAAAGCTCTATTCTGATCTGGCCGGCTGTCTGCCGTAGGCTCTATGCCCCTGGGTGAGGCAGTCCATTCTTCCTCATCTCTGGGGTCCCTCCCAGCACCAAGTGATGCAGCTTTGAGCACTGGCAAGGATGCCTCTGCCATTCTCCCTGCTTTTCTTTTGGTCCCTCTCTTCCCCAGAAGCCTCCACTCAGAGTTCTTGGCTCATTTCCACTGAGCCTCTTATCTGTTTAACCAAAATCTGATAAGGTGTTCACCAGCCTGGTATTACTCTTCCTTGGGTATTTTACCTTAATACAGTGCCACTAAGACCCAACGGATGGGTGCTAATGGGGGGATTTTAGCCAACAAACAGGCAGTGGGACAGACATCTGGTCAGTGGTGATGGTTCTTTGGAAACATGCCTTCCCTGTACCCACCTCTCCCACCACCCATCACATAGCAGACACAAGAGCTGTGAGGCCAGCTAGACCCCGGCAGACAGCCGGCAGGGTGCTGGCCTGGAAGAGAGTTCATACTGGCGGAATATCCTGAGGGTGGGACCCAAGCTCTTCATTCCTCATTCCTCATTCCATGGTTTCTTTTATCTGGTATTTCTGGGCAAGACAATGAGCAGGCAGACTGGAAAGTTACAGGACAGCTTTGCCAATCCCTGCCAAAAATGCAGCAACACAAGCTGGAAGGAAGCTAGAAGGAGACTCGAGCCTCTTTTAATTTCCTCTTCTGTTTTGCTTGTGTGCACTCCCCCTACCCACCCTACTTATAGTCTTTTGTGCCCTTGGGCTCTAACTGCAAAGCAGAGCTACTTCCCAACCCAGATGTGGGGGAAACCCACCCGCAGTCTCTCCCCGCCTGGTGTGCTGGCCACATTCGGCAAGGCTCTGGCTCTCCCTTGGGCAGTAAGGACTCCTGGAAGCATGAGATCGACCAGGAAACCCAATTCCCAGGCCAAGCTGGACACACAGTGGGAAGGAAAGCTGGGTGGGTCTCTCCCTCTCTCCCTCTAGACTGAAGTCAGGACTAAACTGGAAGCAACACTGGGAAGCTGGTGGGTGGAAGAAAACCTTCCAGTTCCCTGCCTCCTCAAGCGAAGAGAGCCTTCGGAAGGTTGCCATGACCACTTAGCATACCTGCATCCTTTCTGGGCAGCTTCTGGATGTAGTTCTTCATGTTCTGTGTGTGTACACATACACACACACACAGCAATTGCAGGTAGGAGTGGCAGAGAAAAAGCGAGATTGGGTTGAAATGCTGTCCTGTCTGGGCAAGTTATTTAACCACACTGACCCTCAACTTCCTCCTCTGCAAACTGGAGATAATTTGCAGAATTGTGGTGAGGATTAAATGAGACAAAGCTCCTGCTATGAGATTTGCATGGAGAGGGCTCTCCATAAATGTGAACTCCTTCTCGGATCCTGGCAACCAGTTGTCACTTGAAAATGACACACTAGGAACTTGAAGACTTGGCTTCTGGTCCCAATTCTGCCATCAACTACTAGCTTGGAGACCTTAGGCAAGTCATTTACCCTCTGTGTTTTTCTGTCTCCTAATCTTTAAGAGCAGTGTTTCTCAAATGGTAGTGTGCATCAGAATTGCCTGGAAGGCTTGTAAAATGCAGATGGCCAAAGTTTCTGCTTCTGCAGTTCTGGGGTGGGACTGGGGAATTTGCTTTCCTCACCAGCTCCCAGGTGATGTGGATGCTGCTAGTCCCGGGACCACACTTTGAATCTAAGAACTGTTTCCAGTTCTAATGGTTAAATAAGTATTTTAAACTAATCCATATTAAGTTGTTGTGACTGACACTTGTTTAATATGTTCTTCTTATGTCCATTCGCATTTTAAATATCTTAACCTAACACAATCATCTACTTCTAAGTTGGGTACAAAAGAGCCCTAGAGTCTGCGACAGAAAAGATGATTCGGAAGGAAGGGTTTTCCGGGCCTCTCCAGCCACGCTGTGTAGATGCCCTCTAAGAAGCAGATCGTTTGAAAAACCAGCTTCCCACGTGACTCAGCTGCAGTTGGTTAATTACTGTTTTGGGGCACGATGTCTGAGGCCAAGGGAAGGTCTCCGGTTGCCTAAAATCAGCCCATGGCCAGGCCCTATTGCTGGAAGCAGGACTGTCACTCAGCCGGTGACATTCTCAGTCCCCTCCCACCCCTCCTCTCTCAGGGCTCTGGAGAGCAGCCTCCTGCCTGGGGTGGACGGCAGACCCCAGGGCCTGCAGCCTGGAGGCTGTCACTCTGCAGTGGCTCTGCAGTCTGGGTGTACAACCCCTTGCGGCTTTGCTTCCTGCTTTCCTGTGGCTGTAAGGCCTGTCCAGCCAGGTGGCCAAACTCTGTAAATGCTGTTGTCATTCTGCTGATGCTCTGGGCCTTGCTTCAGGGAAGAGAGCTACCCCAGGCATCAATTAGAGAGTAATGACACCCTCCTCCTCAGCCTCTCGCCTGTCTCCTGCCCAACAGGGCCTTCTGCCTCTGGTGCACAGAAACGCAAAGAGGGCAGACATTGTTAGGTAGTAACACCTCCATCCCCACCACAGTCTCCATATTTCTAATGGCAAAAAACTCAAGTACGTGGACAAGGTCTTCAGGGAGAAGGTCTGAGAAAGAGGGTTCCCAGAAAGAATCCAGGGGCTGAAAGCAGGGCTGAGATCAAGCCCTCAGGGACTCAGCCTGGGCCCCCACACCAGGCCTCCTGCAGGTTCCAGAGGATGGGGGAGGCGATGCTCTGGCAACCCCACTCCACCCCCCAACAGAGCATCATTCCACAGACCACTTTGTTCTGTTTGTTCATGCTGCAAGTATTTCTTAAGAGTCTACTCCAGTCTGGGTATTGGGTCAGGTGCTGGAGATCTAAAGATGAACAAGAGGTAGCCCCCAGAATCTCCTGATCTAACACAGGGAGAGAGCTGTACGAATTATCATAAAAAATGCAGTGAGGGAAATAAATGCAAAGTCTATGTGAACTCAGGAGAGAGTTAACTCTGCTTGGGGAAGGGGGTGGGAGAAGCAAGAGAGCATTACTGAGGAGGTGACATTTGAACTGGTCCTAAAGGACAAATAAGAGAAAACATGTCTGGACAGAGGTAATATTCAAAATCTTCAACAACTGCTAAGGCCCACACTGGGCCCAACCAGAACAGAAGCTGATTAAATATGACTAAACATTTGCAACTACTTTTACTTCCTCCCCAAACCCTTTTAGAACAACAGTATTTAAAAATTAAGCATAAATACACAAGAATGGGAAGAACTGGAGAAGAAACAAAGTAATAACCGCTTTTGGAAGCTGGAGATCAGATAGACAAGTGGTAAATGGCTCAGAAATCCCAAAAAGCTGAATTCTAAGTCAGCAGCGGAAGAAGCTGAGAACCACCCCCATTTAAACTGCAAAACCCTCTTAACAGCTCAGAAATTGGTGGTACCAATCCTTCTTGAAAGCAAGAGTAAAAAGGAGAGAGGTAAAATAAGAAAGGTCGGGCCAGGCACGGTGGCTCACGCCTGTAATCCCAAAACTTTGGGAGGCCGAGGTGGGCAGATCACCTGAGGTCAGGAGTTCAAGACCAGCCTGTCTCTACTAAAAATACAAAATTAGCCAGGCGTGGCAGCATGCACTTGTAATCCCAGCTACTCAGGAGGCTGAAGCAAGAGAATCACTTGAACCCGGGAGGCGGAGGTTGCAGTGAGCCGAGATCGCATCCTGGGCAACAAGAGTGAAACTCCGTTTCAAAAAAAAAGGAAGGTTGGTTAGCAGTCTGCTTAGGAAAGTTAGAGTTTCTTCTCTGATTAGTGACTGTCCCTTGCCCAGACCAGCAGAAGATGGAGTTTTATTCTTTGGAAAGACCAAATAGAGGCTTTCTGGACTGGGAAACACCAAGTAGAACTGAGGAGAGATCTGCCACACTGAAAACAGGGGGATTAAAGAACATTCACTTACATTCCCATTACTGAGGCTCCAGTCTTCATCCACTAGGCACTCAGAGCACCAACTCTCAGCACATTACCCTCCAGGCAGAAGGTGGATGAGCCTTCTCTGAAGACCCCAACCCAGCTAAGAAGAAAGACTTTACAATACTGACATTGAAGATTCCACAAGAAAAAGGCCCAACCAGATGGTTCTCCAATAAAACCCATTGCCATCACATCCTACCTGCACTCGGAGATTTTTAAATATATGCAGATAAACAAGAATAACTGGATGACTAAAGAAAGCTTCAAAATCAAACAACAGAGACCAAAACAAACAACTTGGAAAGAACAGAGACTGCAGGAAGAAAAAAAACTTAAAAAAAATTACCATTAATTTCCTCAGACAGACAATATGCAATCATAAAACAAGAACAGAATGCTATAAAATGAACATTCAGAGAATAGAAACAAAAATTCTTGTAAATTAAAAATATAATAAATGAAGTACTCAGTAGGGAGTTGGAATATAAAATTGAGGAACTCTTCCAGAAAGTAAAGCAAAAGACAGAGATGGAAAAGAGGAGAGAAAAGTCAATAAAACTAGAGGCTAATATAAGTGTTCTGAGCATGTTTAGGGTAGGCTAGGCTAAGCTATAATGTTCAGTAGCTTTTCAAAAATGCATTTTCAACTTATGATATTTTTAACTTATGAGGGGTTTATTAGGACATAATCCTATGGTAAGTTAAGGAGCATCTGTATAGCATTCAATCATTACAGTATCATTTATTAATAAGACTATCTTTTCTCCATTAAGTTGTCTTTCCTCCTTTGTCAAAGATCAGTTGACTACATTTGTGTGGCCTCTTTCTGGGTTCTCTATTCTGTTCTATTGACCTATTTGTCTATTCTTTTGCTAATACCACCCCCTCTTGATTACCATAGCCTAAATTAGCCTGGAAACTGGGTAGTATGCATTCTTCAACTTTGTTCTTTTTCAGTATTGTATCAGTTATTCCAGATATTTGCTTTTCAATATAAACTTTAGAATTACTTTGTCAATATCTACAGGGATTTTGACTGAGATTGTGTTGAATCTGTAGATAAAATCAGGAAGAACCAATATCTTACTATGGAGTCTTCCTATCCATGAACATGTTCGGTTTTGTTTTTTACCCCAGTGTTCTGAAACGTCATGATGCTGTGCTTTGCCTCATAGTGGATCTATTTTTATCAGTTGTGCTTTTATCTTTATCTAAGGTATTGAAAAAGCACAGGTTTTTGACAGAAAAAAATTGGTAAGGTGGACTTTATTAAAATAAAAACCTTCAGATCTATGAAAGACACTGGTAAGAGAATAAAAAGACAAGGCCCAGATTAAAAGAGAATATGATGTGCAATACACACATCTGAAAAAAGACATGTATCCAAAATATTCAAACAACTCTTAAAACTCAACAATAAGAAAACAAATGCCCCAATTAAGAAATGGATAAAGATCCAAACAGACTCCTCATCAAAGAAAACATACAGATAGCAAATAAGTACATGAAAAGATGCTCAACATAATTTTGGTAAGGAAATTGTGCATTTAAACAACAATAAAACACTGCCACACACCTGTAAGCTATTTAGGGTCATGAAACTATTCTATATGATACTGTAACAGTGAATATAAGACAGAGAATAAGCATTTGTCAAAACCCACAGAACTTTATAGCACAAAGAGTAAACCTTAATGTACGAAAATTGTTTTTAAATCATTTAGGAGGTGGAGGAAGCCCAGGATGGAATGTATAATTTGACAAAAAAAATCTAAATGTATTAGAAATATATGAAACAAGCTCACTGAAGAGGTCAGGGAATAAGGTGCTGACCTTAGTAGTTTTGGAAATAAGCAGAATGTATAAGACTAAAGGCAAAAGGAACCATACTCTAGTTTGATAGAGTTTTTTCCCATGAGGATATAGGTTAACAATTCTGAAACGGCTACATGCGTATATGGGAATTGAATATTAAATAAATGGATGGCAGATGGTGGGAGCCAGGTTTCTCACTGTTGGAATGGGAAGTTACAAATAAGCAAAGGGAAGAGACTAAAACAATCCATGAGATGATGGATTAGTCGGAGACATCGGTATGAACTCATGTTTACCTTGACATAAATACAAGTGGTTACATATAAAATATTTACAGACATACATATGTACAGTGGTTAGTACACACACATATATATCCATGCTCTGTCATCTGAGGGGGCCTAGAAGCAATGACAACCCAGTAGCAATGAGCACACCTAATTATTAGAAGCCTTGGTTACAAACAGTCACAGCCAAGAAGAGTCTAAGGAGATATGACGACTAAATGTAATGTGGTATCCCGATGGGATCCTGAAACAAGAAAAACATTAAGGGAAAACTAAGAAAATCTGAATAAAGAATGAAATTTAGTTAATGATAACATACCAATATTTGTTGTGACCGATGTACCATACTAATATAAGATATTAAGAATAGGGCAACTGGGTATGACGTATACGAAAGCTCTCTGAACTACCATCACAATACTTCTGTAAGCCTATAACTATTCTAAAATAGTTTATTTAAAAGAAAAAAACTCCTACCACCTTTTGGAGAGAAAAAGCAGGACATGTACAGAGAATCAGGTATCAGAATAGTTCCAGATTTCTCAGTGAAATCTAAAATTATGAAGGAAAATTATGTCCAAGCTAAAATTCTATATCCAACCAAACTATCAATCAAGGGTGATGGTAGAATAAAGATACTTGAAGACATTCAAAGTTCCAAATAATGTATGTTCCATGTACTTCTTCTTAGGAAGCTCCTGGAGGATATGCTCCACAAATACAGAGGGATAACCAAGAAAGAAGAGGCCATAAGATGTATGAAACAGAAGATCCAACACAGGAGAGAATCAAAGAATCCCAGGTATGATGGTAAAAGGTGGCCCCAAGATGATAGCTATGCACCAGGCACAGGTATCAATCAGTCCAGATTGGAGCACATCAGAGACACAGAGAAATTTCTGTAAAATAATCTGAACATTTTAAGAAGAGATTTAGATAACTGGTAGAGATCCAGAGGTTGAAGTAGTAATAAGTACATGGAATCATAAGCAAATAAAATAATGTAATAATCAACTCTAGGGAAAACAAAGAGTAATTCAAGAAAGGAACAGAATCACAGAGATACTGGATGGCTTACCTGGGAAGAGTGTGTACACAGTCACAACAACGTAACTACTCAATATTTATTTCACCAAAATTATGACATAAATATGTTGGGAGGATGAGGGAGGTAATGGGCCAGTTAGCTTTTGCTAGGTTATATTGCAGTAACAAAAGAAATCACAATAACTTACAAGAACAAAAGTATTTCTCACTCATGTGACATTGAAGGACAGCTAGGAGTCAGCTGTGGCTGCTCCACATGTCTTCTTCACTCTAGGATCTAGGCTGAAGGACTGGCCACTCTTTGGGACATGTCCATTTTCTTGGCAGAGGGAAAAGAGTAACTTAACCTGATCACACAATGGCTTTTAAGCTTCTGATCAGAAGCGGCATATAGCAGTCCCACTCACATGCCACTGACCAAGTGATCACACGACCAGGCTCAATGTCAATTGCATTATTCCCTCCATAGGAATGAAAGTCATATAACTACGGAAAAGGCTTGTTATCCATTGATGGGGGAAAACAAATAAATTGGAAACAATAATACAATTGATTAATACATACGTGCACTGTAGTGCAAGTGGTAGGTAGGTGCAATGAAAGAGAGCTAAATTTTCACCTTCCACTAGTAGGAAGCCAATACTAGTGGGAAGCCAATGCCTAAAACTGAAAAATCAAGATGTAGCCATTTACACATGTGATTTAGAAATATGGCTATAAGCACAAAAATTCAGGAGAAAGAATGGAAAAGAGTAGCTTCTGAAGATGGAGATAGGCTAGGAAAGCAGGGGATTATTGTTTTTCATACGTTTTTAAAAACCATTTGCTAAGAATTACTAAAAAACGACAAATAATGAGGCCAAGCCAATATCGCTAAACTTCACTATGCCACGGCTATTTCCACTCTGTTTTTGATAGCAAGAAGTATTAATATATAAATCTCTTTAATGTAAAACAAAGAAAGTGAAGTTGTCGACAGCTACTATTATAAAAACGCTTCTTCAAAACCTACCACTTAGTGTCCCACATCCTCGGTGACGACACTCCTTCCTACATAAGAGAAACCTAAATATTTTACTTTTCTCAGTCAACTCTGTATTATTCAAGCCACAAAAGAAGGTTGATGATGCAGAAACCCTAATAGAATATAACTCAAAAGTCACACGAATGACTTTGCATGCATGCATGTTATTGCTGTGCAGGAAATTTGCCCTACTAAGTATGCATAACTCCAGCTAACACTTAAATTCTTTGCTTATATACAGATTAGGTTAGGACAAACTATACTAATGGCCCATGGAATAACAGAGCTTAGAAGTAAAAAACTACCTAGAATGATAAAACGTAAGCAGCTGACCAGGAGTTAACATTCGTTTTCCCCTTCTATACTCTCAAGGTATGCCCTGCAACTTGAAAAGTGTAAAAGTGACAGGCAACATAAACATTTTGATTGTTGAGTAACAGGAACTCAAATTTGGCGTGATATTTTCTCCTTAATTTTGCCAGGCCACATGTGAATTTTCATTTACAGGCATGACATTGCGCCTGCTTCCCTAACCTGAGCAGAACTGGAGGTAACAGCATCTTAGCCTCAGAAGACCATGAGTCCAATTGTCAGCCCGACCCTCAAACCCACCAGCCTACTGGCCTAGGTCAATACAGAATTCCCCTTTATTAATAACCCCTTACAGAATCCCCCTCACAAAAAACAAAAACTTTTGTAGGAAACTAATTCAATTACAATCTTTTATTTATTTATTTATTTATTTAAGGCAGGGTCTCACTCACTCTGTCACCCAGGATGGAGTGCAGTGGCGCGAACTCGGCTCACTGCAGCCTCGACCTCCCAGGTTCAAGTGATCCTCCTGCCTCAGCCTCCCGAGCAGCTGGGACTACAGGCACACACCACCACCCCTGGCTAATTTTTGTATTTTTAGTAGCGACAGGTTTTCACCATGTTGGCCAGGCTGGTCTCGAACTCCTGAGTTCAAGTGATCCGCCTGCCTGAGCCTCCCAAAGTGCTGGGATTATAGGCATGTGAGCTACCGTGCCTGGCCAAGTGCAATCTTTTTCAAACTGATGGGGCTTAAGGATAGAAGAATATTTTTCACTACATTTCTTTTCATACTTTTTGATGTTTGGATTGCCTAAAATTAAATATTTAAGGCACCGAAAAAGGTGGGGTGGGGAGAAAGGCACCTGAGTCTGGCACGTTGTAGAAACAGCACACAGCAGAGTTTGATCGGGGTTGTGGTGCCTAGGTAAGGCTGGAAGGGAGCTCTGGAAGCCAGGCTGGATGGAGCCTCATGACTTCCCTCAGCACACGGCAGAGTGTGATCAGGGTTGTGGTGCCTAAGTGAGGCTGGAAGGGAGCTCTGGAAGCCAGGCTGGATGGAGCCTCGACCTAAGCATGGGTATTAGAAAGATAATCCTGGGGACGAAATAACTTTAGGGATCAGAACTAGTGGGGACAGATACTCTGTGCTTGGTTATTTGTGCATTGCCTCATGTGAAATCAGGAGCCTGAACTAGAGCAGTAACAACAAACGTGGAGCCAGTGGGAAGAAGTCAGGAGATATTCAGGGGGTCAAATCAACAAGACTAGAGAACTGCTTCATTGACAAAGGTGAAGGGAAGAAGGATGGAAATAAGATACAAGGCTTGAGCAACGGTCAGCTTTGGGTTTAGTCCCCATCCCAGGACAAGCCCCACCCACAGCCTCTAACAAGGCAGAAGGCACTTTGTCCATTGTCTCAGTCTTCTGAAGTGTACTTGGCAAGCATAGCTTTAAGACAAATCTATCCGCACTCATACCTAGGAGCCAGACTGCTCCCTGGAGCTCCCACCACACTGGGAACTGAGGGATTCAGAACACGACTGGTGAAGCTATATAGAGGCAGGAAGAGACTTGTTTTTGAAAGGGCAGTCTGCCCCTTCTCCCTCTCAATACATTCCTAGAATAGAGGCTATTGGAGACTGAAGGGTGTGGTTAGAAAGTTGGGAGAGGGATTGCTGAAGATGTAGTACAGGCTTGTCCAACCCACAGCCTGTGGGCTACATGCGCTTTGAATGCAGCCCTACACAAATTCGTAAACTTTCTTAAAACGTGATTTTATTTTTGCAATTTTTTTTTTAGCTTATCAGCTATCATTAGTGTTTAGTGTTTTTTGGTTTGTTTGTTTGTTTTTTGAGATTGAGTCTCGCTCTGTCACCCAGGCTGGAGTGCAGTGGCACCATCTTGGCTCACTGCAACCTCTGCCTCCTTGGTTCAGGCAATTCTCACGCCTCAGCCTCCCGAATAGCCAGGTTTACAGGCATGCGCCACCATGCCCGGCTAATTTTTGTATTTTTAGTAGAGACGAGGCTTCACCACCTTGGCCAGGCTGGTCTCAAACTCCTGGACTCTAGTGATCCACCTGCCTCAGCCTCCCAAAGTGCTGGGATTACAGGCATGAGCCACCACGCCCAGCCAGTGTTAGTGTATTTTATGTGTGGCCCAAGACAATTCTTCCAGTGTGGCACAGGGAAGCCAAATGATTGGACACCCCTAAGCAGCAGAAGGTCATGTGAGATGATGACTCATGGTGCTAGGTGCAACCTCACATCATGGTTGACATACCCAAATGCACCCACATCCTTCAGATGGGGTTACCGCGATGGCCTTGGAGTTGAGGTGAGCAGCAGGGACCTCATATGATATTTTGTATATACCTTATTCCGTCTTTACTACTTTCTGGTCTGTAGCTCTTTTTTCAATTTAGAGTCAATATTTTTCTGTTTGGGCCAAAAGTATTTTTATAGGCCACAAATCACAGTACCTACAATGTCCTGCAGTGCGTGGCCATTAGAAAGCTGGCGATGACCTCTGCTGAGGCTGATGGGGGTCGCTGATGAGAACACCATGAGGAGGAGCTACAGTCAAGGCCTCAGTTCCTATCCCAGCCAACTGGTTATGCCCAGCCCAGCCATGACAGATCTCATTTGGGGGTACAGCTGGAGAGAGTGGGTAGCACCACAGAAAGTCACCCCCCTTGCAAGTCTAAATGCACATGCTGTTGTGAAGTGGGCAAACATGCCCTGCACAAAGGCAGGCCCGCCCGGAACGCATGCACCATTCAGAGTGTAAGGTAGCAGGGCAGAGATGGACATATGCAGAGAAGTAACTGAAGCACACAAAAGGCCCCTTTAACCTTTTCCAGCTAGCGGTTCAGAAATACACAGGAAACCCTCGATATTTGCCGAGTCGTGATTTGTGGTTTCAAACATGCACAAGGCTGCCTGCTTCTCACTCCTCGCCAGCCCACACGACGTGCTGCTGGCAGCCAGGGTGGCAGACACACGGCCCATGTGTCTCTACAAAGCTCCCTCAGAGTGGCCTTTTCAGCTGCCCTGATTCCATGACGGGGAGATTCTTCCCCCTCCCCACAAATCCACTCATTTTTAACCCCTTATGGTTAGTCACAGATATTATACAATATGTGAACTAGAAGGCAGAGGTCTAAGACACCTAATCTCCACCTTTTCTGGTTCCTTACCCATTATCCTCCATTCCACCCCTGTCGAGTGCAATCAGGAAGACTGTCTACTAAGAATAGGCTGCTCTCTTTGGTTAGCACACTGTAGGCTGAACTCTGACTGTCAAAAAAGGCTTCTCCATCCATCCCAAGGATAATCAGTACAGTTGTGCTTGACTCAGGACAATCTGCCCTCTTCCCTGGCCCCCACAGCCCCCTGCTCAACCATCACTAATAGCAAGAATCTTCCACGCTAGATGCTGAAAGGCAGAAATAACAGACAGAGAAGAGCAGAGGGCAAATGCTGAGCGTCCACAGGGGAAGAACATGCACCAGCCCAAGGTCCAGGTGAACTCGGATGCTAAGCCTATTGCTTCCATCCACTCAGCAAGTACAGTGCTTACCCTAGACAGTGAGTGGATGTCAACAAAGTGGTACTGATACTTGCCAAAGAGATGAATGCCATCTAAGCTGAAGAGACTGGGTTTACCCACAGCGACCATATTTTTCAAACCACACATCAGAGCCATTCTGGAAAATCCAGCCCATAGAATAGCAGGAGATATACAAAAACAACCTTGAGTGTAGGATGATGGGATGCAGCCATGTATACAGATGTGCTGGGAGAATGCAATTGGTTACGTGAATAAATTCAAGAGCCACACATTGCCCCGTCTCTGCAAGGACGCTCAGTCAAAGATGCAGAGTTTTGCAACCTAAGATAATTGAAAGGAAATTCTAGCCTTATTGTGCTTCATCTCAAAAAAATGTTATCAGACACCACTTGATAACCAATAGAAATATTACTCAAATTGCGCTTTCTATCTTCCCAAGTCTCCCACACCTCTCTGGAGTCTGTCCTTTGCCAAATCTTCCAAACCCTCCCAGATGCCCAGCATGCAGCTACTCTGTTGTCGCTCTGCTTTCTCACTCCACGGTGCTATAGGAGTAATTAGTTCCAGTGGAATAATCTAGGAAGACTTCTCGGAGTAGGAGGCATGTGTGGTGAATTTCAAAAGATGAGTTGGATTTTAATAGAAGTGAAGTAAAGAACATTCAGGTTGAGGGGCTACAATAAGCAAAAACCAGGATGGGGAATGACATATCATGTCATGTTCAGGAACAGCAAAGTAGTTGGAGTCAGGGTATGCAAAGATGCAGAGACAATGAGACTACAGAGGCAATCGAAGTCTGGTCAAGAGTGGATTTGGAGGTCTGGTTTCTGAACTCATTGGAGGGTTTTTTGGTAGAAAGGTAAAGTGTGCCGAATAGCATTCCAGGAAGCCCCACTGGGTGGATTAGAGAGGAGGAGACCAGTAAGGAATGTACTGCATTAATCTACCAAACCAGCCTCCACTTTAATAGATGCTCAAAATGAATGGGGTTTTATTTCTAACAGGCAGTTGTAATGGAGACTACTGGAAAACACGGTCATCTGAAATCCACAGATAGCTGCCAGGTCTCATTTTATCATCACTTACAGCTAGCTGCCTCCTACCATGAATCTCTTCCCTGAACTTCACTAAGTTGCAAAACAGATGAATTTGACCTTCATGTCTCTTTGCCTCTATCTTCCTTTGAGACAGAGAAACTAACATGAAGATGGGCCAGAGAGGAGGTGCAGCAAGAAGAGGAAATATGAGCCTGGGCACTATAACCTGCATGCACACAGCAAGGGCTAGCTTTATCAGAAGCGGCAAACCAGCTGACAGCAAAACAGAATAAACAGTACCATTTGACAAAAAGCATGGTTTTCGCCCTCTATGCTGGTCTAGTTGGCTATGCAGGTTTTTTGTTTGGTTTGGTTTGTTGTTGTTGTTGTTTGTTTGTTTGTTTTGAGACAGGGTCTTGCAGTGCAGTGGTGCGATCTCAGCTCACTGCAACCTCCGCTTCCTGGGTTCAAGCGATTCTCCTGCCTCAGCCTCCAGAGTACCTTGGATTACAGACACCCACCACCACACCCAGCTAATTTTTGTAGTTTTTGTAGAAATGAGGTTTTACCATGTTGGCCAGGCTGGTCTCGAACTCCTGACCTCAAGTGATCCGCCCTCCTCGGCCTCCCAAAGCGCTGGGATTACAGGCGTTAGCCACTGCACCTGGCCTCTGTAGGTTTGTTTTATGAGCCTGTTTGCCTCCCTTCAACTGAAATCCCGGGCACACTTCAGAACTCACTTGAGCCACAAAACCACCCTAATTATCCCTGCCCTCTCTGGTGTCCTTCTGCTGAACATCTTCAAGACCAGTTTGCCACTTAATCCCAATGCCAAATATAAATACGAATCTATCTTGCATTTTTTTTTCATTTTGTCTCAATGGACATTCATCTCTTCTCCCTAGCGAGGAATGTGTTCCTTAAGGTCAGGAATTATGTCCTATGTTTCCCGCAGACTTCCCCACAGCACCTAGCAGTGTGTTGGGTATATAGAAAGAATGGAATAAACTGTTGCTGAGTAACTGATTGAAAACGTATTTTCAAAATATTGCAGTGCTTATATTTGCTCTCTTTTTTATAATGGGAAATTCATGAGAGAAGTTGGCTTTAGCAAACTGATTTTGAAATATTTTATTTAAACTGACAGCCAGGCGCGGTAGTACATGCCTGTGATCCCAGCTACTTGGGAGGCCGAAGCAGGAGGACTGCTTGAGCCCAGGAGGTCAAAGCTACAGTGAAACATGATTGCACCACTGCCCTCCAGCCTGGGCAACAGACCAATGCCCCTCTTTAGAAAAAAATAAAAATAAAAATAAACTGGCAAACACTAGTATCACAGAAGTTGGAGCTGGAAGAGAGATATTTGCACAGATCATCTTATATGGAAGTAATTGGTAGTACATGGATAGTTGATTGATCTAGAACAAGTAGGGACAAAAAGATTCCTTAGAAGTACAAATCAGTTCTATGTTCTTAAGAGTTCAAAGACTACACTCCACCTTGTTCTGTATCGTCTTGTTTACAGGATTAAGTTGACCTCTCCTCTGCCCCCCAGTCTTTATTTGGACCAGGTTCCACTGCAGCCCAACCCTTCTGAGTCATCACACTTTCTAAATAATTGCCCTGCAGTCTGAACTAATGTGGAAGCCTCGGGCTGTGAGTAGCAGGGTAACTGCAGGCTGCAAAACCACATTCTGTCATTTATTCATGGAGTGATGTTCAGAGCCCTTTAACTCTCTCTCTCTCTCTCTCTCTCTCTCTCTCTCTCTCTCTCTCTCTCGTGTGTGTGTGTGTGTGTGTGTGTGTGTGTGTGTGTGTGTGTTGGGCCTTGTGAGCACCTGAGGGTCTATACCACCCTGTAGATGGGGTTATAGGAGAACAGGGTGAAGGCAGAGGGCTTCAAAGATAGACCAAAAAAAAAAAAAAAAAGTGGATTCAATTCCTGACTCTGCTACTTCCTAATGTGTGACCCAGAGTCAGGCCCTTTACTTTCATGACTCTTGGATTTTTTTTTTTTTTTTTTTTTGCATTTAAAGGGTTCTTGTAGAGATTGAAAATATGTATAAGCACTTGGCCCAGTGCCTGATACAGGAAAACACCAATAAATGGTTGTAATGGGCAGGATTTCTCTTGGGTGTTCCCCAGGGTATACTCATAGCCTCACCCTCCATCCAGGCCACCCTAAGCCCAAACCCCAGCCTGCTCATTACTGAAGACCCCAGCTGAAACCACATTCCTGTGCAGTGAGGCTCTCCCTGATAAAAACAAAGAACTGGATCAACACTGGAAAGGAGAACGCTCAGAGGAAAGTGAGCAACCATGCCCTGTAAGGCACGATTGAATGTGAAGAGCCCGGTACAGTGCCTGGCACGAAGAGGCACTTGATACATATTTTTGAATGAATTAATGAACTAATGCTCTCTGAATTATCTATTTGTGGGTTTTTCTAGACTCCCATCTCCACATCAGGAGATGTCCTATACTTAGCTGGTGTCAGAGGATTTCCAATAGAAAAATTTTTTCAGTGTATTTAAAGATGTCACCACTGGTGTCAAATGAAGCTATGGCCGGCCATCCATATGAAGGGACAAGGGCTGGATCGGGAGCCCTGAACGAAGGAGCATCTGCTGGCTTGTCCTGAGATACCTGTGCTTTTCTGTTTTAATTAAAATCAATAATTATTTTTATCTAACCACAATAGTAATATATCTTCACACTAGACAAAATAGAAGATAAAGATAGGCTAAAACAAGAAAATGTTAATAATATTTTAATATTCATTGTTCCAGACTTTTTTAATACATGGATACATTTTAATCAAAATGGAATCATACCCCCAAAAGTATCATTTTTTGCTTAGTAATTTATTTTGATCATCTTTCCAAAGTACTACATATTCTGCTCCACAGAATTCATTTCTTTGATCTAGAAAAGAGTGTCATTTTTTAAATTAGTTTTTTAACACACACATATAACAAAAGTAAGACATAAACAAAAAATCCAGACAATATCAAAGGTATAAATAAAATGCAAAGCAAAAGCGCCTCCCACTGTCATGCCCAGTCACGGTCCCAAGAGGTAACACTTGGAGCCCAATTTTTAATAGCTGCTGGTGATGATTTCCTGTCTGTCACCTGCTTAAAACCTGCCAGCAGCCTCACCTCGAGAGTAAATTCCAGCCCTGACCAGGGGCTTCACTTCTGAGCCTCCACTTCCCCACAGGTAAAATGAGATGCTGCGTCCCAGCATCGCCAAGGTGTGGTTCCAGCCCCAGCGGGCCACAGTTCTGCCATCCACATGCCTATCTCAAAAGAGATTGCATGCTAATCCCTCCAGGGGCACTAAGAGCCTGGTCCCCGTGGCGGCTGGAGAGGGCTGTGCAGTCACTGGGTCTCCCTCTCCTCTGCCTGAGGGCTTTGCAATTGACAAAAGACCCTTTCTCTGGCTCCTGCTAATGACTCTTGCATTTACCTTCATGTGCTACAGGGCCAAAATGCATGAAGACAACTGCCATGGGTGAGAAAGCCACTGAGCTGGCTGCAGCAGACCTGGACTCCAACCCTCCTTCTGCTAATAACTAGTTGTATGGCTTAAAACCTCCAAGTTTCCATTTCCTCATCTATAAAATGAAGTGAGTGAACTGGAGCTTCAAAATTCCTTCCAACACTGGTGCTCCACTCCAGAGAAGTAAAACCATGGCATCTGGGTGACCGCCGCCATGTGACGCAGCAGCCTCAGAACTGAGCCAGCCAAGTGAAGGGACATCCTCTCCACGGGCCCCGGCAGGCTGAAGTGCTGAGCTTGGCTCTACCTAGAAGATGTCTCTCAGTCTTCTTTATTGTCCAGAACTCCATGAAGTTGTCAATGTTACTCTGATCTTACTCAAGGAGAAAAATGAAGCCCAGAAATCTGAAGTAACATGTTCAACTTCAAATGGTCCAGTGGCAGAGCCAGGGTTGAAAGCCCAGTCTATCTGACTGTCAACATTTCTTTCATGCTCTGAGTGGAGTTCATTGAATGTTTGATATGCAAGTCAGTCAACTATATTTTCTACAGAATATCAAACCCTTTATTAAATTAACCAGACATGACTTAACGAATTACCATGTTCACAAAAATAATACAAAATCAGTATTCTGATCCTCAGCTGTTAACAATCACTGCTTAAGTGAACCCTCCTTCTTTCTACAGCTGTGGTTTTCAAACTTGAGAGTTTATCAGAACCTCCCAGAAGGCTTGTTGAACTACACGTGGTTGGGTCCACCCCTAGAGTTTCTGATTCAGGTGGTCTGGGTAGGGTGGGACCCCAAAATGCACATCTCTCACGAGATCCCAACAGATGCTGGTGTTGTAGCCTAGGGCCTCGCTTGGAGAACTACTGTTCAAGCACTCTTGTCTCTTTGGCTCACCCAGCTTGTAGAAACTCAAGGAAAGCTCTAAGACCTCAAGCTATCTCCTCAAGAAGTTAAAATTCTTACAGCTTTTCAGTTGTCCCGGCCACAACTGTCATCGTTCACTGTGAGGACTTTGCTCCTCTGTTTAGGGTCTGTTGTACCTACTTCTCCTCTCTCTGGCACTCAGTGCAAGGGAGAGCTTGGCTTTCTGCCCCATTCGTTGGCTTTCTGCTCCACACCAGCTGGCAAAGGCTGAAAGGGAAGGCCTCTAAGTAAGAATCCCAGCAGGGTGAATTCTCTGTGCTGGTCCCTTAAATCAGAGGGCAAGACTGGTCCCCTTTCAAAGCACAAGATCTTCCCTTCCCACCACACATTGGGTGTCTAATAAATACTTGTATCTACACACAATTGATTTCTTCACCAACTTTTTTTAAAGCTTTGAATTCTTAAAGATGAAATGCTCTTTTTTTGTCCCAAAATACAGTTTTTCAGAACTTCCTTTCAAAACACAGAGACACACCCCAAAAGAATGTAACTGGGATTTAAAATTGTGGTTTCTGCCCAGAAGTCCAAGTGCAAGCTATGGCTGTGTTTCTCTGTTTGGCCTCATTTCTTGCTTGGAGTTATTAGGTATAATCAAGATTGCTGCTTACTGGATAAAGGCCAAAGTTAGGAAGTTCCGTGCTTGAGCTCCAATCCTTTCAGGATTGCTAAGTGGTAAGAACTGCCTGAAAATCAGTGAGTGTTACAGCTCTTTCAGAACTCTTCTAGCAGTTTTTCCAGCTTTTACCAGAATCTCTCCCCTATCCCACAAACAATAAAGAAATCAGACTGGGAAAGCACAGTGTCCTTACTAAGATTGCTCTGGGCAGCCAAAAATTGCTCTGGAGCCGAGGGAGGGAAGTGCTTTGCAAGAAACCTATAAAGGAGAAAAATGGGTATTTGGTGACCTCCATGTTGCCTTTCTGACCTCTTCCTCCAATGCCCACGCTAGGGTCATTCTGGCAGGACAGTGCAGTGAAAAAGGCCTGGAAAGCTGGGAGACCGCGATCCAGTCTCAGCTCTACTGCTGACCAGTGAGTGTCCCTAGACCTCTTACTTCAGCTCCAGGGACAGTATTTGGTTGTGTACATATAGAAGATACTGGCCAGGATGACCTCAGAAATTCGCTTCAGCACTGTCTATTAGTGAGAACTGGAAGTGGTTTTCACTAAATATGCTGATAACTATGCTTTTTGATGTGACAATACCTTGGCATTTGTGAACTCTTAATAACCAGGGAGGAAATGTTGTTTATCCAAGCCCTGAAGAGCCCACCTGCCAGGGTGGGACTCGAGTGGAATCAAGCGGGGCCCTGCCCAGAGTATGGCTGCCCCCCAATATCCCCACTCCCACCTCCCCACCCCCCACCCCTGCCATCCCACCAGGCCTGCTCCAACCACCACACTTCCTGCCCCCTTGGCTCCCTTCTGCAGGGAAGGTGAAGCTAGATGACGCACTTGCCCGGGCATGAAACAAAGGGATTCCTTTCCCTTTTCTTCCCCTTTCTAGAGTCACGGCCTCACCAACACCCTCTCTCCCTGACTGTCTCTCACTATAAAGTCAGTCACTGAATTGTACACCTAAAACAAAGTGAATTCTATGGCATGTAAATTATTCTTCAATAAAGCTGTTAAAAATGTTAAAAGAATGTCTTAATATAAAGATTTCATTTGATTCTTCTCTGGTTAAGCTCTGAATCGAAACTAAAGGCATTTTGGTCAGGACACCTTCCAAATGATCACACACATGCATGTATGTGCACATCCACACACACACGCACACAGAGGACTATAGCCATCGCCCCTAATTAAAAATAAACCACAAAGGGCAAAATCTGAGAGGCACCAAGATAATCATAACCAACCTGAAATCATCAACCTCAGGCACCAGAGTCAGGAACCATGCTGCTTCAGTCACTGGAAAATGATGTTTCTTTGCTTTCAGGAAGACGAGACCCTCCCAGATAGCCAAAAAGGCATAGAGTGCCTAATCTTCAAGGTGCCTTTTGCAGCATTTACTTTCTAATTGAGCATCAAAAGAGCAAAGCAGAGGACACAATGAAGCAATCACTGGCTCCCCTTCCCAGGCCTGGCCAGTCTCCAGTCTTGGTGGCCCCAGGTCAACAATGCTACAGTGGATTTTGAAGTATTTCTATCACAGCCATTGCACTTGAAAACTTCCATAGTTCAGCTATTTAATTCTCCCTACACTGAGATGGGGTAGAATAGACTTCAAGTTGGCATTCTTTTTTTCCTGAACTTCCAAAACCTCCATGTGACCATTTTTAAAATGCAGGTGTGTTGTACCTGCAAGACCTTAAGAAATGTCCCAGAAATTTATTTCTGTCCTGCTGCTCTATTTTGTTTGGTCAAATCAAGTGCTGCCTCTGGCAGATTCTCTAATGATTGATTAGAGGGGGCGGTGTCAGTAGCCGGGTTTTCTAGTGATACTAGCTTGAAAGAGCAATTTCTGAAGAGCTCTTTGCCTCATTCACAGCGCTCAGCTAAGCCAGAGGTTCAGCAGATGACTCAAGCTGAAGGGTAGGGGGTGAGGGACCCGAACCAGGGAAAGATCAGATGCAGTGGGTTCATTCATTTTGATAAATCTTTTCTTTTTAATCATCTGTAGTAAGACCATAGTACATTGCACCATGTGTATGATATATTTTGGAAAGGTAACGAAGTCTGGGAAGTAGGCAGTGTAACTCAGCTCCCAGCTATTAAATCTTTGCTTAGAAGTAGGGTAACGTCAGGGGTTTGTGTGTGTCTGTGTGCGTATGTGTGTAAAAATTACAAGGCTAATACATTAGCAGGGGCAAAAATTAGCCAGGTTCTACTACTATATTGAGATTTAGAACATCAGAGTACAGTGACTAGATTTTTCTGTAGAGATCTTTACAGCTATTTGAAATTATGAACCCATAATATGCAAATGCACGGGGCTAAGAAATGCAAATTCTTGGCAGAGACTGAAGATGTTATAATGTGTGCTGTAAACGGCGACGCGTATGTGTATAAAATCAGCGCGCACATACTAACTGGTCGATTATCCCCTCTAAAACCACATATAAATTCTCCTGACAGGAATTGGAATTTTGCACACATCCCAAGAATGAACTGACTCTTAATGTGCTGTGTGTGTGTGAAGGATGGAGTATTAAAAAGCATCAGGAAGGGTCACTAAGCTAGGGAAGAGTGCCTGCTGATTCTCCAGCATGACAACAAAGGGTCTGGGGGCTATATTTTCCTCCTGCTCATGGTCATTATAATATTAGTGATAGTCAATAATATTTACTGAGTTCTGGCCTCTGTGACAGTCACTGTGCTGGGTGCTTTTCATCCATGATCTCGTTTAAGGAGAGAGAGAGAGAGAATGTGTGTGTGTGTGTGTGTGTGTGTGTGTGTGTGTGTGTGTGTGTGTGTGTCAGAGGGGTTGGGGGTGATGTGTATGAATGTGGATGTGTGCATGTATGTTCTATTCAAATGTGTGTGTGTGTGTGTGTGTGTGTGTCAGAGGGGTTGGGGGTGATGTGTATGAATGTGGATGTGTGCATGTGTGTTCTATTCAAATGTGTGTGTGTGTGTGTGTGTGTGTGTGTGTGTCAGAGGGGTTGGGGGTGATGTGTATGAAGGTGGATCTGTGTACTTGTGTTCTATGCGAATGCTTTACCACCCTGACAAATGGCTACTTTCCCAGGGAATGTAACCATTTACACTGGTAAAAATGTTAGTCTGCCCATGAAGCAGGCGGGAAGGAGAGCTCAGTCACCAGGTACCCAGGGACTGGGGGCAGAGTCCCCATACAAAAATGTGTCCTTTTGTGGTGAAACTACTTCCCACCTGGAGCCAAAGTCTGGGCCAGTCTTAGCCATTTCTGAATGAAGAACAGGACATTAGGGAAGTGCAATCCAGAATCTGAGAAGAAGTAAAAAATTCTCAAACTAGAAAGCTGCTGAGTCAGGTCTATACAGATGCAGGGTCTTAAAAATTGTAAGGAAAGAAAAGAAAAAAGCTTTTAGTTAAACAATGGCTTATAATGACTTCTGCAAATAGGTGACTCTCAGGGAGGTGGTGGAATCTGGTGCATCAGAATCTGTCACAAGAAATTCCAGCAAAGCAACGGGGGTAGAACACAGGATGATTTAGCTTTCTGTAATGTAAGCAGAAATATTACTTTATCAAATAATTCACTTTTACAACCTTTCTCTCCATCCCTACCCCCCTCTCAAAGCAGTTTAGAAAAACACCCAAGGATTCCAGGTATAGACAGAGGCAAGGACACAACTACTTTCCAATGGCAGGCAAGGACAATAACTAGGATGTTGCCCTCTGCTTTGTCATTGTACCACCCAGCTGATGAGCAAGATTTCTGAGTTCTTGGAAATTATCCAGATTAGGAGATGATTTGCAAAATGGGCACAAGCACATGTAACATCAGAGCTACATGAGAAATCAGAAGCATTTTCCCTGCCTTCAGGAAGCTTTCAATAAATACTCTGCAAAAGCCAAGACAAGAAGCCTGACATGAACAAAACCTCATCAGGTGAGCTCTGAGTCCACCACCTACTCATACTTCATCAAGGCACAGGTTCCCAAGGGCTAAAGACAGTCAGAGACATAGGAGGGCTTTTTTTGTTTAAGTGGTTTATATTTAGTTGTAAGCTAGTACTAGGACAGAGAAACCTTGAGATTACAAAGATGGATAATAAATCCACCGAAGGAAGCATATGCAAACGTGAGCCTTTGAATGAGGTCCTTGAATCTCCTTGCCACATTTCACAGCCTAATCGTTACACAAGATCTGTTAGCCTTCAACTCCTTCACTCTGTTCCTGTCCACTCATCACCCCAACAACACATATTACTTGGCCCACATCACACAGAGTGAATATAATACAAGAAGAATTCTTATGCTGAACCACGAGCCACAATGGTGGTTGTCAGCAAGTCACATGGCTCTCATAGAAGTTGAAATATACAAGTATCCATCTATAGAATTATAAAGCATAGGTGGACGCCTACCTCTGGGATGTCTTATCACCTGAATTTAGTGATCTGATATTTCTTGGTGCTGTTTGTTACATTTTTACAACAGTGCTTTACGTGGCTCCAAAAGCAATTTCCTAAAATGCCCTAAGAAGAGATATTGGTCAATGAATAAAAATCATTCCAGTTTGGCACTGGACTAAAATAAACGGTTTTAGTACTTGGTATCAAGTGGATAATCTCTTCCTAAATTCTTATTGTTTAAGGCTAAAATGGAAATTATGCCATTTCCCAAAGCATATTGAGCTAAACTAGGCAGAAAGCCAGATGTGAACTGCACAGGGCGGGAACCAGCCTGGGAGTTAAGATTTGCTGCAATTACTTCCCCATGCCTGACCCCCTTAACCAAATGTATTTCCTCCTGCTTCCTACACACACCTACAGATTTCTTCACTGAGCTTGGCCCCCATCATGTTGGTCCCGCTACCATTCCTTTGTACAGGCGGTTCCCCACCTGAATACCCTCTAGGAACTTCAGGGCCAATTTAGGTGCAATAGAGAGAATTTGGGCTCTGGAATCAGAGCTCTTCCACTTCCAGATAGCCGTATCACCTCAAGTAAGTTAACCTAAACATTCCAAGCCTCAGTTCATCATCTGCTCATTTGGAATAATAACATTAAATTGAAAGTTGCTGTGAGAATGAGCGGCTATGTCACACATACAAAGTGCCTGTTGTGGTTGCTCAGCAATGTCATTTCTCATCCTCCTACCAGCTCCCTTCGCCAAGTTCATCACAGGTCTCACAACTTGCCAACTCTAAGCACACAGATTCTAGGACTCTCTTCTTTAAAATCTTACAAGCTACACTATGTCATTTAGCTCTTCAGCATAAGCTTATATATGTCTTGCATATATTTTCACAAACAAATTTTTGCATCTTTGAAGGCAAGACCACGTCTTGGGCTTCTCCTGATCCCCTGCAGAACCTCACCCGGGACCAAAGACTCCATCAGAATCCTAATGCACCTTGTATTCCCTGTGGGATCACAGCTTCCCTACCTGCACACACACAAAAGCAGCAAAGCTTCTGCGTGACCAGGTATTTCCAGGGCCAATCCACAACTATTCAGCAACTTCAGCTTGTCACCTTCAAGCCTGCTGATGGAGGTCTACACTCTGACCCTGCAGTCTGTTTCCAAAAGCATCCTGAGCCCCTGAAAGGGCCGGCTGCCGGGATTAGGGACAGCATTCATTGGAAGCAGATCTCCCTCAACTCAGAAGGGGAACATCAAGCTGTGTACACACAGGGACAAGTCCTGGGATCTGCAGGTCAGGCAGGCAAAGCCTTCTTCCACACAGCAAGGATGACAGCCCCCTCTGTCCACAGGGCTGCTCGGCCACTGCTGCCTGTTTGCTGCGAAGGGATTGGCCTGAGAGAAAGAGTTTTGCTTACCAGACTCTGAAGCCAGAGGAATTTCAAGGGCCCTCAAGGTGAGCTGCCCTTTGGAGGACCCTGCATATGGGCAGTGACCTTGAGGTAGCCAAGTGAGACCAAGGACATGGTGCCACAAGCTGGGGTCAGGAAAGCCTAAGCTCCCACAGAGTTGATCAGCCCAGAGCCCCCTCCCTGATACCCTGCACCTCACCCCAAGTCAAAGGGCCCAATACGACCTCTGTGGCTTCTCTTTGCCTTGATCAAGGCTATGCCCGATGCTGCCTTAACCTCCTTTCCCCAGCATGAAGCTGCATCTGTTCTCTTCTCCCATCAAAGTCACTGGCTTATCTCAGACCCCACCGCTTCCCCACCCCCACAACGTGAGCACCATCCCTCATGCCCTTTTCTTTGTTCCCCCACCCCCACCTTTGCCTGGCCTAGCATCCAGCACATAGTGGGAGCTCAGGAAACACTGATTTCATAAATCAGTGTTGAGTACATGATTCGTTTTCTAAGAAGTTCAACCAAAAATTATTTATTCTACCTTAATCCTTAAACAATTAAGCAATTTTATCCTTTGAAGTGTCTTGTGAACAATAACTTGGCAAAATTATTCTTAGATTGCTATAAATCTTCCTGTATTCAGAAAAATCAAGGATCCCTTTCATACAAAAATCACTGGGTATTGTATCAGCAAAAGACTGGAAACAACTGAAATATCCATGTAGGCGGGCTGGTTAGATAAGTCAAGGTATAATTGTCAGACAGTCAGATATCTCCAAGACGTTAAGTGCAAAGTGAGATTCAATGCGTGAGATAAGCTCCCATTTGAGTAAAGAATTTTTTAAAAATACCATGCGCATGGATGCACACATACACACATATGTTTTGTATTGCACAAAATGTCTTTAAACTGAAGAAACCATTAATAGTGGCTGCCTCAGGGTAAGGAAACTAACAGCAGTGAGAGAAAGATGTTTCACTTTAAAACCCCTTTTGTACCTTTTGAATTTTAAACCATGGAGGTGTTGACCTATTCGGAAAAATTAAATTAAAAATTCAAAGCAAACAATGTTTGGAAAAGTAATAAAAAATCTGCTTTAGGAAAACATAAAAGAGAAATCCTCATTTAAAAACAGTTCAAGGCAGCCTGTTGCGTCACCTGTTAGCTGCAGGAGAAAAATTGAGGAGGCACCGTGGCTGCAGAAGGACTGGCCGGTGGGGTGGCGGGTGGCAGCTGGCTCTGGCCCTGGGCTCCTCAACTGCCTTCTGGAGGGACCTGAGAGCAGGACAGCCTTCCTGGGCCTCGTCTGAAGCAGTTCTTAGAGCAGGCAAGCCCCTTTCCTGTCTGGGAGTTGGGGTCGTCAGGTAGACACAAGCCAGTTACTTAGTGACAATCTCATTTTAAAAAGAGGAGACACTCCATAAAAGGAAAGAAAGCTTCCTTCCCTCCAGAAGTTGCTGGTGGGGAGATTAAAACCCCAAATCCCCACTCACCAGAGTGCAATGACAACAGTGCCGCTGACTTCAGGAGCTTAAAATACATTTGGGGACACACCCTTTCCCCCAAACACACCTGCTGCTTTTTCCTCCCTCTTCCCACATCCTCTCTTGACAGGCCAAGTGCCCATTTATGACAGAGCTGAAAAATGTCCTTTTTTGTTCTAATATTTCCTGTGCGGCCCCTCCCCTCTTTTATGGCTGCCATTCAAAGCCATCTGGGATGACCCACCAACCAGAGGAAGCTTCAGAATTGAAACAATCAAAACATGTCACCTTTCAAAAGTAACAATTAATGCCCCTGCCCCATCTCCAAAACGCACTGTTTTAAAAACTCATGGTGATGGCTGAACACTGTCAGTTCTCAGAGACCTACTGTATAAATGGTCCAGACAGAACTTTGTAAGGACATCCTTTCAAACACAGGGCCAGTGGTCCTCTCTGTTCCCCACACTTTCTCTCCAAGCTCTACCGCCACCCTCCTCGAACTTGGGAAGGGACTAAATTTGCTTTCTGTGTCTTTCTTTCAGGAGTTAAAGAACACCAGAGCTGAAATGGCTCTTAAAGATAGCCTCATGCTACAAATGGGGAAACAGGCCCATAAAAGAGGAATGGTTCCCTGGGGAATAAACTATATGCCTATCAGTGGGCCAGGACAAAAGTCCTGTCTCAGGCCCCTCTGCTGCTTCCCTAGTTTGCTTGCTTTTGATGTGTCCCCACCTAGAGGCCCTGCTGCTTCCCCTTCCAATGCAGAGTCCCCCTGTAGCCACAGCCTCCCCTAGGGTGGCCCCCGCAACCTGTGTCCTGGGTTCACTGCATTGTCTGGTAGGCAGCCACTAGTCCTGTGGGGCTACTGAGCACTTGAAGTATGACCAGTGTTACATATTGAAATGATAATATCTTGGATATACTGGGTTAAATAAAATATATGATTGAAGTTAATTTTACCTACTTCTTTTTACTTTTTAAAAAGGTGGCTGCTAGGAAACTTAAAGTTACATGGATGACTCTTGCTATATTTCTATTAGGCTGCACTGCTCCAGGTCATATGCTACTTATCCAGTCAGCTCCCAGTCAGCAGAACTGACCTGGCCCGTGCCCCATCTTTGTGTGGCCAGACATTATCCACTACAAAGACCAAACCATGCCCAGGTGCTAATTGAGTAAGGAGTGTGCCCCCAGCAGTGACATCTGGATTCAGCTCCTGAAGCCACTGCATGATTTTAACAAGTGCATCTCTCCTTCCGTTCAAGGTAGGGAAGGAGGGAGGGATCCTAGCACCCCTCAAGTGGTGCTAATTCTACCTGCATGTGAGCTCATGACACCCAAGAGTCTGAATTCCTGTAGGCTGGGATTTTATTCCCTGAGATAGGGTAGTCGCTTGGGGAGGAGAAGCAAGACAACAAAGCCTTAACTGTTTTTCATTTTTTGGCATCGATCCTGTCTTTTCTCATCTCTCCCTTCATGTTAGGAATAGAAATTTACAAAACATAAATAACAGTGGCTCCCCTGTATGGCTCCCCTCACTCTTTGTCGAGAGCTATTTTAAGTGCCTGTATGTATTATCTTATCTCATTTTCTCAGCCACCCTATCAAATTGGTATTATCACCACTGCATAGGTGAGGAAACTGATACTCAGAGAGCTTATGTGATGTGCCCAAAGTGATGCAGGAAAGCCACCAAGTTACAGGACTCAGGTCTCATCAACCCCAAAACCTATGCTCCTCATCATTCCTTAACTTCTAGAGCCTCAGTTTCCCCATCTGCAGTATGGGGATGGTATCTGCCTGGAGGCAGGGAGGGGCCTCAGAATCCCCAAGGACACTTCCTCCCCTGGGACTAGGTTCTGGGCCCTGAGGAGGTTACAGTTTGAAGAGTCCCCATCTCTTGCCATTCCCTGGCTTAGGCAGCACCCCCGGTCCCAGTCTTGACTCTGTGAGGCTCCACCCATGCCACCCTCCCGCCTGGGTCCCTCCTGTTTCTGTCTCCAGGGAGTTAAGTGCTCCTAGCCCCCTAAATCAAGATTTCACCTAGGCCTCACCTCCTCCAAAAACCCATCAAAATTCTTAAGTCAGAGAATCATTTCACAGTCAACCGTCCCATCCTGCCAATTCATGCCCTTCTTCCCAGGATGCAATGATGCTCTCACCCTTCAAGCCACCAAGGCCCCAGAACACACACTTCAAAAGAAGCCTTGACCTCCATGAACTTAACAAGGGTCTCATCTCCCATAGGAAGAATTCTATATTTTATTCACTGGGCAAAATAGTTTCTGAGTCCTACTGTGTGCCGGACACTCCTCTAAGCCCTGGGAACAGAGCAATGCAGGAAACAAAGTCCTGGGCTCCTGCAGGAGTGAAGACGTCCCCCAAACAGTGATGCCCTAAACACATGAATCCAGTGATGTGGGTTCATATTTCTTGAGTTCCTCCTGCTCTCTTATTTTTAGGTAAAAAAAAAAAAAAAGGTTACTTAATGGGGACTGATTCTTTCCTTGTCATGGTTAAATAAGGTATGGTATATTACTTTAAGGAATACTACACATCCATTACAAGTGTGTTTCTAAGGAACACGATGACTTAGTAATGTGATCAAATGCTCAGTAAGGGGATAACTTGCAACATCATATACACACACTGATGGAGACAGGTGAGCATGAGAGGCATGTTTCTAAGCACATTCACAATGTGTTGGAAGGGGGGAAGGACAACTGTTTTCCTTACGCAAAGTACAGAAGCAAAGCCTGCTAAAATCTTTGGTGAAGAGACTTGACATTTTCTTCTAAGTGTCAGTGATTCACAGTGGCAACATGAGTATCAGGCTCTCAAGAGAAAGGAACCTTTCTGTTTAGTAAAAGATGGCATGGATTTTAACAGTTTTGGAAAACAATGTTTTTCCCAATTATATTTTATGTGTGTGTTTATGTGTATATGTGCGCATGTTGCTGGTTCCAGAAAAAAAAGACTGGAAGGAAATATACCAAAATGTGGGTGTTGTAGGATGTTTTTGATTTTATTCTTTTCCATATTTTCCCAATTTTCTATTATGAGTCTTATTGCTTTAATAATCAGAAAATAAGCAGTAAACTGAATGCTAATAGTTTTTTAATTTCCTTATGAATCTGTTTTTACAGGCACCAGTTCAGTGGGGTTTGGAAATCAGTAGGGTGTGAACCACCAATGAATTCCCTGCTCCTGCAGGGCTGAGTGTGCCCCTGGCCCCAAAGAGAAACCCTCCCTGCATCCATGCTGGCAGACAGCTGTCCACAGCTGTTCTGAGGAGGCTGCCAATGAATGAAGCGGGTGGAAAAACACAACATTCCTGACTCTCCAAGGATGGCAGTATGCTTGGAGCTCTTGCCCACCAAAGAAGTAAATAAACAGAGACAGAGGTGGTAGCCAGTCAAGCTAGAGGAACTCCAGTCCTGGAGGTGAGTCAGCTGCCAGAGCTCCCAGACTCCCAACAGAACATCTGAAAGAAGACTCCATCTACCTAAGCCAACCACCCTTGTCAAATCAGGGCTAACATCTCTCAACAATGGCCCTCCTGGGCTATACCTCTTGAATGTCACCTTCCCTCCCTGCCTACATGAGAGTATGTATGAACAAGCTTCATTTCTGCCTCTAGGCTGAAGAGATCAAGAAGGCAGGGCCTTGGGCTGACTCAACTTCACATACCCCAACAGCACTAACTGGCTTATTCACAGCAGAACAGTGCCTAGCACACAGCAGTGTCTGAGTACATAGTCGGTAAATGAATATGCCCAGGTATAGCCCAGGAGGAGACAATAGATTGCAAAACAGACAAGGTGCCTGTTCTCAGGGAGCTTACACTCTAGTGGGGAAAGACAGACAATAAACAAAAGGAGAATCAAGATTATATCCAATAAAAGACTGCACATTGGGTACAGTGTACGCTGCTCAGGTGATGGGTGCACCAAAATCTCAGTAAGCACCACTAAAGAACTTACTCATGTAACCAAATACCACCTGTTCCCCAAAAACCTATGAAATAAAAAAATTAAAATAAAAAGGGCCCCTGAAGCATCCAAAAGAGAGATAATAAACAGGCCTATTTGGTATGTTAAATTATACGGGAAGCATTGCCAAACAAAAAATAATGTGAAGCCTCTAAAAAAGAAAAGAAAAAAAAAGATTGGCGAGGCATGGTAGCTGACGCCTATAATCCCACCATTTTGGGAGGGTGAGGCAGGCGGATCGCCTGAGGTCAGGAATTCGAGACCAGCCTGGCCAACATGGTAAAACCCCGTCTCTACTAAAAATACAAAAATTAACCAGCCATGGCGGGGCCGCCTATAATCCCAGCTATTCAGGAAGCTGAGGCAGGAGAATTGCTTGAACCCAGGAGGCGGTAGTTGCAGTGAGCCGAGATCGTGCCGCTGCACATCAGCCTGGGTGACAAGAGTGAGAGACTCCATCTCAAAAAAAAAAGAATATAGTCCAGGTGATGTGTCAGTGAGAAGCCAGTTATGGGAAGATCTGAAGGAAGAACTTTCCAGACAAAGAGAACAGGCAAGCCAGAAACACATGAGCTCAATGTGTTTAAGAAACAAAAAGGAGGTGGAAGGGTGGGCACAGGGAGTGAAGGGGAGGTCAGAGACGCAGACAGGGACCAGATCCCGCATGCCCACGGTTGGTTACACAAGGGAGTGGCCTGGTCTGCCTTACTAAAGAAAACTCACTCTGCCTGCTCTGTGACACTGGATTGTGCCATAACAGCCTATAGAGGACGACTTCATCATTACCTGTTGTACTGATGAATGATGCTCCCAACATCCACTGGGGTTAGCGGTATGGAGGGGCCAATCAACTTGGCCCCAGGGTTCTCACAATGCCTGTGGGAACCCCATCTCTTTTTATCTACTTCTATGACTTTGCCTTCCCAACATCCCCTTCACAGTGCCATGGAGTACGGCAAATAAGATGCATATCCAACTGCTGTCCTCCCATCCACCCATGCCCAGCCCGCAGCATTCATTCAGCAAATGTTTTTCATGTCCAGCCCTTGCTGATGCTGAGGACGTGAAGATGAGCAACATGCCAGCCCTGCCCTCAAAAGCTCCAGCATGTGAGGGCTGTGAAAAGCTGGCCAGGTGCCACCCACAGCCACAGCTGTCCAGCCCTGACCTCTCCATCCACAGCCTCCTACTGAAGTCTCCCCCTGGTAAAACCTGCTGTGAGCCCCTGAGACAGTTCTGATGGGCGGATCAATTCACACCAAAGGGTTAAACAGAAAGACAAGCTCAGTGCCTTGCCAGCTTCCTCCACCCCACCCCACCCCCATTCCTCCCTCCACCAACCCAGGGAAAAAATCTGTTCGGCCTCAGGGATGAAGTTGTAACTGATGGCATGGCAGGTACTATTTACTCCAGACAAAGGAGGGAGGACTTTGGTGTTGGTTTGAGGAGTGGGTGGGTTAGGGGCCATCGGGGACCTATTTGGGGCAGAGTCAGGGGAGGAGGCAAAGAGCTTTGAATGCATGCCTTCAAACCTCCTCGACCAGCCCCACACAGAAATGACTCAGCTTGGAGTCAGAGGGAACCACATCTAATTTGCCACTTTCAAAATCTCCTGCATAAGAATCATTGTTGTCATTATTTAGAAAAGCCAACTACCCTCACGTTAATGAGTTCTTGAGTTCTGTCCTGTGAGATTTCTGGGGTGTACCTCACTTTGTGCAAATGGGAGAGTAGTATCTGACAAAAAGTACACACGGTGGCTCTAGAAAATCCTTGTAACCCATCGTTTCTCAGCCTTTTGGATAAGATAAAAGTGTGGAAAATCCTTGTGTCCTAAATTCCCCTAGGGCAGCTGGCACTCCAAGAAGCCCTGCAGGATGCTGCACACAGGCTGGGGTTCACTCCGGTACCCTCCCTGCAGGATGCTGCACACAGGCCGGGGTTCACTCCGGTACCCTCCCTGCAGGATGCTGCACACAGGCCGGGGTTCACTCCTGTACCCTCCCTGCAGGATGCTGCACACAGGCTGGGGTTCACTCCGGTACCCTCCCTGCAGGATGCTGCACACAGGCCGGGGTTCACTCCTGTACCCTCCCTGTAGGATGCTGCACACAGGCCGGGGTTCACTCCGGTACCCTCCCTGTAGGATGCCGCACACAGGCTGGGGTTCACTCCAGTACCCTCTGTGTGGTTCATTGATAGGTTTTCTTCCAGTGGGACACAGTCATCCTGGGGAGAAGTCACTGCTATAGATGGTTCCAGACCCTTGAGTCTCTTCTTCCCAGGAGGGGAGGATGGGTTATAAATAGCCTGGACTCCTTCAGCCCTACACAGGCACAGATCCCACACCCCCGCCCCAGCCTCAGCCAGCTGGTCCTTCCGCGCCCAAGTTCCCACAGCCTGCTATGAGAGGGAGGACAACTGCCCACCCTCGGTGGGGGCAGGGAACAAAAATGCCCTGGTGACAGCCTCCAGTGAACTGTAACTACAACCCCACCACTCCTTCATACCCCCTTCACACCGCCCCTGCTGGAGAGGGGTGAGAGGCCGGTAATATTACTAGGGGGTCTCTTATACCCTGGTCAGCCCAGGAAGCCCAAGTTGCGTGCTGAGAATGTTAATTCAGTGGGAAAAGTTATAGGAATAATACTCTCCCCGTCTCTCTGCCTCAGTTTCTCCCTCTGTAATATGAACAAATAGCTGAACTATCTATCTTGTGGGAATGCTGATGAGATTAGCATGCAAAAAAAGTGAAAGGCATCGTAACACTGTATTATTATCAGAATATCAGACATTGACTTCTTCTGTAGGACCCCTAAACACAGGAGATGTGGAGTAAGGGGGCACTGATTTCTATCTGTTCATGAAAGCAGAAGAATTATACCCGGCAACTCTGCACTAGCCTTGAATTCTTGATACTCTGTGTCCTTGAAAGCAATCAAACTTACAAAATATTCTCTCTTGCAAGTCATTTCTGACTAATACAGATTGACACACATTGCATCCAGCTTATTTTCATAAAATTCTGCTGGACTGTATATGACATTATAGACTGAAATCTAGCATCGCCCTAGAGTATTATGGTTTTGGAGGAAAAAGTTCACATAACAATCACTCTGGTTATCATTCAATTCCTTCCTGCTCATACACACTGGTACAAAATAAGTGGCTAAAATCAAAGTGGCCAACTCGTAGTTCTTTTTTAATTTAGACACTTTGTTTGCTCAATAAAATACAGAGTAAAAAACATTTACTGAAAACCCACTCATTGATGTTTAATGGCTGTGTCAAATACTCATAACAACATTTATTCCAACACCCCCAGATAATTGCTCATCTTTCTCATTTGGTATCCACAACAGCACAGCATTTGTGTCCAAGTGTAATTGATCCAAAATTGGGCTCCCTTTCAAAAATATCTGTAAAATCTAATTACCAGGAAAACAGAGTTCTGGCATCCTATGGAAAGTGGGTGCTTCAGTGAAAAAAAGCTGCAAATTCTTCTTGGCTAATCAAGCTGCATTGTGTTACAAAAGGAGTTTGAGGAATTTGGGATAATGAGGGAGCAGGAAAAGTTGGGATAGTGTCAGACTGGACTTTGCAGTGACAGTCCTGGTTTTTTTAAGCCAAGGGCACGGGACGGGAAATATACCACATTCGCTGGCAAGCATGGATTTAGAAAGTACCAGATAAAGAGGCCATGATGGGCTTGGGGTGTGGGGGTGGCATTTCTGATCTCAAGCCCTACCAGGCCTTGCCCAGGGAAGTCTCTCCACCCTTGCCTGGAAGGCTGATGTCATTTCTAGTCTCACTGGGCCTCTAGCCACTGTAGCAGGTCACTTTCCTTCCTTGGGCCTGAGTTTGCTCATCTGTAAAATGAGTGCTCCTAATATCTCTAGGGTCTCTTTCAACTTCAAAATCCTATGACCTTCTATAAAGCAAAGGGCATGCTTTTTGCTCATGTACTTGTGGGGGCAGGGAGCGGGAGCCACCGGACCAAGGAGAATGAAGGACTGAGAGTTTCCACCTCTCACGCAGTTTTGTACCTAGTTTCAACACCCGGGTATCTGGCCCGCTCTGGGAATAATGATTTCTTTCAGCCCAGGACGACCTACCGAGGTGTTTCTACCTCGCTGCCCTGGATTCCTCAACCCCGCCAATGAAGAACAGGGCCAAGCCACCGGACTTCTCGGAGCCTCTCTCCCAGGTCTGGGCACAGTATATCTTCTTTTAAGGGGTCTTCCCTTCCCACTCCCACTCCTCTTTCTGTCCTAGAAGCACCAGAAACTCCGGCTCTAGCCTTGCGCATGGTCCAGCGAGACTTCCCATACAGGCAGCGCACGCCACCCACCCCCAGCTCCCCTCGGCCTTGCGCCCGCGCCGCGGAAGGTTGGGTACCAGCCTCCACAGCTTTGCAGATTGCAAAGATAACGGGAGCTGCCGCTTCGCTTTTCTTTGGCTCCTCCTGGCCTTCATCCTAGTAAAACCAGACAAGCAACCGGAAAAACAAAGCAGCACAGCGGCCAGAGACAATTCGCTTTCAACGGAGCAAGAGACGTACACACCTTGAGAGAAGACGCACGCAGTTCCCGTGCGTGTCGCTGGGAACAGACCTCGCACTACCCCGCGCGGCGACAGGCACCGGGCCAGGCTCGGCTTCACTTGTCCGAGGCTTGGAGGAACTGTGTGCGTGCGCCCATTTCCCCCAGCTTCCCGACTTGACAGCAGCAAGGATCTTTGAGTCCTGCATGAGCGACACCTCGGGCAAGGACTGTACTCTGCTCAGATCTCATCGAGAGGTGCTGGATCCCAGCCTTTCCAGCTCATTTTCCAATTTTCAAGAAAAGACAGCGCGAAGTGAGACTGCAAAAGTCCCAGGAAAACGTCACTCACCAAAACGCTCCCGCGCCTTCCAGGCAGAAGTGCGGTAAAACTTTTGGCAGAAACCACCTGTGGCTGCCGACGGGCCCGCCCCGCTCGGGCCCGCAGGCGCCGCCGAGCCCCGGGCCGCACGCGCCCGCAGAAGTTCCTTTCCAGCCCCGCGCGCCACTTCGCTCCGGGCCGCGGTGCCAGCCAGGAGGCGCGGCGCCCGCTCGCTGGCTCGCTCTCCGCTGGCTCTCCCCTCCCTCCTTCCCTCCCTCCCTCCTCCCGCCTCCTCCGTTGCATGGCTGCCGCACGGAGCCCCTGAATAGCCACCGCAGCCCCCCGCCTCCTGCCCACCGCGCGGAGGGCGCCCCTGCTCCAGCCGGCGCCCCAAGGCGCGCGGACCGCCGGCCTCCTAGCAACGGCCCCCGCAATCGCTTTCCGGCGCAGCCCAAGCAAAGCCACCCGCCCGCCGCCCCGCGACCTCCCGAACTGCCTCGGCTGCCGAGGTGCTGTGGAGATCGCGACCCCGGCAGCCGGCGCCCGAGCCCGGCGCGCGAAGCCGCTCACCTCCGCGCGCCGCCGGCCCTGCGCGCCTCCCGCACTTGGCTCCGGGACGCAGTCCTGGCGTCCTCCTTCGCCGCCGGTGTCCGCCGGTCCCTGCGCGCCCGAGCCTCGCCGGCCGCGCCGCTGTCAGAGTCTCGTGGCGGGGCTGCGCCGGCGGGTATGGAGCTGAGCGGCGGCAGCGGGCGAGCGGGCAGCTCCTCCCTCCCCGCGCCGCGCCTCCGCCCTCCCCGCGCCCCGCCTCCCGCGCCGCGGCTGTCAGCCCCGCGCCCCGCGCCCCGCGCCCGCGCCGCCGGCTCGGGGGGCGCACAGGGCTAAAGGGCCCGGATGTGTGCGGTCGCCTGTCGCTCGCGCCCGCCCCCTCCCCGCCGCGCGGCACATGCACTTGCTGCGCCGCAGCCCCCGCCCGGCTCCGCTAATTTCTATTTTGACAGTAACTGTGGCGAGTGGGCGGCGCGGCGGGGGGCGCCCGGGACTGGCGGAGGCTGCGGGCGGGAGTCAGGACCCGACGCGGAGGCGGAGTGGGGGGGCCGGGCACCGCCACCAACCGCTCGGGGCTCCGCGTCTTTTCTCTTTCTTTCCTTTTTTCTCTCTGCCTCCTCCAGGATTTAAAGGGACAGCCCCGGCAGAGGCGAGGGGGCCAGGCGGCCGCCGTTTCTCCGGTCTCCTGACGCCCTCTGCGGCCCGGCCGGACCCGCCCGCACCCCCAGCGCAGGCTTGGGACCGCCGGGTATTTTTAGGTCCACACCCGACCCGGGGCAGCGGTGCGGCAGAGATGGGCTCTGCCGACCCGGGGCAGCGGTGCGGCAGAGATGGGCTCTGCCGCCCCGGCGCACGGCTATTTTTACAGAGTCCGATGGGGGAGGAAATAAAACAACTCGGCAACTGCTTTTCTACCCGAAAGTCGGGAGCAAGGAGTGGGGGCGAGAAGTTAAGTTTCCCAAATGCTCTCGGCACTCCAGCGAGCGCACCAAGACGCCTAGCCAGCACCTGAAACCGCAAGCTTGCCGCACCCCGGGGCGCCGAATCTCAGCGGGCAATCGCGCTCGGCGGCGCTGCGGCCCGGAGTCCCCACCCCTCTGGAGCCTTGGGCCCCGCACTCCGCACCCCACACGCCGGGGAGCAGCCGCTGGCCGCCCGTCACTCCCCGGGTCGGCCTGGAAGGCGGCCTTCCGAAGCGTCCAATCACCGCGCAACAATGCCAACGGGCGGGCCCGGGGAGGGCTTGTCCCCGCCCCGTCCCGCCGGGCCCCGCCCCCTCGGAGTCTGTCGGGGCAGGAGAATCTCGCTGGGACGCCGAGTGCTCAGCGGTGCTGGAAGCCACGAAGGGCCAGTGCGAGGGGAGGAGGAAGGGTCCTGGCCCTGGAGAGGGCGTGAGCGTTCTCGGGCGAGGCGACACTTGGGCAGATGTTCCCTCCAGCTACGGGCCGGGGAAACTCGAGCTGGCTTTGCCTCCTACCTTTTTGCAGTCCACCCCTCTGCGCTCCAGACAGACATAGGAACCCTCGCCCTCCTTGGTAGTACATCGGAGGCAGCACCCTCGCACGTCAGCGGGTCCTCTCCGGGGCTCCTCCCTCAGAAGCGGGAAAGTTTGTCGTCCTCAAACTCCTACCCGGCTGCGCTTATCTGAGGCGCACCTGGCGCCCAGGAGAGGCGAGATGGCGAATCCCGGCCGCCTAGTGCCCATTCTGGCTACGGATTAATAAAAGGGCAGTGGGGCTGCTGCTGTGTCCTTTAATGCTGAAGACACTGGATGACATTTTTTACAGAATTCACAAAAATAAGTTTGTGAACCTTTGGTGCCTCTTCCTAATATCACTTATTGGGATTTTTTTTTAAACCATTTCATTCATTCGTGTAATAAACGCACATTGCAAGATAGTACGTTGGGAGTAGTGAAAACAAGGGAAAACGGGCTCTGGAATAGGATGTAAGAGTGGAAAACTAGATATGAATAGAGGGATCTGAAACGTAGGGTTTGGGTACAATTATGTCACGTTTAATTTGCCAAAGAGATCTGGTTTTTCCTACTAAGTAAATTTCACCAAATGAACAGTTTGGACAGCCATCTTATCCAAACTATTCAAATGCACATGTAAATCTAGGATAGTCTATCGTGGAACCTAAGGTATGTTCAGGCTCAGGATGTCAGATTTCCAAGTTGCTAAAGCTTCCAGAATGGCAAAATAATATATCTCGCTTTCAGCAGCTGTGGCAGCCACTGCCCTCTCATATTAGGTTTGTCTCTCTGTTAAATTAAGTTGCCTGTCTTGCTTCCCTTCATTAAAGGGTTTTCAGTTACTTGGAATGCTGCTGACCCAGCTGATATGGCCCCGCTTCTAAGCCATAAGTCTGGCTGCGCCTCATGCCAAGCATGCGGATGCATTTAGAGAGCACCTAGAGGATCCCAGCCCTGCAAATGCCCAGACACCTGCAGGAAATAGAAATGTAGTTCTGGGGGTGAGGGCAGCTACAGCCATAAAAAGGGCATTTAGGTTGAGAAAAGAGGGATGTGGGCAGTAAATTAGACTCTAATAGTAAAGAGTCTAGTAAATAGTAAATAGACTCTAATATAAATGTGGCTCTAAATCAGAAAGTTTCTCCTCTCTTCTCTGGCTCAAAGTAGATGTTCTATAGCTTTAGCTCATGGAATAGCGTAAGCATGGAGATCCAGTGAGTGCTGTAAGATTTATTTGCAACGTACTAGTTTGGATGTAAGTGCAATGGTAAACGTTGCTTTGCAATAATTAATAGAATTTACTGCCAAACTTTAACAGTTATCAGCCATGTATCCTAGAAAAAAAGCATGTCATTCAACTCTCTAAAGCCTCCATTTCCAAATCTGTAAAAAGGGAGATAATAGTAGGTCCCTTTCTACTCCATAGAGATGCTGGAATGGTCGGGTGAGAAAAGGCGAGGGCAAGTGTTGCCCCATGAACAACATTCATTAAGGGGTTACTGTGTATTAAGCACTGTAGAGCACATTGTAAATTGTCAATATTAGTTATGGTGATAAACTCTAAATAAATTATCTGAGAATTGGGATCAAATTTTTACCTATTTCCCGAGGATGTTGAAAGACTGATTCAAGAAAAAAGAGGGGAATTAACATTTACAGAGCTCTTTCTAGATTAGAACTTACGGTTTCCATTGCTATATGTTTCTCATGACAACTGTATGCAATATATTTTGTTGTAACCGTTTTATAGATGAAAAATCTGATATCAATAGTGGTGGTAATGGCCATGTTGCCACCGCTGGGTAGTGTCAGGGGCAGCATTTGGATCCAGGTTCGTGAGTTCAGAAGTTCACGAGCATCCTCCCCTGCGATGCTGCCTCTAGAGGAGAAAGAGGGAAGAGGCTTTGAATAAATCAGAGCAGAAGAGAAATTCAAGGAAATCATGGTGTGTATTACCTACCATAAGGCAGACTGGGTGAAGTGCCTTCCTGGAAAAGGTAGCACTGGACTCAGTCCCTAAGTTTGCATGATATTTTTTATTTTTTCTTAGTTCGTTTTTTAATTTTTATTTTGAAATAATTTCAGATTTACAGAAAAGTTACAAAGATAATATAAAGAATTGTCATATATCTTCACCCAGAATCTCCATGTGCCAACATTTGCCCATGTTTGCTTTACCCTGCTGTTTCTTTGTATATACATATTCTTTTTTTCTAAACTGTTTGAGCATAGGCTGAAGATATGATGTTCCTTTACTGATAAATTCTTCAGTGAATGTTTTTTAACAATGAGGACGTTCTTATATAATAATCAAAATCCAGATCTAACCATAGATACAACACTATTATCTAGTCTGAACTATATTTAGATTTCACCAACTGTCTCACCAATAGCAAAAATGAAAAAATAAGTAAATTCTAGGCAGGATTCAATTCAGGATTGCATATTGCGTTTAGTTATCATATCTCTTGGGAGAGTATTTTTTATTTTACTAATTTTTCTTTCTCATTTTAGTGGCCATACATTTATAGCCCATATGGGATGACAAAGACTTTCTCCTTGACCACACTTGAGGCAGGCTCCTTTGAGGCTTCATTTCCACTGGGCTCCCACCCTTGGGCCCTCTCTTCAGCCAGCCAAGTCCAGTTGTAGAAAGAATCCTTCTAAGTTAGTTTAGTGAAAACCCCCCTGACCCTTGATCTCCGAGCACCCTGGCCTGCCTTTAGCAAGAATCCTGTTAGGTTAGTCCAGCAAGAATGCACCTACCCTTAATGTCTCCTCTTAGTAATTTTCCATCTATCGACCCCCTTACTCTGTACCTTGGCTATAAATCCCCACTTCCCCTTGTTGAGCCCAGTCTCTCCCCGCCATTGCAACACTCCTATTGCAATAGTCTTGAATAAAGTCTACCACTTCCCTACCATTTTTACAAGTGTCAAAGTAATATTTTCTTTAAAAGGGCCAAAGAAAATATAGAAAAATCAAAACTCACTTGTAATCACTCACCAGCTATAACCAACATTAATCATTAAAAAAAAAAAAAAAGTACATGTGTAATCCAACCATACAACCACCATTCCCTTCCAGGGGCCAGCTTCCCCTAGAAAATACCAAGAATATGGAAGTTCTACTTTCTGTTCCTCCTGAAGTTCTTCCTCAGTGTCCAGCATGATCCTGCTGTCCCTAGCTCAGCCATAACCCACCTCACCATTTTGCTCCTCACCCCAGACTCCAGTTACCATCTCCCTCAAGAAAATGCTGCATCCCCAAGAGCCCCCATGAAGAAGCTAGTGGAGATAGGCCATGCCTCTTCTATACACCTCTTTTTTCTTTGCCACACCAGGGCCTACAAAGGCTCTACTAGATAACAGATTTCACAAAGGGTTTGGAGTAGCTCAAGGGAATTAGAATGTAACACTGGACAACTTGAAGCTGTGCATGAGATATGACTTCCCTCATATTCCAGAGAAGAGCAACCAGGGGTTGAACTCTCCATACAGGATTACTTGATGGTACACCCCTGCTTCTAACCTGGCTCCCCAGCTTTCAGGAGACCTTCTTGCCTCACAGGCAATTCATCTACCTTTTGACATGACTCTCCACAGGAGAGAACCAACCCCAAATCTCAGGAAAGGACTTCTCTGGGATCCCGCTCCTTCCTCCTTCAAACATGCATTTCCTAAGCCTCAGTCATCTAGTCACCTAAAGAAACACTCTGGGGTAGTTGGCTGGTCACCAACACAAATGTTAATGGTGACCATTGGCATCCCCAGTGCAGCTGAACAGCTAAACCAGCCAGGGAAGGTTGGGTCTACAGGCAAGTCCAGCCCCCTTCAAGACTGCCCAGCTGTCTGAGTTATAGGTATGCCTATGTATTCTTCCAAATATTCAGCAAGTAATTGTTGAACCAAGTGTCTACACATGTACACTTCAACACACTCCTTCCAAAGACAATTCTCAGAGATGGAGAAAATTCACTCTAAATCTATGAGGATCACAATTTGCTAATTATCTCAACTTCTGCAAAATGCAGTCGTGTTAGTTCCTTGCCTTCATCTTCCTTCCCCTGAATTTATATTGTCTAATTGTCCCTCTCCCCTCCTCCCGTGAGAATAAGGAATGAGAATCACTGAGTTAGGGACCCAATGGGGTTGCTCTTGGTCAGCCAAGCACCTGGTCAGAGCTGTGCAAGGCTGAGGGTGTGATTAAACTTTCAGCAGAGAGGCCTGGCCACACTCAGAGGTTGTGTAGAAGGAACAGAGGGCTGCTTTTATTCAGGATGTACAGGGAACCAAGCAAATATTAGTTGCAGAGTACCCGCCTATATAAAAATTTGATTTTAAAATGTGTCACAAAATTCATGGCTCATATGAAGTATCATGATTTAACAGTGAAGACTTAGAATAATGAGTAGAAAATATGTATTTATGTCAATACCACCAGTTTGTAGTAAATTTTTTTTTTTTAATTGACAGAGTCTCACTCTGTCTCCCAGGCTGGAGTGCAATGGTGTGATCTTGGCTCACTGCAACCTCTACCTCCCGGGTTCAAGCGATTCTCCTGCCCCTGCCTCCCAAATAGTTGGGATTACAGGCATGTGCCACCATGCCCAGATAATTCTTGTATTTTTAGTAGAGATGGGGTTTCACCATGTTGCCCAGGCTGGTCTCAAACTCCTGACCTCAGGTGATCAGGTGATCCACCTGCCTCAGCCTCCCAGTGTTGGGATTTCAGGCATGAGCCACCATGCCCAGCCAGTAAAGATTCTTTGTAATGTCCAGGCACTTTCTCTTTCTGTTCTAGTTCAGAACCCATTTTTCCTTTTTTTTTTTTTTTTTTCATGTTTAGTGTTGTCAAATGCACTATTCTTCAGTAACTTTCTATCTCCTACCTTGAGAAAAAGTAGTAACACTGTTATTATTCATAATGTCGTGGCTCTTTAGAACCTGTTTGTATTGAAACAATATAGCTTTCCTTGCCTCTGCAGTTGCCAGCTACCAATTGCTCATGATGCTGCGTCATAAATCCAGCAGTCCACGAATACTGGCTTCTGATGACTCTCAAAGGTGACTATGCTTTGCAGATGAGGACCTCAAATGCAAGTCTTAGCCAGAGTATGCAGGAAGGGGTTACCAATGGTTTAACCTCTGTTCATGTTAAATTTACCATTTGGAATTATGTAGAATAATATAAAACCACACATCTTCTACCTATGTCTTCTCTTAAGCTCTTTAGGCTGTAATCACTGTATTTCTAGAATGTGGTCTCTTTTCATGTTGGCCAAGACCCCTATGTACTGGGTTGAACAGTGTTTTCCCAAAACTCATATCCACCTGCAACCTGTGAATATGAACTTATTTGGAAATATTTGGTCTTTATAGATGTATCAAGTTAAGGTAAGGTTATGCAGGATGGGGGTGGCGTGCCTACATCCAAACAGTGGTATTCTTATAAGGAGAAGAAAATTTGGAAACACAGAGACACACAGGGGACATGCCATGTGAAGACAGAGGCAGCTATTGGAGAGATACGTCTACGCGCCAAGGATCACCAAGGATTGCTGGCAACCAACAGAAGCTGGAACAAAAGCATGGAACAGATTCTCACTCAGAGCCTCCAGAAGGAATTGGTTCTGCTGACACCTTGAATTTGAACTTTTGGCCTCCAGGATTGTGAGAGAACAAAGCTTTGTTCTGTTTAGACACCAAGTGGGTAGTAATTTGTTGTAGCAGCCCTAGAAAATGAATACACCCTGCTTTCTACAGACTCAATGAGAAGGATGGGCCAGGAGCCCATGGGTAGAGTGAGAAGGAATGTCCATCCTTGGTCCAGCATGGTATAAGACTGACCTGGAAAAACACGCCAGCACCACATCATTTGGAGGCAAAAGAGGACACTGAAGAGAAAGACTCATAGGCGTTGTGGAACAGTGGTCTCAAAAATCATCAGAGGAAATAGCAAATGCCACCCCCAGAGGACAGCCTGACCAGTGACATAGAGTCTACTTAGGGTATGGGTGACAGCCACATGTTGGCAGATGTCTTTGACAAACTTCTTGTCTTAATTCACATTTTAAAATCATTAATGAGCCTGATATTTTTAATAAGCTTTCTGACCATTAATATTTCTTTTTTTTGTAATTGCTTGCTTGTGCCCTTTGCCCATTTTCTAATGGGTTGTTCCTCTTTTTTCTTACTTACTTGTAAGAGCTCTTCACATAGTGAGGATATTAACCCTATAACTGTCACATATGTTACAACTATTTTTACCATTTTGCCATTAGCTTTTATATTTTGTTCTTACTGATGTCTCTAATATTCTAAATTACACAACTAATGTGTCATCTCTATTAATTTCTAATAATACATAAGTATTTCAGGTTAAGAGAATTAACTTCTGGCTGGGTGTGGTGGCTCACACCTGTAATCCCACCACTTTGGGAGGCTGAGGTGGGTGGATCCCCTGAGGTCAGGAGTTTGAGACCAGCCTGGGCAACATGGTGAAACCCTGTCTCTACTAAAAATACAAAAATTATCCAGGCATGGTGGCATGTGCCTGTAATCCCATCTGCTCCTGACGCTGCAGCAGGAGAATCGCTTGAACCCGGGAGGCAGAGGTTGCAGTGAGCCAAGATCATCCCACTGCACTCCAGCCTGGGCAACAGAGTGAAGACTCCTGCTGCAAGAAAAAAAAAAAGAAGAATTAAATTCCCTTTCACACCCATAACACACAAGAATTTTCCTCTTCTCCCTAGAGATAACTGCTTTTCACAATTTATTGACTGCTTCCCAAACCCTGTTCCATGCATTTCTATTAAGATTCCTTTTGATGCACAAGCATTTTAAACTTCCCTTGGTTAAGTTATTCGTCTCTTGAAGCTTGGTGGAGATGTCATCCACTCTATGACTAGTGTCATATTAGACCTTGCCCCAAGGTATATTAATACTCACCAATATTTTCTTCCAATGTATTTATGATTTCATCTGTTTTTCCACATTTAAATCTGGAATTAATTTGGAATTTATGTAGAGTATTGCTTGAGGTAAGGAACTTGCTCTATTTTTCTGAATTGTGATGTAGACGTGATGAATATTGAACAAAAGCACATCTTGGAATAAAGAAATAGAACAGACAAATGCACAAAGGTAAGGATTTGCAAAGTTAGTTCAAGAAATAGCGACCTAGTGTGGTGATAGCATGTGGGGAAATAGAAAATACAACTGGAAATGTAGGTGAGTTCAGATCCGAGAGGAATTTGAAATTTAGAGTTTCAATCTGTAGGCAAGGAGGAGACCTGAGGGGTTTGGGAAGTGAAAGCATCCAACGAGAGCCATCCATTCTGCTGATGACACCATTGGCAGCTTGAGAGCAGATGGGAGCTGGGTGCACGAGGCAGAGAGATGTGAGAAGGCCACTGCAGTGGCTCAAGCGAAAGTACCGTGAGTCTGACTCAGGATGGTGGCAGTGGGGCCAGAGAGGAGGTGATGATTGCTACAGACCTGGAGGAGGGGGTCAGCAGGCCTCAGAGAATGACTGAGTATGGAGAGGAGGGAAGGAACCTGGGGTGACTAACTCTCATGCCTGAGTTATTGTTAGGAGGACAGAAATTTCTCATCATGTGGCTGCAGATGTTATTCTGTTCCTCCAGCTCTTCTCCATCTGGTTCCTCATATGGAAGGTTGATTCCTCATATGGAAGGTTCATTTTACAGATGAAGAAACTGAGGTTCTGGAACTCAGCGACTTGCCCAAGAGCGATAGGGGAGCTAGGTCCCCATTGCAGCACCTGGAGGAGTTGTAGAGGGCAGGGCTCTGGAGCTATGTTGCTCCTCTTGGAGTATGATGAGATTGCCTCATCTGTGTGCAAGGAGTGGAGGCGCAGTGGGGCAGGGGATGAGGACACGTGCTCTTATGTGTGTCTGTGCCATAGGCATGTGTGGGTGAGTAGGATGGCACATGTGCCCGATGGATTTCTCTCTCAAGAAGTGTTGATGGGCACCAGTGCTCCCTGGGTGGCTTCCTCTTCCCAAATAAACAATCATATGACACAATGTCTGAAAGCCCAGAATATTTCCTGTCTCTTTGGCCTGATGCCCTGTGTGCTGCAAACCTGGAGCCATTGCAGCCACCCCAGCCATCCACCTCCTTCCACCCCAGTCTCTAGCGCCAGACTCCTGGAACACCGTGAGCTCATGTGCCTGGCCTGCCTGGCCTGCCTGGCACCAGCCACTCAAAGAGGCTGTAACTTCTTCTTTCAGCCAAGGAAAACCCAGAGGCTGGGCCAATGACCTGAACTTTCTCCAAAAGCCTGGCCCAGCTCCATTTCCACACCTGGAGGCCCTGTCCTCCCAGGGGTCTGTTACTCCCACTGGGGCCCCTATTTGGGAACTCGTGAGCAGAGTCCATGGTTACCAAAAGGAAGTTGTGTTTACCAGGAACCGTGACCTTCTCTCCAAGCTGTAAGTAAAGCAGCAACAGCACAGGAAGCGAAAGGGGACCTGGAAGTTTCTGGCCTACAGAAATCTATCCATCCACTGGGGTCTAGTTAATTGGTCATCCACCTGTGACTCCTTACTCAATGATTTGATTTGGCTCTACGTCCCCACCCAAATCTCACCTTGAATTGTAATAATCCCCACGTATTGTGGGAGGGACCTGCTGGGAGGTAATTGAATCATGGGGGTGGGTTTTTCCCTGTGCTGTTCTCCTGATAGTGAATAAGTCCTATGAGATCTCATGGTTTTATAAAGGGGAATTCCCCTCAACATGTTCTCTCTTGCCTGCTGCCATGTAGGATGTGACTTTTCTCCTCACTCATATTCCCTCATGATTGTGAGGCCTCCCCAGCCATGTGGAACTGTGAGTCAATTAAACCTTTTTCTTTTATAAATTACCGAGTCTCGGGCATGCCTTTATTAGCAGTGTGAAAACAGACTAATACAACCAAACTCCATGAGAAAGCACTCTGAATTCCCACAGCAAATGTGTATAGTGTTATTATAGCCATTGTTACCTGAAAAGAAAATACATTCTATTTTTCTGTGCCAAGCCCAATTGATGGGTAGTGATTGTCTGGTAGCTGTCTCAAGAAGAAAGCTGAGGCCGCATGCAGGCACAGCAGGAAGTCTCGCCACCACCTGGTAGGAAAGGCAGCTGCAGTGGGTCACAGCCAGGTACCGCATGGCTGCCTGCTCAGACTACCACACTGCACTGCCCTTGGTTACTTCGACTACCCCCTGCCCCAACCGCCAATCACCATATAAGTAATTTGGGGACAGGATTCCATTCGTTCATTTTTGTATCTCCAGTACCTTGCATAGTGCCCGGCATTTAGTAGGTGCTCAGGAAATACTTTGCTGAATGAATGTTTGGTTAAAAGACTCCATAATCCTTCTCATAGCATGAGAAGCGGATGCATGTGGCCTAACCGTTGACAAGTAGTAATTATGCAAACTCAACTTCCTCCAGCCATGCCTCCCTGAGCCCTACACAGGGGAGGCCGCTCCTTCTCTAGGCACTTGAGGTCTCTCCTGTAATCTTATTCCTGATGACATGTTGTCTGACTATGTCTTTATATAGCTTTATTTTTATGTCTCCAAATTAATAACTTGAGGTTAGCAATGGTAGCTTCTCCTCTAACTTACACTGTACCTAGAATGTTGAACCCAGAGGCACTTAGTAATTCCTGGTTAAATGAATGAATGTGTCATCTTCTGACTCTCCAATGTCATTTGCTCTTCTGTTTTTTAAACACTCTTCATTTGGTTTAGCATCTGGTAGTCAATGGATTCCCATCTCACATAAATGTATCTGATTTCTTCTTAGCAAACAGTGATGACCTTAATTCAATTTCTAAATATTAATCAAATCATAGAATTTTGTCAGAATGTACCATACAGTTTAAAACACTTGACAGATTAACAAACGGAGACTCTAATCATTGACAGAGCTTCTATCTCCTCTCTCCATTTCATTCATTTATTCATTCAATGATAGTATTTTAGAGTAAAATATTTAATAAAAACAATGTATTATAGATAATTTTTGGAATAACACAGAGCAAACCATACTTCTTAATGTTTTGATATCTAGTTTATATTTGTGTGAGCTGCTAGACAAAACCAGCCTTAAATGTAGGCAGAACTGGCAGGACTCCCCAACTCAGGTTCACTGGACTTTAAATCCCTCTCCCACCCACACACAGCCCTTCAACAAGAATTTACCAACAATCTAACTTGTGCTTTAGCCAAGTATCAACAGTGATACAAAAGCAATGGAATACACAACCCATGCCCTCCAAGTATTGAGCTCTACAACTGTCTAGAGCTTTAAACATATTTATGGGCTGTCAAAGCTGTAACAGCATCTCATGGAAGCAGATTTTCTAGAAATTTAAAACTTAATCCTCAGACATCAGAACTTAAAATATATACATATTATATATATATATGAAAGAAAGCGTTCTGAAACATATTACATACCCACTATTCTTACTACAGACTGTTTGCTGGGCTGTCATTTCTTCATTTTGCTGGCTTCCTGCTTTTTTTTTTTTTTTTTTTTGCTGTTCCCACCTGGTACTCTTCAAAAGGGCCACTCTGGGTAAACCTCTGTGCTTTTCTCTGCTTCCTTTCCTTTACCCAGGTCATTTATTGGATCAGCTCCATGAACACATTAACATAAAAGCTGTGCAGTCACACAAGCGCCCCCCTACCCCGCCCCATACTCAGGAGGGCCCTACACTTGCTTTAACACTCTGCTGTAGCTGTCTTGATTTTTTTTTGGTTTTTTTTTTTTTGAGACAGAGTCTCTCTCTGTTGTCCAGGCTGCAGTGCAGTGGCACAGTCTCGGCTCACTGTAACCTCTGCCTCCCAAGTTCAAGCGATTCTCCTGCCTTAGCCTCCCTAATAGCTGGGATTACAGGCACCTGCCAACACACCCAGCTAATTTTTGTATTTTTAGTAGAGATGGGGTTTCACCATTTTGGCCAGGCTGGTCTCGAACTCCTGGCCTCAAGTGATCCACCTGCCTTGCCCTCCCAAAGTGCTGGGATTACACTGGGCAGCCACCGCCCTCCACTTTGAAATTCCTAATAATAATCTCATTTTTGGATTTGTGTTTTATATGTGAAGTCCCATGGGACGACGAAGCATGCACGTGAGCAGAGGAGAGCTGCTCCATGTCATCTGCCCTTGGCTGCCCCGCTCACACATAGTGCCTGCTGTGCCCACTGTGCTGCTCTCATGACACCCTTACGAGGCCCTCCCTTTGAGTCTCCTGGACTCCCATGCATTGAGCCTACAGGAGTTCTGTGCTCATGTTCCATATTCGCTCGTCTACAACTGAGTGAGCAGGGAACTGACAGCCCAGAGAGGCCAGCTTTCCATTCAAACCAGAGCTTGCTTCCAATTTAGAAAGATGACAATGACATTCTAAGAAGCACAAATGACCAAGGAACCCTATCATATCCTTTTTTACTAACGTTGCTTCTCTATGTTAGCCAGGCACTTATACTGAAAACGGTGACATCCAAAGAAAGGAAAAGACAGGCAGCCCAAGTTCCTTGTCCTGTAAGTCCTTCCTTACTTGTCAGTGAACTGAAGGTAGAGGTGGAATGTATCAAAACGTGAAATAAACAGGGTTGAGTTGGTTTTATCCAGCATCTCCCCTATTGTGATAAGAATAAAACACATATGAATATATGGGGTATGAAACATGAATTGCATAATTTTGGTGATTCTAAAGATGAGTTAAATGCCTTTACATTTGCACTTAAAACCGGCATCGTTTATGCCAAAGGAGGAAAAGACACAGGTATCCATCGAGGGATGAGCGAGGTACCTAGAGAAGTCAAACTCATAGACAGAAAGTCGCAGGGTGGCAGTCAGGGCCCGGGTGGAGGGGAGACTCGGGAGTTACTGCTTAATGGGGACAGAGGATTCAGTTTGGAAAGATGAAAAAAGTTCTTGGGGAATGATGGTGCCGATTGCACCACAAGGTGAAAGTACTTAATGTCATACACTTGAAACCATACACTTGAAAATGGTTAAAGTGGTAAATTTTATGTTATGGGCATTTTACTGCGATCAATCAATCAATGGCACCATATAAAGATAAATGGCAAAATTCATGCTAATAATTTATGTTTTATTTTTCGTTACTTATAGTCACAATAGCAACGTTAAAAAAAAACATAAATTGGGAGAGATTACAGAAGGAAAAAAAGCTTTGTATTTGAGTACCTTTAACTTCACTTCGCCCCTGGGTTTTCATTTTGCACCGGCACCGCCCACTCCATAGCCAGCAGGGTCCTCGCTGTCCATCAACATCTGAGTTCCTGCGGGCTGGTTGCCTCCTTAGCCTCCACATTCACCACCCTCCATACACATGCTCGCCCCTTTTCCCTCCAGTTTCTCCTCCTTCCCTGTTCTTCCTCCCGCCTGCCTTTCTTTTCCTTAATCAAGAGCAAGAGAGGAGCTGTCAGTCTCTCCACTTACTTTCCTGGAGGGCATTTCATCTCCTTCCTCGCCCTCCCGCTTTCACAGAGCCCCGCCCACAGCCTTCTACCTCGCCCTCTGCTCATTCCCCTCCTCCCTTCCCCACCCACTCCCTTCCCTTTGAAGATCAGCTTTGTCCGCCCCTTCTCTTTCATCCTGTAGCCTCGAAGGACTACTCCCATGCCCCCTGCTTCCTGCTGGTTTAGGTCACTCGTGAGTTGGGAGAAGATCCCGTCCACCTAGAGGTCTGAAGTTTATTTTTTTCTCTCCACTCGACTGGATTCAAAATGGGTTATCCAGAAACACTTCAAAAAGAACAGGTGGGCAATGCAAATGGCCAGCAATGGATGAATAATGGATAAACTAAATGTGGTCTATCCATACAATGGTATATTATTCAGCCTTAAACAGAATGAAATTCTGAAAATGCTACAAAACATGAATGAACCTTGAAGACATTATGCTAAGTGAAATAAACCAGATGCAAAAGGACATATACTGTATGATCCCACTTAGATAAGGGACTTACAGTAGTCAAATTCAGAGGTAGAATGAGTGGTTCCAGGGGCTGAGGAAAGAAGGAAATGGAGAGTTATTGCTTAATGGGTACAGAATGTTTTTTGTGGATGATAAAAAAAAGTTCTGGAAATGGATAGTACCAGTGGTTTACAACATTGTGAATGTACTTAATGTCATTAATTGTACACTTCAAAATTGTTAAAATGGTAAAATCTATGTTATACATATTATATCACAATAAAAAAGTACAGGTGGGAATGCTGACCTGTGCCCTGGCCTCTTTATCATCTTCCTTCTCCTCCTAGAGGTGTGTGTGCCCTGGAGGAGGGAAAGGATGAGTTGGGTCTTCAGCTCAAGGAGGGGCAGGAAAAAGAGGAAATGAAGGTGAAGATGTGGTGTTCTCCCTCAAGGTTATGGTGCTGGCTGACATTGCACTTGTCTAGTGCACAAGCATCTCAAACACAACATCTGCAAAAGCCAGCTTACACTTCCCCAGAGCTGGGTTCTACCTGGGTTCATTTTCTGTGAACAGAAGTGTATTAAACTCTTAGTTTGGCTTCCCCTGAATCATACCTGCAGACAAGGATCCAGTTGCAAGTCGTTTTGTTGGGAGGTGATGTCTCAGTGAGGCCTGATCTGACCATTCCATTTAAAAATACAACCCCCCTCTTGTCCCACCAAGACCATGCTCTATTTTTAGAGCATTTATCGGCTTCAAATATACTTTGTAAATCACTCATTTATGATGCTTATTCTTATGGTCTATTTTTCCCCATTAGAGTATAAAACCACAGTGCATGTTTTTTCATCTATGTTGTTCATGTTAAGTCTCCGGGACAGTGCACATACAGTAAGCTAGAAAAACATAGATGTTTTTCATCTGTGTTGATGTATGTTAAGTGTACTGATTGGTGCACACACTGTAAGCTTGATAAACACTTGTTGAGTGAAATAATGATTTGGTGAATTGTGATGGCCCCATTTTTTGCTCCCTTAATAGCCAGAAACCACATTAGTGCAGATACTGCCTTATTCTCTGAATCTTGCACACCTAGCACCATGCCTGTCACATCCTGGAATGTTTGAACATAAGACAGTGTAACCCAGTCTAGAGTGACAACTCCTGGCCATGCCTATTGTCTCACCATTGCATCTTTAAAGTTGTGATGCCTTGAACTCTGAGGACTGTACCTGTTTTGTGATCATTTTTCTTTTTCCTGTCTTGCATTTAGCCATCCTAAAGATAAGTCTTCAAGATAAGATTGAGCATGTCCGCCAACCTAGGCACCCATTTGCCTGAAGATTTTTGGTGACACCTGAAGAGGTTGACTCTTAGGTTCCTCTCTCTAAACTCCAGAAAGACCACTCCTCTTCTGACACTTAATTTGCTTCTATGTGTTAATGTTATAGATTATTGAGCAGAAGCTCACACATGCTCTGGGCACTCAGTATTCCAGTTCCTATCTTAAGTCCCCCTTGACTTTCCACCTGAGCACTTTTTCTTAGCCAAAGTGACAAGGAGGTAATGTTTCCCTCTCTACCTACTGGGAGCAGCCCTGGTGGATGGGAATTAGAAGGTAAGTTCTTCAGCTTATTCACATCTCTGGGCATGGGGGTGTGGGGGACCATGGGCATGTTTGATTCTGTCTGCCAGAGTTCTCCAGAGTGATGAACCCACTCGCCATCAGAGGTACTCTGGTGCCACACCCCATAATACTCTTTATTGGATTCCTTCTCTTCCCCATGTTACTTCCCCATTCCCTAACCAGTGCTTCCTGGGCACATCTCCCAGTGGCTGCTGTGCTGAAATCTTGGTCTCAGCATCTGCTCCTGGCCAAACTAAGACAATTATATTATTGCTTTCTTATATGTACTGCTTTTCTGAAATCGCTAATGGTAGACTTTTTAACTTTTATATTACGAATTATAATACATATAAAATGCACACTTTCTGCATGTACAGCTCAAGGGATTATTGCAAAGTGAACACCAGCATGTCCACCACGCATGACAGAAAATAAAACAGCGCCAGTGCTCCCAGAAGTCCCTGTGCTGCCTCCGCCCTTTCTTACATGTCCCTCCTTCCCTAGCCACTATCCTGACTTCTAAAACCATCAATAACTTTGCCTACTTTTGAACTTGATATAAATGCACTTATTCAATATACATTCTTTCAGGTGTGACTTCTTTAACTCGCTAGTGTTTGTTGCCTTTCATCTATGATGCTGTACAGGGTACAGTTCATTAACTTGCACTGTGTCGTGCTCCATTGTATGGATATACCACAATGTACTTATCTATTCTATCATGGATAGTCATTCTGGGTGATTACAAAAACAAAACAAACAAACAAAAAATGCTGCTGTGAACATTCTTGTATGTGCACATGCATACACAATTCTGTTGGCTACATACATCAGGGTGGTCTCATTGTAGACTTGGGGGCACTTGTGATACTGGGTGGGAGAAATGATTTGTTTTTAGCAGGGGACCCTCTCTGGGTGCCCATAATATGATACCATGCATGCAGTTGGGTCCTTATTATTGCCATTTATAAATGTGGCTACAAATAAGGGGATCTGTGGCTGCCATAGCAAATTACCACAAACAAAACTTTATCCTTTCATAGTTCTGGAGGCCAGAAGTCAAAATCAAGATGTCAGCAGCACTGGTTTCTTCTGGAGGCTCCAAGGGAGAATCTTTCTGAGCCTGTCTCCTAGCTTTCAGTGGCCCCTGATGGTCACTGGCATTCTTTGGCTTCAGATGCATTTCTAAGCCCTGCCTCCATCCTCAAATTGCCTCTCCCCTCTGTCTTTTCCCCTTCTCTCCTCTTCTAAGGACACTTGTCATTGGACTTCAGGCCTATCCCAATCCAGGATGATCTCATCTTGAGATCCATTTACCTTAATTATATCTTCAAAGACCTTTTCCCAAATAGAGTAATAGTTACAGGTTCTGGGTAGACCTATCTCTATGGGCCACCATTCAATCCACTACAGGATCCAAGAAGTTGGAGATAGATCCTCCCTAAGAGTTAAACTTGTAAAATCAGTACACAAAGAAGAAGCTAAGTTCTCTGAGTCACCTTGGGCCATAGGCAGGACATCCCACAAATCAAAATATTAATACAAGGAGCAGTGTGTGGCAGAAATTAATCAAAAGCCTCTGTTAAGTGATCTTCAAAGAGTTTCCATTTTGTGAAAAGGCACCATAAAAATCAAAGTGCTCCTGGCCAAGGTCATACTTAGGTTGTTATTATCTGATGATTTGGTCTGCCCCACCCGGTCATCCCAGTCAGTCCTCCCAAAGAAAAATAGGAGGTGACAGAAGGGACACCCAGGCATAGAGTGAAAGTCAGGACACCACGATAGAGGAGAAACACTGAAGACAAATTTTTCACCTTGAAAATGTTCTGAGGACTGATTAAAAGACAGGGGCCCTAGTTGAAGAAAATACAGACACACACACACACACACACACACACACACACACACACACACACAAAGAAACTTTGCTTTACAAAGTATTCTTTACAGAGAGCTCCCCTGCAAATCATTTGTCTGCAGTATCCCTTTAGAAATCAAGTGTATTAGTTCATTTTCACACTGCTATAAAGAACTGCCTGAAACTGGGTCATTTATAAAGGAAAGAGGTTTAATTTACTCACAGTTCTGCATGGCTGGGGAGACCTTGGGAAACTTACAATCATGGTGGAAGGCAAAGGGGAAGCAGGCACCTTCTTCACAAGGTGGCAGGAAGAAGAATGAATGCAGGAAGAACTACTGAACCCTTATAAAACCATCAGATCTCGTGAGAACTCACTCACCATCATGAGAACAGCATGGGGGAAACAGCCCCCATGATTCAATTACCTGCACCTGGTCTGTCCCTTGGCATGTGGGGATTATGGGGATTATAATTCAAGATGAGATTTGGGTGGGGACACAAAGCCTAACCATATCATCAAGATTCCTTCATACATTTAAAATGCTTTTTTAACCCAAGATTGAGCTTGCTCATAGCTTTTCAGGACCATATCTATTGCCAAAAGCCAGGTTTTCTTGTACCAGTGAAAATGCTCTGGTAGTTTAATCATTTTTTGTTTGTTTGTTTGTTTGCCCTGGTCTCATGAGCAACTTAACATTAGCTCTAGTGAATAAACTGCTCCATGCTTCTCCTCATCTGGAAAATGTAAGGGTTTTCCTCCATGGAGCAAGCCTCATTCTGTCTGACGTATGCTGGAATCAGAAGACTTGGTATTCAATAGCAACAGGATCCTGGCATCTTGTTTCTTCTCTCTGTTCCTCCAAGCTCTCTATCTTTTAGATAAAATTAACAATTCAAAATTAGTAGAGGCTGGTGTGGTGGCTCATGCCCTTAATCCCAGCATTTTGGGAGGCCAAGGTGGGAGAATCACTTGAGCTCAGGAGTTCAAGACCATCCTGGACAATATAGCGAGACCCCCATCTCTACAAATATAAAATAAATTAGCTGGGTGTGGTGGCATGCATCTGTATTCCAAGCTACTGGGGAGGCTGAGGCAGGAGGAACGTTGAGCCTGGGAAATCAAGGCTGCAGTGAGCTATGATTGCACCAGTGCCTTCCAGCTTAGGTGGTAGAACAAGACCCTTTCTAAAAAAAAAAAAAAAAAAAAAAGGAGTGAGAAGTTTTTCTTTGGGAAGATTTTCTATAAATCTAAAACGTATTCAGGAAGAAATCTCTATTTCTCCTGCACAAACATGCCAGTATATTTTATTGATTCTAGAGTTTGCATGAAGCTGAAGCATCAGTTGTCCAACCAGGCTACACAGCAGCAATACCACAATCACAAGACAATTGCACAACAACCAGTATAACAGCTGTTGGAGTGCTGGATCTCTGAGTCAGATGGCCCCCTGATCACCCAGCTGTGTTAGCAGAGCCCAGAACCCACCACAGCAGCAGCAGGCCTGCAGACACCTGTTCAATTTGCTTTCCCTCCCTCTCCCCACACCCACTTTGCATTGCTCCTCATGATGCTTCCCAGCCAGCTGCCTTCCCCATCCCACGAAGCTGGAGCAAGAGCCTGCCTGCTGCAGGCACACCACACCCTCTCCCTCTGGCAATGGTGTAGTGTGAAGGAAAGGAAAGGAGCTCCGCCCACAAAGACCAGGCGAAGTCTCAGTTCGGAGCTAACTAATAATGGGGCCTCGAGCAAGTCCTTTCACCTTGCCGTGAGTAGGGGCTACCGCCCTTGCCAACATGGGGCTGAAGGCTTGGGCTCCAGGGAAGACCACCTGGGTTTCAAATTTGGATTCCCCTACTGAGTAGCTGTGTGACCTTGGGCAAGTGGCACAACTTATCTGTTTTCTCAACTACAAAATGGGGACAATAAAGTGCCTTCCTCACGGGGGTCATTGAAGATGAGTTGAAGTATTACGAGTGAGGAAGGCTGAACAGTGGCTGCCAAAGAGTAGGAGCTCAATAAATGTTGGCTATTATCTCACAGGTTGCAGGACTTGCAGGAAATGCTGGATGTGGAAAAACTGGGGGAGGTACAAGGCCAAAGAGAAAAAAGAGAGAGAAAGAGGCACATGGTCATTTTCCTAGTGCTTATAGCCCTTATTTATTAACCCCTTATTTATATATCTCATTTTTTGGCCTTTTCAATTTCTTTCTCTAAGAAACACCCGAAGCCAATTGTGCGATGGAAGAAGGAGTGCAGTTTTCTACCAGATTGATATGGTGGATTGTGGACAGCCTCGGAGGCCGCGATCTGAACAGTTCTTCCTGCCTGGGACGTGGTAACCCTCTGTTCTGAACTCGAAGCTCCAGTTCTTCCCTGAGCCTCCTGCTTGCCAGCAGCATGACCTTGAATATATTGCTTGCTTTCCTCACCTGTAAAATGGGATCATTTTACCTTCCCTGTCTCCTTCAGAGGAATATTGTGAAGTTCAAAAAGGAAGTGCTTTATAACTGGAAAGTGCCCTACACACATGACCACTTTCTTCAGAAAGGCCAGGCTGGGGAGGTGGGGATGGCTCACACCTGTAATCCCAGAACTTTGGGAGGCTGAGGCGGGTGGATCACTTGAGGTCAGGAGTTTGAGATCAGCCTGGCCAATATGGTGAAACCCCATCTCTACTAAAAATACAAAAATTAGCCGGGCATGGTGGCGGGCGCCTGTAGTCCCACCTACTCGGGAGGCTGAGGCTAGAGAATCGCTTGAACTCGGGAGGTGGAGGTTGCAGTGAGCCAAGATCGTGCCATTGAACTCCAGCCTGGGCAACAGAGTGAGACTCCATCTCAAAAAAAAAAAAAAAAAAGCCAGGAGAACATTGAGGACAGGGATCAGATCTTGTTCATCTTCTTATTCAACCCTTTCTTCCTCATTGTCTCCTTCCAACACCTGGCTAGTACCTCACACACACTCAGTGCTCAATAACATGCTTGCTGAGATGACTTGAGGTTGGGGAGAGAGAGGGAAAAGAATCCATAACCCTTGTGGGTTTCCTGCTCTGAAGGCCCTGCCATCTCTCAGCACTGCGTGGGCTTTCCAAACATGTCACCAGTGAAATCACAAGGCCACCAGGAGGGCGGCACAGGGTGAGGTCAGAGAGAATTATCTAATTTTGTAAATTGCATCTTGCAATCACACACACACCCATGGGTGGTAGTAAGGGAGAGAAGGGAAGGGAAGGCAAAGTAGACAATTTTATGCATGTAGAATTGCAGGTCCTGCCAGATGGCTCACAGGCCCAGGGCTGGCCCTGGGCAAAACTGTGCAGCAGGAAAGTTTGTGTTCATTGCTGTCACTCGCTCCATTTCATCATCCTCTCCATCCCCACTCCCCTACCCCCGCAGCACACACACACATCCTACCCTAGCACTCTGTCCTCTGACATATCCACACTTTCCTCTGGGATCCCACCTGCCTGCCACAGATCTGAGTCTTTCTCCACTCCCCTGCCTCATGGCCCCACCCTTTCTCCCACCAATAACCCCCTGTTCCATGAAAGCTTCCCAACAGCTTTGAGAATTGTCGTCCCTGATCATATTAGCATTGATCCACTCTTTTCAGGTAACAGAGTTTGAACTCCACCTCGTATTGTCACTGAGTGCAGATCTGCCTTCCAAGAGGAAGATGGCAGGTTCCTTGAAGTTGGGGACTGTATCAGGTCCTCACTGCAGCCAACACAGAGCCCAGTACTATCGGGACCATGGAAGCTGCTCAGGGATCACTCAGTAATATACTGGGCTTTTTTGCTTGTTTGTTTTACCAGTCACTTGCATGTTAGTACAAGCAGTCATGAAGTCAAAGTCTCTAAAAATGTTGGGTGGGATTAGGAGGATCTAAAGACTCCTGAGGATGGAGGAAATGAGCTCCTTAAAGGAACTGGCTGGAGGCTTACTCCCTCGGGTAGTGTCGTGGAACTGTAGTGTTCCATGAAAAAATTCTGACTCAGCTTGGGTGAAGAGTCTATGGGAATTCTCTGCAACATTTTGCAATTTTTCCATTAGTCTAAAAATCATTTCAAAATATAAAAGAAGGAGGAGAATGAGGAGAAGACAATGACAAGCCAAAGTCGTTTTACATAAATTTTATTAAACTTGGAGAAATACATTATTACTGTCGTATATAAGCTCTTTGAGGGCACTGAAAAAGTAAGAAAACCAACTAATTCATCATGTGAGGTTAATATGACCTTCATTCCAAAAGCAAGGACGATACAAAGAATGAAAAGCAAAGATCAGGCTCATGTATGGGCTCGGACACAATAGTTCTGAATTAACTGAGTAATAAGTTGAATATATCAGTGTATAAAGAAAAATATAACATAACTAAATAGGCTTTAATCCAGGAATGTGAGGCTGACTTATCATCAGAAAATCTTTTAATGAATTACACCATATTAGCTAATTATTATGCTCATTTAAGTGCTGGAAAACCATTAAATAAACATCAAATATTCTTTGATTTTTTAAATTCATAATAAATAAAAAGAAGTCTTGGCAAACTAGGAATTGCAGAGAATTTGTTAACAAGACAAAATCTATCGAACTATAAAAATAAGAAATTTCGTTCAGGAAACTTGCTATATAGAAGAATAGTATAAAAATTAGTGCATTTCTACAAATCGGTAATTGACAATTATAAAATGTAGTAGAGAAAAAGAACCCATTCATTAGAGCAATCAAATTTAGAAGGAAAATAGAACTACATTTGACAAGGGAAATATGTGCAAGCAGCTCACAAAGAAATGTGCACATCTCAGCAGTTATCCATTGCTATGGAACAAACCACCCTAAAACTTTGCAGCCTAAAACAACAACCATTTTATTTGCTCATGTTCTTGCAGGTCAGCAATCTGGTCCAGGCTTAGCTGGGGTGGTTTTTTTGCTGGTGTCACCAAGGCTCACTCATGCAGCTGCAGTTACCTATTGTCTCGATGGGCTGTATGATCTAAGATGGTGTCACTCATGTATCTGGTGGCTGGTACTGACTGTTGGCTGGGTTGCCTTCTGCAACCACGTAGCAATGGAACAGTTCCAAGAGGCAAAAGCAGAAGCTGCAAGGCATCCTGGGTAAGGCCACGGTTTGAATGTTTGTGTCCCCTCCAAAACTCATGTTGAAACTTAATCCTCAATGCAACGGTATTAAGATGTTTTCAGGCCTGGGGCAGTGGCTCACGCCTGTAATTCCACTGCACTCCAGCCTGGGTGACAGAGTGAGACTCCATCTCAAAAAAATAAATAAATAAATAAAGGGAGGGGATGTATTCAGACACGGGGACTTCATGGGGCTTTTTTTTTTTTCTTTGAGATGAAGTTTCGCTCTGTCACCCAGGCTGGAGTGCAGTGGCACAATCTCAGCTCACTGCAACCTCCACCTTCCGGGTTCAAGTGATTCTCCTGCCTCAGCCTCCCAAATACCTGGGATTACAGGTGCATGCCAACATGCCCGGCTGATTTTTGTATTTTTAGTACAGATGGAGTTTCACCAAGTTGGCCAGGCTGGTCTCAAACTCCTGGGCTGAAGTGATCCACCCACCTTGGCCTCCCAAAGTGCTAGGATTACTGGCATGAGCCACCTTGCCCAGCCAAGTCTTGGGGCCTTTAAAGGGTGATTAGAACACCAAGGCTCTGCTCTCATGAATGGATTAGTGCCTTATAAAGGGATTAAGGGTGTGAGCTTGCCCCTTCCTTCTTTCCACCATGTAACACAGTGTTGGTCCCCTCCATAGGGTGCAGAAACAAGGTGCCATCTTGAAGGCAAGGAGCAGCCCTCACCAGACGTGGAACCTGCTGGGCACCTTGACCTTGGACTTCTCAGCCTCCAGAAGGGTGGGAAATAAATATCTGGTTTTTGTCAATTGCCCAGTGTCAGATATTTTGCTATAGCAGCACAAACGGACTAAGACAGATACACAATAACATTTCCACTGCAGCGTCCTAATCAAAGCAAGCCTGAAGGCCAGACCAGATTCAAGGGATGGAGGAGTGACTAAGTAACAGTGCAAAGGGGTGTGCATCCTAGGATGAGGACAGGTACTGTGACCACCCTTACAAAGAATCTACCATACAAATTCCTATTGATCACAAACAATAACTTGAATAAATGGAGAGGTATATCCTATTTATAGATGCAAAGATTTAAAATTGTGAAAAATGCCATTTCTCCCCAAAACAATCTATAATTTTTAAAACTGTTATAAAAATTTCGAAAGTTGGAGTTTTGGTTTTGTGTATGCGTTTGTGTGTGGAATTGGATAACCCCATCCTTAAATGCATAGGAAAGCACAAATAAATAAGACAGTGGATTAAAGATAATGATAATAGATTGAATAAAGGCTTCCATTCTCACTTCCTCCCTAAATCACACTTCATCCTAAATGACAGCAATGTTTTAACTTTATAAACAAAGATGGAAAGAACAGGACAGAATTCTAGCAACAAAATTTTGGAAGCTACAAAGCAGATGAAACAGCGGTGACTAACTTGGCAACTTAGCAGATATGTGAAAACTAAGTTCTAGGCCAACATGGAGAAAACCAGGAAGCGATGTGATTAAATGATAGACCTCTCAAGAGACTCAGGAAACAGTGAGACAGTGAGACCAGTCACCTCTGGAAATAAAGGCAAAGGTTGGGCTAAAATAAATATTGGGGGAAACATTCAGGATATAGGCATGGGCAAAGACTTCATGACTAAAACACCAAAAGCAACTGCAACAAAAGCCACAATTGACAAATGGGATCTAATTAAACTAAAGAGCTTCTGCACAGCAGAATAAACTCTCATCAGAGTGAACAGGCAACCTACAGAATGTGAGAGAATTTTTGCAATCTATCCATCTGATAAAGGGCTAATATCCAGAATCTACAAAAAACTTAAACAAATTTACAAGAAAAAAACAACCCCATCAAAAAGTGGGTGAAGGATATGAACAGACACTTCTCAAAAGAAGACATTTATGCAGCCAACAAACATGAAGAAAAGCTCATCAACGCTGGTCATTAGAGAAATGCAATTCAAAACCACAATGAGATACCATCTCACACCAGTTAGAATAGCCATCATTAAAAAGTCAGGAAACAACAGATGCTGGAGAGGATGTGGAGAAATAGGAACACCTTTACACTGTTGGTGGGAGTGTAAACTAGTTCAACCATTGCGGAAGACAGTGTGGGGATTCCTCAAGGATCTAGAACTAGAAATACCATTTGACCCAGCCATCCCATTACTGAGTATATACCCAAAAATTATAAATCGTTCTACTACAAAGACACATGCACGTGTATGTGTATTGCAGCACTGTTCACAACAGCAAAGACTTGGAACCAACCCAAATACTCATCAATGATAGAGTGGATAAAGAAAATGTGGCACATATATACCATGGAATACTATGCAGCCATTAAAAAGGATGAGTGCATGTCCTTTGCAGGGACATGGATGAAACTGGAAACCATCATTCTCAACAAACTAACACAGGAACAGAAAACCAAACATGGCATGTTCTCACTCATAAGTGGGAGTTGAACAATGAGAACACATGGACACAGGGAGGCGAACATCACACACGGGGGCCTGTTAGGGGGTGGGGGGCTAGGGGAGGGACAGCATTAGGAGAAGTACCTAATGTAGATGATGGGTTGATGAGTACAGCAAACTATCATGGCATGTGTACACCTATGTAACAAACCTGCACGTTCTGCACATGTATCCAAGAACTTAAAGTATAAAAAACAAAGCAAACAAAAAAACTTCCCAGACCTGCACAGCCAAATGTCTTCCCATTATGAAAGATGACTGCAATTTTCTTCTCTGGAGAGGATGAAACAGGAGGTTTCATGATTGGAGACTACCAGGAAGAGTTGGGGGCAGGGTCTCCCACTGAAAACCAGAGCATTAGTGAGTGTGTGTGCACTGGAAGCTGAAACCTTCAGCTCTCCAGAACCCAGGAGGACGGGAAGGAAACAATTTGATCAGCCCAGGAAGGAAAAACCTAAAGGTGCCGATATTGAAAATGTCCAAGATGACCTAGCCAGATCATCTCAGGACAGTCGCCACTCACATACCCAGATCTTCCAATCAGCTACTTAGGCCCCTTTAAGGACACAAATCAAAGATGTTCAGACAGGGAAGGAAAGCCACCAATATGAAAAATAGAGGCCCAGTTGAACTTAGAGAAAACTGAGATGATTCAGGAAGAAGAAAACTCTAAAAATGCTACAATTAATATCCTCAGAGACATAAGAGAAGATGTTGCAACCATAGGGTGAGGAGAGGTTATTATGAAAAAGAACATCCAGAGAAAAAACAAGGACTCTTGAGAATTGAAAATAATCATAATAGAAATGATTTAGTAGAATCGAAGACAAAGTTGATAAAAGACAGCAAAGAAAAAGAAATGGAAAATAGAAAAGGCAAGATAAGAAAATTAGAGGACTAGCTCAGGAGTTGCAATATACAAACTAGAGGAGTTCCAGGAAGAAACAGAAGTGAAAATAGAGGAGAAGAATTGCAGGAAGGAAGGAAGAAAAGAAGGAAAGAAGACAAGGAAGCCCTCCAAAATGGAAGGAGTTGAGTTAACAGGTTTAAGGACCTATCAAGTGCCCAGCACAATGGATGAAATAACATGATAAAGTTTTAGAATATTTAAATTTAAAAACATTGTTTTTAGAATGCTTTTACAATTTTAAGTGTTTTGCAAAGAAAAAAATAATCTACAAGCTTTCAAAGTTCAGAAAGGCCTTGGACTTTTCAATCACACTATTGGAAGCTTGAAGATGTTGGTCAAAACCGTCAAAATTCTGAAGCTTAAATCCTTCCAGTCTGGGACTCCACAATCCTCTAAAGTTCCAATCAATCAAGAAAAGGGAAGAAAGATATTTTTAGACATAGAAGGTCTCAAAATATTTCCCTCCCATGCACCCCTTTCCTGGAAGCTCCTTGAGGACAAGTGTCCCCAAAACTGGAAGGTAACACGATCATGACACAGAGATCCAACATGAAAGAGCTTTGCTGGTGGAAGAAAGGCCCAGGGTGACAGCTGTGCACCCAGCATAGAGACTTCCAGTCCATGTTGGAGTACATCAGAAATCTCCAGGGGAGATATCCTAGAAGAAGAAATTGTCACCAGATAATTGCAAAGGGAAGAATTAGACAATTGATGAAGGCTTCCAGATTGAATTAGATATGTGTAAGCTAAACAGGAACCAAGCAAACAAAAAAAGCAAGGTAATCATTACTTCCAGGAGAAACAAAAAATTGTGTGGAAAAAAAAGTCATCGTGGTTCACTACATGGTTTGGCTGTAAACAGGGCTTTTATGCAGTCATGTTCATGTTAACCCCAAAGCTTGATCTAACCAAAATTATGACATAACCAGATTGCCAGGATGGAGAAAGGGAAGGGTGCACATGAGTCGGAGGGGCAGAGAAATCCACAGTAGACTAATATTTAAAGCTCAAAGCTAGCCAGGCTGTGTGGCTCACACCTGTAATCCCAGCATTTTGGAAGGCCAAGGCGGGTGGATCACTTGAGGTCAGGAGTTTGAGACCAGCCTAGCCAACATGGTGAAGCCCTATCTCAACTAAAAATACAAAAATTAGTTGGATGTGGTAGTACGCATCTGTAGTCCCAGCTACTCAGGAGGCTGAGGTATGAGAATCGCTTGAGCCTGGGAGGTGGAGGTTGCAGTGAACCAAATTCGCACCACGGCACTCCAGCCTGGGTGACAGAGAGAGATTCCATAGAAAAAAATTAATTAAGAAAAATAAAGCTTAAAGCTTACAATTGAAAAATTAACAGGCAGCAAGGCAAGTTTCAACATATCATTCAGAGACATGGAAATACAGTCAAGGGTTGCCTAACAATAGGAATACATTCTGAGAAATGTGTGGTTAGACGATTTTGTTACTTGTGAATATTATAGAGTGTACTTACACAAACCTAGGTGGCACAGCCTACTACACTGAGGCTACGTGTTACAGCCTGTTGCTCCCAGGCTACAAACCTGTACAGCAAGTCACTGTACTGAATACTGTAGGCAAATGTAATACAATGGTAAGTCTTCGTGTATCTAAACATAGAAAAGGCACAACAAAATATAGTTTTATAATCTTATGGGACCACCATCACATATGTGGCTTGTCGTTGACCAAAAAAACGTCATTACATGGTATGTGACTGTAATTACCAAAATAATCAGAGCTGAAATGGTTGCCCCTGGGAAGGAAGAAATGGAGGGAAAGGTAGGGGGCTGCTGTTTTTCATATCAAAGCTTGTAAACTGATCTGACTTTTTAATCTATGCTTTGATTAAAATATAAAACTTTTAACATAAAATTAAGAAATAATTAAATGGTGGCAATAATGCTGCCTCTTATCACTCTACTGGGTCTGAGAAATTATAAATTGCCACATAAGTAAAAGGTATTTTTTGGCTAATGAAGCACAGCAGCAATGTGCAGGTCAGAATTTATCATCTGGTTGATATTTTGAAATGTCACAGCTCTGTCATGTACGCTCCATCTTCCAAGTTGTGCATAACTTGCTCCAAAATTGAGGAAACATTCACGCTCCACACACATACACACACACACTCTCTCACACACACACAGAGACAAGAATAGCCAAGGCAGTTGTATAATAAAATAGCAGAGGGCTTGCTTCACCAGATATTAAGACTTTGTAGAAAACAAAATGTTAATGAAGTATGGTATTGGCACAGAAGAAAGCAGCACACCAATAAAATCAAATAGAGGGGCCAAAGATACCCCAACACACAAATGGAGCCCCGAAAGTTCGCAAACACCGGGGAAAGCACACGCTGTAAACAAATGGGATTGGGGTGACTGGTTATCTAAATGGAAAAATTAACGTTATCTCTAATGTTCTATTTTGTTTTTTAAGGGAGAAGTGAAAACAGATAGTAAATACTAAGATTTCAGATTTTAGAAGCTGAGTAAGAGTTAGGTTGCAATGGTCTGAATATTTGTGTCTTCCTCCAAATTGCTGTGTTGAAGTCTTCACCCCCCAAGTGATGGTATTAGGAGGTGGGGCCTTTGGGAGGTGATTAGACCACAAGGGGTCATGATTGGGATCAGTGCCCTTACAACAGAGGCCCCCAAGAGCTGGTTACTCCCTTCCACCATGTAAGGACACAGCAAGAAGGCAAGGAGCCAGGAAGTGGGACTTCACCAGACACCAAATCTGCTAGTGTCTTGATCTTAGACCGCCCGTCCTCCAAAACTGAGAAATAAATCCAATAATGCTTCTACCTGTTAATATATGAGCCACCTGGTTTATAGTATTTTGGCATAGCAGCCTGGACAGACTAAGACATAAGTAAAAACAGAAAAGCAAAATTTGATATTGTGATATAATAAGAAATATACATTTATTCTCTGCCCCTGATTCCTGGCACACAGCTCCTAAAACCCTTGTAGATGGGGCACTAGAAAAATATTTGTTCTAATAATTGGTCTTTGACCATGATTTCTGACATAGAACTCCTAAGACCTTTGTAATTTCCTGAGTGACAGGAGTATCGACATAGAGCTCCTAAATCCTTTGAAATTTCTTGGGTGATAGGAGCATCTTTTGTTCTAATGAGGCAACTCTTGAAGGGCTCTTGGATGGCCTCAGGATGGGGGCTGGTTGCCAGGGGAAACAACCATGTGATTGGAGGGTTGGAACCTTCAGTCCCACCCCCTAAACCTCCAGAGAGGGTAGTGGGGCTGAAGGTTGAGTTGATCACTAACTAATGGGCAATGATTTAATCAACCAAGCCTGTGTAATGAAGCCTCCATAAAAACCCAAAAGAACAGGGTTCAGAGAGCTCTGGGTAGCTGAGCACGTGGAGGTGTCTGGAGGGTGGCACCCCCGGAAAGGGCATGGAAGCTCGGTGCCCCTTCCCACATATCTTGCTCCATACATCTCTTCCATCTTCTTCTGTATCCTTTGTAAAATCATTTATAATAAATGGGTTAATGTAAGTAAAGTGTTTCCTTGAGTTCTATGAGTCATCCTAGCAAATTAATTGAACCCAAGGAGGGGGTAGTGAGATTTATAACCAGTCGGTCAGAAGCACAGATCACAATCTGGGGCTTGTGTCTGGCCCCTTAAGGTAAGGGGCAGTCCTGTGGGACCAAGCCCTAACCTGTGGGATCTGACACTGTCTCCAGGAATTGTCAGAGTTGAGTTAAATTATAGGACACCTAGCTGGTGTGGCTACAGAATTGATTAGTTGATGGGAAAAACCCCACACACATTTTGGTGACCGCAGGGGAAGCATCCTGTGTTCTGAGAGTATATAGTAAGAGGAAAAAGAGTTTGTTTCTTTTTTTTCCCCCAGAAAAATTAAGCTTCACTGTGGGTGCTGTGTTGTTGATAGACTGAGAAGTGGGAGGTGAGAATCCAGCTAAGGGGAACAACTGGAGACTATTGCAACACCAAGGAGAAGAGACAACGTGTGTTTGAACCAGAAATGGTGGTGGGGATGTAGGGGAAGACTGGGTCCTGCAGACATCACTGAGGGCAACTTGACAAGACCTAACAACTCATTGGATTTCGATGATCAGAGAAAAGAGATGTCAATGGACTCCCAGGTATCCAGCCTTGGAGCCTGGAAGGATGTGCCAATGTTAATAGCTATAAGTAATACAGGCTTAACAGCTCTAGGTGGGTAACAATTGTTTCCATTGTGGATATTTTAGATCTAACACTGCTGCAGAACTGGTAGATGGAGATGTCCAATAAGTACAGTGACAAATGCAGGTCAAAAGAGAATTGGAGCTGGAAACATACTTGGGGAGTCCTTGGTGGGTGGAATTAAGTTCCCTGATATGTGCTCTCGAGACCCTCTCCCCACTTCCCATCATGGAGCTTGTCATGATGGATTGAAACCACTTGTTTTCTCTTTAGGCTGTGAATCCTATGACGATGGAGGCAGTCTTGTTCTCCACCGTATTCTTTGTGTCTGGACTGAGGACCTGGATTATTGAGGACCTAATAAAGCAAAGATGATCAAGAACAGGTTCTTAGGGAACATCAAAACTAAAGGGCTAGATAGCAAGAAAAGACCATCAAAGGAGCTGTCAAAGTAATCACCAGAGAAAGAGAAGCGTTATGGGATATGGAGTCCCTGGACCCAAAGAGAGAGAGAATTTCTAGAGTAGAGGGTGGTGCAGTGGTCAAGATGTTCTTGTCCTAGATAGCTTTTGCACCTGCCCCTTCCCAGCCCAGCCCTCTCTAGAGAAACCGCCCAGTGCACAGGTACCACACCTCTCCCCTTCTCCACAGAGGCTGATTAGACCAAGGATGGACACCTGACCCAAGGCTGTGTTCACTAGTGGTGAGGTTTTAAGGGAAAGTAGAGGGAGGGAGAAGTCAGTATCATGACAAGCCAAAGCCTTGTGACATTTACGAGTGACAGGGACTCTGGATAAACAAAGGAAACTCATAATGGACAGAAAGAGAGAATGAAGCAGACAGGCCATCTCCATTCCAGATAACTTTCCAGCTTCCAGCTTCAGCCCCTGCAAGACCCAGCCTCATCTTAGGTTTCATAGGATCCAATAAACTCCCTTTTTCTTAAGCTCATTTGAATGAATTTCAGTTCTTCCTACCTACCTGACTCCAACTAGAACTGTCTTTACATCTGCTATTTACATAATAATTTAAGGGAAATCAAAAGTCTATGGATTTAGAAAACTCTTTCCTTTAACTGGAGATCATCAGGAATCCTCCACTCATATTAAAAATATAATCTTCGCTTATAGTTGGAACACCCCCATTTCGAATTTTCAAGCTGGAGGAATCTCAGAATAGGACAGCGAGGAGGTTGACGGCCTGCAGTCATGTGCTAGTTAGTATCCTAGGAAGGACTCAATTACAGAATGCCTGACTCCAGTCCAGGGACCTTGCCACAACCTTACCCCATCCCCGCCACCCCTGGGCTCAGGGAAACAAATCCCAATTCATTGCTTAATCGGGCTGAGGACTCAGCCCCACCAGTCCTCCACCGAATCTAACTACAGGAGGAAATGCTCCAAGTCCTCGGCTGAGTTCTCCGTAGTCAGACCCCTCTGTCAGGAAAGTGGCTTAAATGAATTTAAACCCACCCAGGTTGGCCTGTGAGGGCTGTTCCATTAAAGCTGAAGGCCAGGCAGGATTCCGCTTGTTGAAATCTGTGTTCCTTTTGTACACTTTTAAAGTCACATCTGGTGCTGACCTTAGAAACAGCACTTGTGTGCTGAATGAATGCAGTGTGACTGCGTGTGCTCAGGGTTTTGGGACTTCTCTGAAAGGCGCTCCCAACCCTCCCAAACTGGCACAGGATGTCCGGCCGTGGTCGGCTTCCTCCACCGCGGCAGAGGATGCCAACTGAAACACGACCTCCTGCCAAGACTCTGGGACCACGCTCAGATCCAGGTCCCTGGGGGCAAAAGGCAGCTCTGTGCCAAGTTCTCCAAAGCCCGGCTCCTCCCGGGCTCTCATCCTGAAAGTGCTCTGGCCTCCTCTTTGGAAAAGGCCCATCAATCTTCTGAGGATTTCTGACACCGGTCGGAGCGCTGGAAACTGCAAGCCCTTCTCAGTCTGTCAGCTGCCTCACACTCTCCAGCCCGGCGAAGCTGTGTGCAGTGTCTGGAAAAGCAGTTACTGGTTTGGTTGTGGTCTGCCTTTGCAGCTGAGCTGGTTCCAAGTGCCACGTCCTCCACCGGCTGCTCTGGCCCAGGACACTCAGGAAAGGTGACAAGGCGGCCCCCTTGCACACTTGCCTGGAGCTATGCTCCCTCCATTTCTTGGAATCCAAGTATATTTTCTTTTGTGGAATGAATGAATACAAAGGGTGCCACCCCTTTGCCCAGCCCCCCATCTGAAATTCTTCCTCCAGCTGTCTCGATAGCGATGCTTGACAGACTGGAGGAGAATAGTTTGAATGAAGCTTCCCAGTGCAATATTTCCCTGGGCTTGAGTTGAATTGATCTAGCCTGTGATGCCATTTATCTTCACAACCTTCTTAGAGAGGAGCAGGGGAACAAATCTCTTTCGTTCGCATATGGGGAAACTGAGACTAAGGGAAGCTACAGAGACAACTGTAGGGAAAAAGCCAGCAGAGCAGGGCCAATCTGAGAAAATGCATGCTGATGAGATAGTCTTTTCCTGAGGGATTTACACAATCACTGGGCATAGAGGACAACATGGGAGGGGACTTAGGAAGAACTGGAGATGGGCCCCCTTACAAAATTCGTTTGGGTGAACTCAAATTTAAACGTGCACCCCCACCTCCAAGTCTGGTACTCTTGTGCTGGTGCCCCAAAACCTAGGACAGGAGATGGCAGCTCCAGCGAGGTTTCCCTGATCACTCCTGTCCCCATCCAGCCCTCCCCTCTAAGCTATTCTCTCAATCACAGCCTGAACCACCCTTCCTTCTTTATGGTTTTTTACTGTTTTCAAATTCATGTTGGTCTTCTCTCACTCAGCTAGATTACTTGCTGCTTCTCAAGGGATGGACTGTGCCCTAGATTTTAGAAACCCCAACCCTTCTGGGTTTTCTCTTTGTTTTCTCACTGTTTGCCAAATGATGGTGTCACACACACAGCCCCAGGGGCAGGATCAAAGAAGGCAGTCACTTGGGACTTGGGGGAAAGCAGTCTTGTTTTCCATGAGAAACAACCAGGGGGAGAAAAAAATCAATGTCTGAAATAACTGTTGAGAAAGAAGTGTGGCTTTCTCTTGGAGTCATAGAAAGTGGTTCTGATGTCAGCCTCACACGTAAGAGAATGGATCCAGGGTGAATCCCTAGTAGCTGGCTGAGGCTGACTCAACCCACAGGGAGCTGCCCAGCACATCAAGTATGTGGATTCTCCAGCAGCTACTCCTGCCAGAAACTTCTACCTGTGCCTATTATGCCCATGGCCCCATGATCTCCTGGAACAGCAACCCGAGGGGCCTACCTACCATGTTTCAGCCTCACAGCCAGCCAATTTCACCTCCCTGGCACTACCCATAGTAAATGCCATGAAGGAGACTCAGACTCAGGGGACCACAAATCTGCCCCATCTTGAGCAAATGATTTCCATTCTCTGGCTCTTGGTGTTAGTATCTTTGTAAAACAAAAAAATCAGACTAGCTGATCTGTGAGGGACCCTCTACCTCCAAAACTGCATTGTCTAGACTGGCAGGGAGTGTGTGGGTTTGGTTCTTATTTGGTTGGTTATCTTGTGTATGTCTTGGCCCATGCATGGCCACTTTGGCCCAGGGTGGAGAGCATCATTATCTACACCAAGTACTCTGTAACTAGAGAGTGACTATGTTGCTCCCCTCCAGGGAGGCCAGGGGTGGGCCTAAGGCATCCCAAAAGATGTGTGAAATGTCTTTGAAGTCAATAATTTCCCTTAGAAATTCATGTATATTTTGCATTCTTTTCTATATTATTACTGAGTTGCTTAATATAGGAATTTTTGTCCCCAAATCTTAGGATAAAGTGACCCTCCAGGAGGATGCTTCTTGCTAAAAGAAGCTTGTTTGAGCTTCCTGTAATGAACTGCTACATACTCCTGAAACGGGTTTAAGAAGCACTAATCTGGCCAGGCATGGTGGCTCATGCCTGTAATCCCAGCACTTCGGGAGGCCGAGGCAGGCAGATCATGAAGTCAGGAGATTGAGACCATCCTGGCTAACATGATGAAACCCTATCTCTACTAAAAACACAAAAAAATTAGCCAGGCGTGGTGGTGGGCACCTGTAGTCCCAGCTACTTGGGATGCTGAGGCAGGAGAATGGCATGAACCCAGGAGGTGGAGGTTGCAGTGAGCCAAGGTCACGCCACTGCACTCCAGCCTGGGTGACAGAGCAAGACTCCGTCTCAAAACAAAAACAAAAACAAAAACAAAAACAAAAAAACAAAAAAGAAGCACTAATAAGCACTAATCTGTGGGTGTTTGCAGGAACACCCAGGGCTGAAAATTCATCTTTTGATCCATCCAGGAATCCCTTCTCAGATATTCATCCTTTTCTGTTAAAATGCAAATTCCCTTGGGAAGGGGCTAAAAGTTAGAAAAAAACTGAGACAAATACAAAATTCTTTACTTGTGTCTGAGAGTCAATTACAGCAGGACAGTCCGTGGCTCTTTGGATCAGCAGTGGCTGGTGGCTGAGGATTTTGGTAAACTTCAGTTGAGTCAACACTGTGATTTGACTGTGTCCTTCAGAGCAAGAAGGACTTAGTCTCAGCACTAAGCAGGCCTCCTGGAGAACTGCATTCAGAGCTGGAACCATATGTCAGAGGGATTTGGACTAAACAGCAATGATCTGGACAGAGATCACGGACGTATGTCACATGGGGAATGAATGGAGAGATCAGGATGGGAGTGGGCTGGGAGATGCTCCCAATAGTCATCATGGGAATGGGTTTTTGATTTGTGTAGCTCCAAAGGGCAGAACCTAGACTAGCACTCCTGCATTTTAGGAGTGCAGATTTTAGCTCAGCAGAGGGAAGCCCAGCACCTTGTGAAATGGGGATGGGCTGCCTCTGTAGAAAGAGGGTGCCCTGGTCCTGGGAGAGTCCTCCTATCAGTGGGGTGCTGGAGGGTCACTGGGTTATGGGATCCTTTAAAAGGGTGAGGTGCACATGGAAACACAGCTTCTAGATCCCCTTCAGGGAAGGGCTCGCTATCCAGCTGTGGGGAGTGTGGTCCGCAGAAAGCCTCCAGGGTCAGCTCTTCAGGGTTGGCCTCCCCTGCAGGGAGCCTCCTCTCCTGGGGCACTTGCATCTGGTGACTGAGAGAGGTCTGGACAAGCACAGAAGCCTGGACATCTAGGCAAGAGCTAGGCTGGCTAAGGCTTTGTTTGGTCTGCCTCCCTGTTTGATGTCTTCTTCTGTACCCCAAACTCCATCCCAGTGTGTACTTGGGAAAAACTCTACCTGAGACAAAAGCATACAACATGGGATGGGTCATCCTGAGATTCTAGGGATCCTACTATTATTCGTCACTTACACCTGATTGTGAATAAATTCACTGAAATCTTTGCAGGGAACAAGTTTATACAGGTGTAGCTTAAGGAAACGAAAGGGAAAAGAGTCACAAGACAAGTAGGTTAAGAGATAAGGGACTGAAGTTTATGCTTTAAATGTGTGGATTATATCTCAATAAAATGTTCTTTTTTTAATGTTTAAAGAGAGAGAGAGAGAGAATGAAGCTGATCTAAGATGTCCAGACCCTCCCAGGCTGTGCTAGGGTACAGGTACTCTAGCACTGCAGCTGGGTATCAAGAACTGGAAGGACTTGTGCAGGACCCTTGGCTTCTCAGCAAGGCTGTCCCCACGAAGCAGATTTCACATACCCATAGCACACCCAAGGCATGGCTAGCATCCCTTGGGGGCTCTGCTGGCCCCACCATCACCACAGTGAAGCAAGGAGGAGCTCTCCTGCCAGCCACATCCCAAGGCTGCTATTGTGTCCTCCTCCAGCAGGGGTCAGCAGACTGTTTCTGTAAAGGGCCAGAGAGCAAACATTCAGTGTAGGTGGGGCAATATGGTCTCTGTTGCAACTGCTTAACCCTGCTGCTGTAGCACAAAAGCAGACATAGATAGTAAGTAAATGAATGTGCATAGCTGTGTTCCAATAAAACTTTACTTACAAAAACAGGCAACGGACCAGATTTGGCTTAGGTATATAGTTTGCTGACCGCCGTCCTAAAATCATGGACCTGCCTAGTTGGAAATAATCCCAGGCCACAGAACAGGAAGGTTTTCTCTACTTGGAATCCACAAAAGCATCATGTTTCTTGTCTTCCAGGCTTTGCTGGAGAAATGGAACCAAATGTTCTATATATGTTTGACATACATTAAAGTTCAACTGGGAACAGAGATTCACAGGATATGGTTCCTGCTCTTCAGGTCCCCATGTAAATAAGGAGGTAATTCTCATTCAGTGTGATAAACACATGGGAGATGTGGGTACATATGTGTATGTTTGGGCTAAAACCACCACTAGCCAATGTCGCCAGGGTTTGGATAATTAACTTTGGGGGCCTGGGTCAGTTGACCCTCATGGTGGTTAATAAAGTAGTATCTGTAGTCACTTCTAGCTGTGGTCTTTACACATCTACAGAGGACTTGCCTTTTTCTTTTTTCTTTTTAAATTATTTTTTCAAAATTAAAAAAAAAAAAAAACTTTAAATAGAGACAGGATCTCCCTATGTTGCCCAGGCTGGTCTTGAACTCCTGGGCTCAAGGGATCCTCCTGCCTCAGCCTCCCAAAGTGCTAGCATTACAGGCGTGAGCCACCATGCCCAGTCACCTTTTTCAAATTAATCTTGGAAACAAAAACATAATCCCAGTTTGACACTGAGACAGAGCCCACAGGTATTGTTTTGGTGCATAGGCCACAGAACCGGAGAGTTGTCACAGCCATTGCATGGGAAGGCCACGGGCTGGGTGTGGCTCCAGATCCACGTTCTCGCGTCCTGGGCCTGCTCAGTGTGTTTCGGCTCCTGTGTATGCTTTTCTCTCTGCAGTGCCACGACATCCGACCCCGGCCTTCTCAGAGGACGCTAACCCGCCTGCCCGCCCGAGACTGCCAGCCCTGTCTGTGGGTGCCCTCTGGTGGCCTGTCGGCTGGAGAGCCTCGGCGCCTGTTAAGGCAATCAGTCAGGGAGAAGGAGGAAGCGTGAGACTGAGTTGCAGACATTTCCACCAGCTCCTCCTTTGCCAACACAAACCCAAGCCTCCCCCTAGGGATTTTGGAGTGCATTCAGAGCTTGGGGAAAGAATCATTTTCATTCCTAATTCGATACCCTTCATTTTTTCAACCGGGATGGTTCACATGATCAAACCGCACAAGAGGCCGCCGCTCTGTGTTCTGCTTATGGCCGAGAGGGCACGGCGGCTCCCCAGGGCACTCAAGATCTGAGGGATCTGGGGGCGCAACAAGTTAAGAAGCAGCTTTGAATATCTTCCTGGGGAGGCAATTCTTGCGTCTAATTTTCCGCTGCGCTTCTTGTTCCTTCGATGTCTACTGCAGTGGGGGTCTCAGTGGGAATGGACTAAGGATGCAGGAAAAGTATGGGGGTCTGAGTACAGGCAGGTACAGAGCTGACTCGGCTCCGCAAACACCGTAGAAACTAGTCCCGGTTCTCCCACCCATCTATTCACATGGCTGGAGGACTTAGCAAGGCCCTGGAGCACACTGGTTGACTCCACGGACTCCTGATCCAGGCTGCCTGGGTTCCAATCCCGGCTCTACCACTTTCTAGCCATGTAACCTCAGACAAGTTCCTTAACCCCTTTGTGCCTTGGGGTCCTTGTCTGTAAAATGAGAGTCATAATATTGCCTACCTCCAGGGTTGTTTTGAAAGATAAGTGGGTTGGTATCTGAGAAAATGCCCAGTAAATGTCTCCTGTTGTTATTCAGGAGAAAGCTCATAGTAACGAGGATAGGAATCTGAAGACCTCAGTTTCCATCCCAGAGCCACCTTATCCAGTTATGTGTGTTCCGGGAAGGGTGACCTCACTTCTCTGTGCTTAGAGCCTTCTATTCCAAGATAAGGATGAGGACTAACTCCTTCCTCTAAACTCCTCCATGGCTCTCCATTGACCTCATGATGAAGGCCCAGCTCCCTCATCTGGCCTCTAACACTCTTCATGCTCCAGCCCCTGCCCTTCTCTCAAGTCTCATTTCATGCAGCACCCAAGGTGATGATGGCTGATGAGTGATATTGTAAAGCACCCATCAGATCATGTCTCTCCTCTGCTCAGAGCCTTCCAATGGCTTCCCATGCCACTGAGAGTAAAATCCAAGGTGTTCTGCACAGGTTGCCAGGTCCTACAGCCTGACCTCAGCTCCCACCACTCCCACCCCCCACGCCACACCACCCACCCCCACACACACACCTCTGTGGCTGCTCCCAGCTCCCTCTTCCAGGATGCCAGCCCTCTCTTGCCTTGGGGCCTGATATGGTTTGGCTCTGTGTCCCCATCCAAACCTCACCTCGAACTGTAATCCCCACATGTCAGGGGAGGGGCCTGGTGAGAGGTGATTGGATTATAGAGGCCGACTTCCCCCTTGCCAATCTGGTGATAGTGAGGGAGTTCTCAGAAGAAGTGGTTGTTTGAAAGTGTGGCACTTCCCTCTTCGCTCTCTCTCCTGCTTTGCCATCGTAAGACATACTTGCTTCCCCTCCTCCTTCCACCATGACTGTAAGTTTCCTGAGGCCTCCCAGTCATGCTTCCTGTACAGCCTGTAGAACTATGTGTCAATTAAACCTTTTCCTAAACTACCTAGTCTCAGGTGGTTCTTTACAGCAGTGTGAGAACGGACTAATATAGGGCCTTTGCCTTTGCTGTTCCCTTGGCCGGGAGCACTTCCCTCAGAGCTGCCTGGTCAGCCTTGCCTCCTTCAGGCTTCTGCCCAAGGGTCTCATAATGAGAGGGGCCTTCCCTGACTTCCCCGCAGGTGACAGAACACTGCCCCATCGCTCTCTATCCCCTGGTCTGCTTTATGTTTCTCAGTGGCCTTGCCATCACTAACCCGTACGTGCAGATTTGACTTGGCTAACTGTCTGCCTCCCCGACGTGCGGTGTGAACAGGTGTTTTGTTTTGCTCCCTGCTGTGTCTCCAGCTCCTAGAACTCTGTTGGTCATGAAATAGGTGCTCAAAATCAGTGTGGATCTGTGAAGGATGCTGGCTTGCCTAACAGAGGAAATAGCTTTGGCAAGGAACATCCAGGAAAGACGTCTCTTAACCTAAAAACTGGAGGCACCATCTAAAAGACCTCCAGTAAGGGAGACAGCACTCCAGGCTCCCTACACCACCACTGCCCACCTTTCTACCTCCAGGCACCTGGGAATTGGCCCCAGGCAGGATGAAGTCACAACAGGCTGGGTGGCCAGCCTGAGTTCTCTCCCGCTGCAGGCAGGAGCACCTCTTTTCACTTTTTATTTCTACACCACATTACTTGAACACTTGGTGGCTTCCAAAATGAAGCCATATGGTTTGATGGCAGCTCTCTGGAGGGAAATGCCGCCCTTTAATTGTCCTCAGGACTATTCTGAAAATAGAGTCCTTTTTATTCAAAGCTTAATTCCGTTAATGTTCCCAATATAAATGAATAATAGAAAGCGTAAGCGAATTCTCTCCTGACAGTGTTCCTCTGCTCTATTTAAAGATCCTTCTGGGGCAGAGCCTGGACTCTGCTTTTACCAAACCCACTTAAAAATCCCTCCCCCCAAGAAACTGCACTGATTTTCCTTGGGTACAGTGTGTCCTGGAGAGGGACATAAAAGGGTGTTGAGGAACATCTGCTCGTGGACCCAACCTCCCAGGCTGTGCACTTTGTCCACTCCCCACCACCAAGCTGATCCAAGGGGATACAGGAAGCCTCAGTCCCCAGAGGCTTCAAGAGGGTTATGATGCTGAGGGGCACAGGGGACACAGGCAACAGAGCAGAATGGAGCACAATGATGTAGTCGCAGCATGAACAACTGAGTTAACTTGATGAGACTGCTGGGAGTGCCTTTTCAGTTCCAGACATGGGTAGATTACAGTCATTCAGGAAGCTTGAATGCTCAACTCAGTGCCTACTTCTTCCAGGAAGCCTTCTGCGCAGCTGGAGAGGATCTCCCCTTCGCAGTTCCTATTGCACTAATCGCACCCCTGGGTGGTACTGAGCTGTGGCCACCTTTGAGTGTATATTTGGGCACAGATGGAATCACTCCCTCGGGGACACCTGCTCTGGCCAGGGTGTGGAAGCTTTTCTGTGTGCTCTATCACCCCCTGCACTCCATCCCTCCATGATGCCACGATGGTCACAACCAGTGGGGCTAGCTGCAACATGTTTGTGTCCCTCACCAGGTCTAACGCACCGGGAGGGGAGGACCCCTGTTGGTCTGGGTCGTTGCCATATGCCCTGTGTCTAGCACAATGCCTAGACCACGGTGGGCCCTCAATCAATCTGTGGAGAATAAAGGAGTCTCCCCTACTAGAATGCAATATCCTAGATGTACACAGCCGTGTTCCACACTCCTTTGTCCTTTTACCAATACCTATCAGTTTTAGCATTCTCTAACTACTTGCTGGCTAAAGGAATGAATGGGAGGAAGGTGTCACAGCAAAGATGGTATTTGAGTTGGGTTCTCAAAATTGAACCAATTCAGAAAGTCTCAGAAGGAGTGACTGATTAACATCCCACTAGCCCTTTACTGTGCTCTAGCACCCTGGTGGAGTTCTCATGGTTAATCCTCTCATTGTTAATTACAGGAAAGGCCACCCAGGGGCATAACAGAGAGGGTATGCTTGCCGCCTGGCTTCTGGGTCTGCCCCAGCCATATACCTATGCAGGGACCACCTTTGCATCCTCAGATCCCAGTACAGTGGCAGACTCCTCATAAATATATGTTGGATAGAAATGAATACCTCACATCCACTAGTTAGTATTCCGTAGCCCGCAAGACTGGGACATCCAAGACCCTAAGTGTAGAGGAAATGTATGCAGAAGGGGCCCTAAGCAAAAATGGCCGCATCTGCTCAGCTAGATTCTGCAGCCTAAGATTCTGCATAAGTGAAAGGATTCTAAGTCTCAGACAGCCACCAAGCCCTGTCAAGTTCATTCTGAAGGCCTGTCACACCCAAGATGTATAGTGAGAGTCACCTCCATGCAGCAGAGCTGGGAGGATTCCAGCACAGCCCCTCATGGCTGACACATGACTCATGTGAGGATGGATGGGTAGAGTGGCATCTGGGAAGGAGGCAGGGTCTTCAGGAAAGGAGGCGCCTAATTCAGAGCATGGGCTGGGCTGTGTGGAGGCCCCACAAGGCTCATCTATCTTGGTGGGCAGTGGGTTCCCAGAGTTGTAAAATTTCATTTCTCCTGGAGCTTCTGATCCATAGGTAGTTTGAACTGGTGAAACAGGAAAAGTTCCCTTGTTCCCCTCTCAGGGAGTGCGATGGAGGTGTGGCTCGCTTCTTCAGTGCCCCACTGCTCACACCTCTAGGGGTAGCATGCAGACAGGAAGGCTGTGGGGCTCCAACCTCATGGCAGCATCTAGGAGTAAATGTTTGCTGCTGAAGCCCAGTGGGCATGTGTTACAGGGTGCTCTTTCAGTTTAGCCATCTGTAGGCAGCTTGTGTTAATCCGCTCAATTAGACCCCCTGCCTTATCTCAAGGACAGAGGACTTTCTGCATCCTGGGGCTTCTTGCCTTGGTGTATCGGAAGAATCAGATCACATGTGGGCTTGGAGAATGAGTGCAAGGTTTTATTGAGTGGCAGTAGCTCTCAGCAGATGGGGGAGCCAGAAGGGAGATGGGGTGGGCAGGTGGTTTTCCCCTGGAGTCAGGCCGCTTGGCGGCCAGGCTCTCTTCCAACTACCCTTGGGCTAACTGTGCCTTGTTCCGCTGGTCGTTGGCCTGCTGGTGTCTGCTGGTGCTTGTCAGTGTGTTCTTCCACTCCTCTCGAAGTCCAGCTGCTTGTGTCTCTACCGGCTAGGGTCTCTGGGATTTTTTTTTTTTTTTTTTTTTTTGAGACGGAGTCTCGCTCTGTTGCCCAGGCTGGAGTGCAGTGGCGCGATCTTGGCTCACTGCAAGCTCCGCCTCCCAGGTTCACGCCATTCTCCTGCCTCAGCCTCCCAAAATAGCTGAGACTACAGGCGCCCGCCACCACGCCTGGCTAATTTTTTTTGTATATTTAGTAGAGACAGGGTTTCACTATGTTACAGGATGGTCTCGATCTCCTGACCTCGTGATCCACCTGCCTCGGCCTCCCAAAGTGCTAGGATTACAGGTGTGAGCCACCGCACCCAGCCAGGTCTCTGGGTTTTATAGGCACAGGATGGGGGCATGGCGGGCCAGGGTGGTCTTGGGAAATACAACATTTGGGCATGAAAACAGAAATGCCTGTCCTCACCTAGGTCCGTTGGCACAGGCCTGGGGGTGGAGCCCTTGCCAGGGACCATGTCCTTCCCTTCCCAGCATTTCCCTGGCCCCGTCCTGTATCACTGGGAATATTCCAAATGCAGGGCCGCAACAGCAGAGAGAAGCATAACAGTACCCCTTCATCCTGTCTATACCTCTCCTACCCCTTTCTTCTGGCCACACCCCTCCCCCCAACAAAATGAGAAAAGAGACACAGAACAGGAAAGTCAAGGCAGCAGCTCAGATGTCCGTCTTCAGTCTGCACTCTACAGGAATGTGCCTTTAGGTTCACTAGATGATATAGGTGCTGCTGGCAAGAGACCCCTCTAGGAACTGGCTGCCAAGCTCATCCAGCCCAGACAGCAGCTGTGAGCTGGTCTGGGGCAGAGCTGGGGGAGCCATTTACCTCCCATGCCTCGTACGTAATAGGGGGTCCCTGGGTAGGATCTGGGGCAGGTGATCAGGCAGGGATACCTTCATCCCAGCCCTGTAGCTTTTGTCCCTGCCACCCCTTCCTCTTCCAGGAGTGCTCTGGTGCCTGCCAAGATAGGCTGCAAAGCCCCACACTGCCAGCCTGGGGACAAGACACTCCTAGCTCTCAGCACAGGCAAGCTCTCCCCACCCCAAGGTCCCTGTCTCTGGTGGATGCTCCAGGCTGTCTCTGTGCCTCTGTCTTTACCTAGTTTAAGCCTCAGTTCCTTTGGGCGTACAATGAGAACAATAATAACAACCTTCATTTTCTATTTGGGACTGTTAGCATAATCCAGGGAGACCTTGGGTGTGAGGTCCAGGAGGACCCATCAGGGGCTCCAGGTTAATTATTGTTATTACCTCTGCTTGACTGACAAAGAAAGGGGAAGAAGAGAGGTCACATGCTCAGACAGGCCTGCTGTGATCAGGCTGAGGACTGGCTGGACTCTGTTCATTCTATTTCAGCAGGTCTGTAAGCAGGAATGCAGGAAGCAGTATCAGGCCCACAGCCCAGAAGAGTGGGTGGCACTGGCTGAGAGAGGGCAGATGGGGGGATGGCCAGTGGCCAGGATCATGCCCAAGGGGCTGTCTGGGGCCTCAGCTCCTTAGGGCCCAGGGAGGTGGAACGCGCCGGAGGCTGTGGAACCATGAGGCAATTTGGGAGCCTCCCTGCCTGTTCCTAGATCTTCTCAGGGAGTGGAACAGCCCTAGAGAGGGCAGCTTCCAGTGTTGCCCAGGCTAGAACAGAACGGCCTGAGCTCCCCTGGAGACCTCTGGGGTTGTCTGAGGCCTGTCAGCCTCTTCCTTGGAGGGCCTCAGTGCCTTCTTCTGGGACAAATAATATATCAAATGAACTGAAATACCCAGAGAGCCCCCTGGGGGCTGGCACCGAGCCTGGCACTGCTGGGAATGCAAAGGGGACTTAGACCTGTTGCTCACTCTCCAGGCAATTCCAATCCAGCGTGAGCAGTTGGGGAGAAAGGGCGGCAGAAGGGTGAGGCAGCAAACACCCAGGTGGCTGCCCCCAGGGCAGAACGTCCGTCCGAGAAGACCAGGAGAGCACCAGAAACCAGAGAGACGGGACATTCCTGTCTGTCTAGGAGAGGTGGGGAAGGTCAGGAAGACTTTTTTGGAGTTGGGGTTTCCTTAGAGACATTTCTGAGCATTGGTTTGGCCCTGAGGCTGGGTTTTGGGTCTTGACTCTGCTATTCCTATGAACAAGTAGTTTTGAATTATCCAAGCCTGTATTTTCTCATCTATAAAAGAAGGAAAATAATATATCTGGCCATGCCGTGGCCATGGTGATGGAATGAGATCATGTTCACAGCACTGAACAGGGTGTCTGTAAAGCAAGTCTCAACAATACTCACTGTGCTTGAGGGTGGATGGGATTGAATTTAGAGAGGTGGTGGGGAAAGGAAGGAGCCAGCGACAGGACAGGGCAATTCAGCCCATCAGCTTAGGTTTGAGCTACTCAAAAATTCATTTTGGGTAATTAAGGAAGTTTCTACTTAAGGGCTTCAGTGGGGAAACGTTTTATAAAATGAACATTTCTTTTTAAAAAGTGAAAATTCTGTCCCTGTTTTTCTGCTTTCAAGTCTAGATTTCATAGAATGATTCCAGCATGCATTAAGCACATTGTTTATCCAAGGTGCTGTGCTCAGAGTTGTGGCGATCCAGAGAGACCAGGTCGCTTCCACCTTCAAGGAGTCTGCAAGTTCATGTGCACAGCCCTGTGGGAGAAGGCGATTTCAGGAAGCCTAGCCCAACCCCTCTCTCAAACGCCTCCAAGGCACTGCCACGGATGGGTTCCCCACCCCCAGACGCCATGGTGTTGGGCAGATCTGCTTCTTTTGCTAAGATCAAGGGCAAATGGGCCACTGCTTACTAAGGTGGGCAAAGTGGGAGCAGCTGGAAGTGAACACTAGAGATCTGGTGAGAAATTCCAAGACTCCAGGGCAAAACTTCCCCAACGAGCCCTCCTTTGCTGAATTTAAAATGAACAGCCCAGCTGCAAAGAGAGTATTTGTTCTGTGTTCACAGGGAAATGGCCTGTGAAGGTCTGACCTTGGCTCTGACTTCCACACCCCCTCTTGCCACAGACCAGAGCCACAGAAGCATTAACCCTCAGTCCACCGAACCATTGCTATTCAGCAAAAGGCATCCAGCTCCTTGTGTGGGGTTAGGGGAAGTGGGTGCAGCACATCACAGCGGTCATTTATTAAGCTTCACCTACTATGTGAGGTGCCTCATTATGCTAAAAGATAGACTCCCCATTTTACAGAGGAGGAAACTGAAACTTAGCAAGGTTTAATAACGTGTTCAATACTCATACAGCTAAAATGAAGCCAATGAGAAATGCTTATCAGAGCTGGACATCAAAGGCTGTGTTTTTAACCACAGCTCTACCAGCGCCCAAGCCAGTGCTGTGTTTTAAGCCCTTAAGGGACTCTGACAGTTTTCTTTATGAACCTTTATTCTACAGTTCTAAATAGCAGAACTGTGGATTGTAGGGAAGAGGGTTGGAAACTCACAGCCATGAGGCTGCATCTGATCAAAAATACATTTTATTTAGCTAAAAGAACGTTTTGTGTGTGTATGTGTGTGTGTGTGTGTGTGTGTGTGTGTGTGTGTGTGTGTGTGTGTTTTGTAGAGGTGGGGTCTTGCTATGCTGCCCAGGCTGGTCACGAACTACTGGCCTCCAGTCATCTTCCCACCTCGGCCTCCCGAAGTGCTGTGCCCAGCCCTAAAATAATGTTTTTAAATTAAAACATTTTAATTTAAGTGTCTTTCTTAACATGTACCGCATAACCTGTTTGGCCTTTTCCATGTTGAATTACCTGCCTGGCCTGGGAAGCATCGGAATCTGTGACCCTGTAAGAGCCCATCTCTCATCCTCACTGTGATGGCAGGGCTGGTGCCTTGGGACACTTGTGTTTTGAAGGTGCTTCATCTCCTTTCTCTTGGAAGGTACTTTGGGGCTGCCTCATCTGCACTGAGAAATCAGACCGAGGGCCCAGAAAAACTGATAGAACCCTCACCCTTCCCTCACTTCACCAACTTTGCCTTCCCCTTCCCACTCTGCCAAGGACTCCACAGTCCCAGACAGGGGAGCCTGTGTTCCCAGGGCCAGAAGTCCACTGTGTGTGGGCAGCTCAAAGGGGCCAGGCTGCCAGCATTGACCTCATGATCTTCAGTGGACCCAGAAGTCCACAAGGCCTGGCATTGACCGAGACCACTGGGCTCAAGGCTGGGCTACTGCCACCTGGTCCAGAGAGCCTACAAACGCAAGGCAGCTCCCGTCCCAGGTCTGCTGCGCTTCAAGACAGCACCAACAGCAGCTGAGGTGAGGGCCCCAGGCCCAAGAGACGGGGCTGGCTGGTCCCCTGAGTGTCGTAAGGACTATGGCTACGCCTGTGTTCACACGTTCCCAAAACAAGTCCTGGACAGCCTGTCTCATGACACCAGGAAACAGTTGCTTGATGGGAAAACTGCTGTGTGTGTGTGTGTGTGTGTGTGGGCGCGTGTGTGTGTGTGTGTGCTGGAGGGAAGAAGAAAGGAAGGGAAAAAAAACAAGAGAGCACTGAGCAATTCCAAAGGCGTGTGGTTTTCTTCTTGTGGTTTGATGCAAGGGCTTGGTGGTTTAAGTAAAGCCCTGAGCCCAGATTGTGGGACAGTTAAAGACTAGGTGGAGCAGGGGTGAGTCCTGAGAACAAAGAGCCTATTGAGGGTGCCCTGCCCAGGGGGAAGAGGCAGGCAACAGAGGGTGAGGCAGCCCCACTCACCTGTGGGAGCCCTCCTTGGGCACAGGCTTCTGGTCTACCCAAAAGCTGTCACAAGTATGACTCATCTAGGAGCTCTTCTAGCAACTGTCGGGGGCAGTGCTGTGTGAGGGGAGCCTCAGACAGAATGCAGTCCCCTATGTGAGCCATACTTGGGGTTCAGTAGATGAAGTCACCACAGAGAAAGACCAGAGATGATAGTTTGGATTTTCATGCTGGAACAGTTGCTAACACAGCACCAGGCCTCAGAGCTTGGACAGGGTCACCTGCAGCTCTGACTTTCTAAGATTCTAGAGCTCTTTTTAGGGGGTGTGGCTTTTCTTTCTACTTCTTAGTCTCAGCACCCTGAAGGAGCCTAAGGTATGGCATAATAATAGCTAAATGTATACAGCCCTGCTCACTTGACAGACACTAAATATTCTAAATCTTCTCTGCTAGCTCAGCTCATTTAATCCTCACCATTCTAAGAAGTCGGTCCTGTGGCGATTTCTGTTTTACAGATGAGGAAACTGAGGCACAGAGAAGCTGAGTGAGTTACTGGTTTGTGAGTCCAGGGAGTGGGCTCTGCATCTATATTACTGATGATACGCTGGCTCATTAGGGGAAAGGGAGAATGTCCAGGACAAGGGCAAATATCAGATCCCACGGCACAGGCCCCTGCAGCCCAGACCCTTCCTTCAGCCTCCTCCCCACAATAAACACAAACCAACGCAGAAGATGATGGTCACCCCCCAGGGAGGCTGACGCCCTGGCTCCTGACCCAGAGGAAAGCAAAAGGAGTTGGGCCCACCTGGCCCCTGCGCTGTCTGATAGGCAAGGACAAGGACGGGCACTGGTTAGCGGGGCGAGCTTGATGAGTCAGATGCCCACTGCGCTGAGTAGCCTTTGAATACACCTCTACTGTGAAGAATATGCCCAGGGATTGGGATTTTCTGGTAAATTGTAATTTCTGGGTGTTACATACCCTGTTAGCTTTGAGTACTGTTGCTGGAAACCTCCTTAAAATGACTGTGTAGGGATAATCCCAGCAGGGCAGCTCCCTGTCACCCCAAAACGGAGTCCCTGGGCTGAACACTGACACATATTTTGTGGGTTTCCTTTCAGCTGACCCCCAGGCTGTGGGAACTGAGTTGCAGGCAATCTCCACACCTGGCCCATCACCCCGGTGCCCCTCCAGTAGTGTCTCACCTCCCCTCTTCTCAGATCACAGGGCATGCTAAAGCCGACAGTGAGTCGGGAGACCCTCTAAGATCCAACAAAGCAGCACAGTGGGTGGAAAGAGAACATCAGAATCCCAGAGACCAGACTTAGAGCCTGTTACTCGCGCTCTCTGATAGATAAATAAAAATGCCCAGCTCGTGGTTACTATGAGGATTCAAAGGGGCTTAACGCCTATAGCACTGAGCATGGTGCCCGGCACAGAGGAAGTGCTTAGTGGGTGTTAGCTGTTACTACCTGGACCAGCACCTGAGTCTACTGAGAGTGAAACTGATGCTGGAGAAGTGATATTGAATAATAATCTGTACCAGGACCAAGCATGGTAGTGCAGGCCTGTAATTCCAGCTACTCAAAAGGCAGAGGCGGGAGGATCGCTTGAGCCCAGGAGTTCTAGACCAGGCTGGGCAACACAGCAAGACCATCGTCTCCAAAAAAAAAAAAAAAAAAAAGGAAACAAAATGCGGGGTGTGGTGGCTCATGCCTGTAATCCCAACGACTTGGGAGGCTGAGGAGGGAACTTTCACTGGAGTCCAGGAGTGAAGGTTGCAGTGAGTTATGATCGTGCCTCTGCACTCCAGCCTGAGTGACAGAGCAAGACTCTATCTCAATAACGACAAAATAATAATATGTACCTGGCATTTTTGATTAGAATTTTCCATATATTTCCTTATTTGTTCCATGAAATAAAATGAAGAGTCACTTGGGAGCCAGAGAGGTTAAGAAACTTGCTGTTGCTTTCCTGGCCTGAGGATCTCCACAAAACCTGGTCTAGAGCTGCAAGCCAGGAACCATCTCGTGTGAAAAGTCCATGCCCGTCAACTTCGCTTGAGACTGTGCTATATCTAGAAGCCATTAGCTTTATCCCTAGTGAGTAACAATTTAATCTGGCCAAGGCAAATAACAAATTAGACTATTTATTTATTTGATTTATTTATTGATTTATTTATTTTGAGATGGAGTCTCCCTCTGTCACCCAGGCTGGAGTGCAGTGGCGCGATCTCAGCTCACTGCAACCTCCGCCTCCCGGGTTCAAGTGATTCTCCTGCCTCAGCCTCCTGAGTAGCTGGGATTACAGGTGTCCAACACCATTCCCAGCTAATTTTTGTATTTTTAGTAGAGATGGGGTTTCACCATGTTGGCCAGGCTGGTCTCGAACTCCTGATCTCAAGTGATCCACCTGCCTCAGCCTCCCAAAGTGCTGGGATTACAGGCATGAGCTACCGTGCCTGGCTAAAATTAGACTTTTTAGAACAGTATACAACATTGGGTTGTGTGAAACTTCAAATTTATTGTGTTGAAACTAAACTCCTCTTATTGCCAAATTAGAACATTATTGTTCACATTGGCAAAGAAATCCACACTTTCACAAAACAGTTTTCTACCAGGCTTCTTGAAACATGAGCTCTTCCATATTTTTCAGGACCAGAGCTATTACATAAAACTGGGCACACATGAGTGCTTGCATGGACAATGTTAGCACACTTAAGTTCCAATTTATAATGTGTAAAGCCCCAAATTGGAGCTGGCTAGATAGTCTGTGAGGCAAGTCTTAATGGGTAACATGAACCTGCTTTGTCCATGTTATCCTGTGTCTGACACAGCATCATGTGTCTGACACAGACTTTGGCTTTCTGGGGTCACCATCCCTGGCTTCCTTCCCACATTTCTGCCTGAACCATGCTGCTGCCACTGCTTGTAACAACTTCCCCATGCTGGCAAGAATCTAGATTAGGCACAAGCCTACATGACCAACACATACCATTTGCCACACCAAGTTGTCCTCTGTTCCTAGACTTGGCTAAATTGCTACACTTAGATCATGGCCTCTAGCTTTCTGAGTACCTGCTATGGAGCAAAATAATGTAAGATAAGAGTGTTAGCACCCGCTAAGAAATGGAAGACAAAATAGAGCTACAAAATAAATGTCTCTTCATTTCTCCCTTCTGTGGATAACTCTGAGAACTGGCTTCTCCTTGAAATTCTAGAGAAAATCCACCATGCAGCATGAACACACATGCCAATTGAATCACATGCCTCCTCATGGTTAATCATGAAGCAGTGGCCAGCACAGTAACACACTGCATTGTTTTACATGTATCTTTGCCTCACTTCCCTTTTTTTTCCACGCTTATTTCCCTGTTCTTATGCCTTGCAAATACAGTGTCAGCACTTTAATCCTTGCTTAAAGCTCTGCATCCAAGAGTGATTCTAGAAAACAATTATCAGGATGGAATTATGAGTTGAATGTCCCATTTGTCTTAAAGTAATAGGTATTCCATTGCTGGTAGTACATGGCCAGTAACAACTCCTTGGCATTTGGTAGACTTGTGATTTTTTCAATTTTCACTGTAGTTAATTGGGATAAAGTGCAGGTCAGGCATAAGACAAGGCATTGGAAGATTAAGTGGCCACGGCCTTCAACCAGTATAGAAGCTGACATGGTTTGGGTGTGTCCCCACCCAAATCTCATCTTGAATTCCCACATGTTGTAGGAGGGGCCTGGTGGGAGGAATTGAATCATAGGGGCAGTTCTTTCCCATGCTGTTCTCATGATAGTGAACAACTGTCACAAGATCTGATGGTTTTAAAAAGTGGGGTTTCTCTGCGCAAGCCCTCTTCGCTTGTCTGCCACCATGTGAGATATGCCTTTCACCTTCCGCCATGATTGTGAGGCTTCACCAGGCACCTGGAACTGTAAGTTGATTAAACTTCTTTTTTTTGTAAACTGTCCAACCTCGGGTATGTCTTTATCAGCAGTATGAAAATGGACTAATACAGAAGCAATGTCACCTATGAGGCTTTTGGACTAGGATGGCTACTAATGGCAGCACTAAAGACATTTAAATAAATGATAGGGTCAAGGAAGTTGATTAATGGCTCTAAAAGCCAGGTGACTTCTATGGCAATATTAAAGGAGGTCTTTGTTTCCTGCAACATCAGGGAAAACTGTGTGAAAATCAGGTTCAGAATCTGATTCTAAGGGTTTTGGAGCTGCCATGAAGATGAAATGCATAGCCTTGGCAAGTATGCTATGTCAAGTTAGGGTCCTGATAGGGAAAATGTAGAAATCTCAGACTTGGGATGGAGACAATTAGGTGGATGAAGCTGAGCATCTAGAAACTCCAAATTCCTGTAAGCCCTCCTTCCCCAAAGATGTGACACCTTCACCTTTGCCAGAGAAGACTAGACTCTACTTGCTGGTTGTACAGTATAATAATCTCACCTGAAGCAGTGGCTTCCCAAGGTGATGCCCGTCCTCCTCAAGAAAAGCTAACCTTCACCACCTCTCATTCTCTCCAGACTGAGAGCCAGAGGCAGGTCTCAGCAAGCTCAAGTGCAGATGCAAAATCCTGTTTCAGGGTGAAACTGTCTAGATAAGAAAAGAGTTACAAACCCTAGCAAGAACTGCTGAACATAAAGTGAATATTGAGGGTAGTAGCCCAAAGAGGGGAGGCGAATACAGAGCTGGATAGTAGGGTATTTGTTGACATGGGATAACTCATTTATGACTCATAATTTAGTTTTGTATCAAGAACACATGGATAGTTTGCCAGGATGGATATCTGAGGCCTTGACTCCACAAGGAACTACAGAAAAAAAGTGGAGACCACAGAAATACTTTGGCATAGTGTTGAGGAAGAGAATAGAAGGCTCAGGGAACTGGGAATATTATACAGGGACTTCTTATGTTTAGACCAAGAACCTACTACCCAGAGGGCATACTTTTCACTCAGACATTAGAAAGCGCATTGGTGAGCAAGATACCAGCATCTTGGAGAAGCTCAGTGGTGGCTTTCAAAGGCACACACTGCAAACATAATTACTTGATAGGCAGCAAGCCAGAGTGGTAGGTTCAGTCAGAGTGCTTTGGTTCACAGGGCTATGACAGTAATTAATAGATTACAGAGTCCAAGGAGTGAGTTGCGTAGACAACCAATTAGGGTGCTATTGGGTTTATACAAACAAGAAAATATCTCAATCTGGCAAATGAAGACTGACATTAACCACTGCAAAGGAAAATTGTGGCCTATGCCTCAAAGTCAGTTCACAGACCCAGAGCCCATTATGAATGGAATTCTAGAACCCTAAGTGCTGACAAAAGTCATTCTCACAGAAGATCCAGTGCATCTGCAAACCCACCCTGTGGTTATTTCCCCAGTGCCCAAATATATAGTTAGGATAGATATAATTAGCATATACTTACCAGCTGGTAGATCCCTTACAGTAGTGGCCTGATTTGTGGAGTGAGAACTATTATGAGAAGAAATGGAAGCCCTTGAAAGGCCAAATGGAAGCTCTTGACATTTTCCTATCCCCAATACTAGCCTCCAAGAAAAATTAGAAGCAATGCCACATTTCTGGAGGAATTTTAGAGATTAGCATTACCATTCAAGATATGAGAGATGAAGGTATTGGTCCCTATTGTATTCCCAATCAGCTCACCTCTGGCAGTGGATACTGCAAGCTTAATACTCCATTTCAGCTGCTGGTCAAAATATAAATTTTTTATTTCTTTTTTTTTTTTAGAGATAAGGTCTAACTGTTACCTGGGCTGAACCCTTGGACTTCTAGGCTCAAGTGATTCTCTCACTTTCCAAGTAGCTGGGACTACAGGCACATGCCACCGGATATGGAGCTTTACTGGGGCAGATCAACACGGCCTCAGGCAATCCATCAGTAGAGTGAGACCAAAGAAGTTTACCTTTACTTAGCATATCTATATAGCAAACCTGCACATGTATCCCTGAACCCAGAATAAAAATTAAAAAATAAAATAAAATAAATGTAAAAGAGAGATCATATTCTTTTATTTGAGAAATACTAATCCATAATACTATCTTATATATTATCTGAACAATAAAACTATCATATAAATTTTTTTTAAAGAGAGACATCATGCTGCAGTTTCTTTAGATTTTGAAGACAACATAGTATAAACTTCTCTCCCAGTTCCCTGATGCCTCAGAAAGCCACCAGTGTTGAGTGTGGGCAGCAAATCCAAGCTGTGGTTCCAGGTATTCTGTTTCTCGGGCCATGTGACCAACAGATCCAGTGTGCTAGGGGCATCTGCAATGGATAAGGATGTGGCAGCCTTAAATAGAAGAGTCACAGCACAGAGCCCTCAGATTCTGGAATAAGGCCATGCACTACTGGAGAGAACCATCTTGTTTGGCAAGTAGCTCCTGGCATACTACTGGACCCTAGTGGAGACAGAGCAGCTGACCATGGGGCACCCTGTTACTATGCAGTCTGGTTTCCATTATGAGTTGGTGTTATCTAACCTATAGAGTCCTACTTTTGGAAACATGTAACAGTAATTTATCATGCAACAGAAGTGATACATTTGGATCTAACCTGTAGCAGGTCCAGAAAGATTAAGTAAATTATTTAAACAGATGGTCCAGACTCCCATTTCACCCCTCTCTGCTGCACTGCTGACTCCCAATCGATCCACACTTATAGCCTCCTGGGAGTACCCGACATCTCACTGAACTCAGTGTTGATTTAATGGGATTGTTGCTGCATTGTTGCCCCAAACAAAAGTGACCCTGAAGGATAATGGTAAGAGGTGGTTCTTCCAATGGGACAAGCTGGAACCAGTATACTTGATCATATGCTGTACGTGGAGGAAGGATGTGGCCTGAGGCATAGATGTGTACTCCTTCATGGTAGGATTAGATGGCTCAGCCAGCTGGCTAATGGCCTGGAAGGAACAGACTGGAAGATGAGAGTTGAGGAAATCTGGGAAAGCAGAATGCAGATAGACCTATGGAAGTGGGCACCAAGTGCATGGATAGATCTTTGGGTCACACATTAATGATGACTGAAGGCCATATACACATTTGAGGTTCTCAGTCACCATCTAGACAGGGTGGCCCATCCTGTGCGTTTGTCATCCAATCTCTCCCCTCAGATATCTCAGTATTTGTTCAATGTGTCTTTGAAGAGAGTGGTCAAGGTAACAAGGACACAGTTTACACAAAAGTCCTAAAACAGGGATTCTGATTTATTTACTGTGATTGCTGAGTACCCAACCTACTAGCAAAAAAGACCATTGCTGAGTCCTTGAAATGGCATCCTTCATCATGTACACCAGCTAGCAAACTGGTGACAAGTCAATGACATTGGAATGCTTCTGTGTTAGAGCAGACAGCAATGCATCTTTCCTAGAATTGACACCAGCTCCAGAGGGAGATTTTCTTTAGCGTGAGGCATTACCCACACACATACACACATACACACACACCAGCACATGGCATAATGCCCAGGATATTGTAACAATTTTTTGGAGAATAAATGAGTGAATAAATGAATGAATACTAGAAATAAGAGTGTGAGCCAAAGAGTGAAAGGCTTACATAAATTTGGGGAGATGAGTGACGCTTCTCTAGTCTCTTTTTCCTTATTCCTCAACCCAGGACATAGATCAAGCTCTTTACTGGGCCATGATAATCGCTGTTCATGTATATCCCCATCTGCAATCTCTCTCTGACAGCTCCTTCCCTCCAGGCTTAAACTATCACATCTCTCTTGTTGGTAAAGTACTCTGACAGATACTATTTTATTTTATCTTTACCACAATCTCATGAGATAGGGATGTGGAGAGGGATAGGTTCATCAATATCCATTTTCTCTTCTTCTTCCCGGACCCAGGGCTCAACGTTATTTCCCAATCTATTTGCCATTAGGTTAGGACTGGATTACCTAGTTCAGACAAATGGAAAGTGATGTGTGCCACTTCCAGGCCTGGCACATACAAATCTCTCATATGACTCTCCTTTCTGATCCATGGAGACCCTGAAAGCCACATTCTGAAGATGGCAGCTCCAAAAGATGGAAGGAAACTGGGTGCCTGAATGACTGCCTGGAGCAAAGGCCCCTGTCTGACTTGCATTGGACTTATGCATAAACAAGAAAGGTTTTTATCTTATTCAACCTCTGAGAGTTTGAGATTGTGACAACAGTTAGCCAAGCCTGAATAAGCAGAAAGACAGGAGTGAATTTTATTACAAAGAATGTACAGAAACTGAAACATCAAAAAGTGGAAAAAGTGTAAGTAATGAAAAATCACCTGGTTTATGGCCAAACACACCTAGAAATGGTTTCATGGTTCCATCACTTGCTGGCTGTGTGTCTTTAAGCACATCATTTAATATTTCTGAGCATCAGTTTTCGTATTTGTTAAATAAAGGGGAAAATATCTGTCTCGCAGTTTTATCATAAGAATGGTGATAATATTTATAAGGTGCCAGGGTGGCACACAGTAGGTGGCATACAGTAGGTTCTCAATGAACATCCACTCTCACTGTTGTTACATCAGAGATTCACATGGTTAATCATATCAGAGCTGGAGTCAGAGTCCCATTTTCTGAAGGCCAACCCAGAACAGCCTCTACTGTACACCGTATTTTTCCCCAGCCCTGCTTTATAGTTGAAACTTAATTATAAAGGAGTCCTCCTTAGCATTCATGTTTGTGAGAACAAGGCTGGGAACTTCTTGTGAACACTCTGCCTGCACATCTATGAAAGGCTGGGATTAGGTCCCCAGGGCACAACTGCAGTGGTGTGGCATGAGTCTAATTATAAGAGAATTCTACTGAATTTGGAATAAAGGTAATGAAGAAGTCACGAATAATGACCAAAGCTACAGTATTTCACTCTGCAGTTTTTAGATTCAAACTTTGCCTGTTTCTAAGACTATGTGAACCAGCTATGAACATAAAAATAAATAAATAAATAAATAAATAAATAAATAAATAAATAAATGCATTTCAAGAGTAAGTTTTTGCAGTCTCTATTCAACATCCTTTACTCCTGCATGAGTCTCACTGTGCCCTCTGGTGGTGGCTGTGAATTTAATTGGGTTTGTTTATTCCTAGACTCTAAAGGAGTGTTGGAAATTCTCATGCTGGAGCGTTGGAACTTCATCCTTGCAAAAGATTCTGGTAATCACATTTACATACACCAACTGTCCAGGGAAGATAAGGGTGACGGACCTTAGAGTGCTCTGCCTGGAGGTCACTGGAGAACGATGAGAGGCTCAGAAAGGTGTTGGCAGGAATGGAGAGGAGCAAGCATTTGAAGGGAGGATTTGGAAGTAGGCATGCATTAGAGAAAGGAGGCAAAACAATGAAAGAATAGGCTAGGAAATCTCTCCCAGACCACTGGCCACATCCAGGCTCTTGAAGGCTACTCTTCTCCCAAAAGGTACAAGAAGTACAAAACTCCAAGGGGCAATTTAAAGACAGCACCATTCATTTCTACCACACTGCAATTCCTCGCTCATCTGCCTCCATCCTTGCACCTGCCAGAGATGCTGGCCAGCAATTCCCAGGCAAAGGAAATGGTGCAGGTCATGATACCTGAAATCTCACAGCCACTGTTAGCATGACTGAGTTGCTCCCTGTAGAGATTCACATCTTAAGAGAAGACTCTTCTGGGCTCCAAAGCAGAGTGCAAGCAGTCCTAGGAAAATGTAACACCTTTTTGTTTTTGTTTTTTAAGACTTTTGGAAAAACTGGAATAAGCAAAGATAAGTGGCTTTCTGTGCTGCAGGACATCTTTGAGCCTTAAGTACAACTAATATGCTATGAGAGTTAGCTATGGAGAATTATAGAACAGCTTTTCCAGAATTTATTTGGGAATCATACTTACTTACAAGATGCTGTCCAGAACTCACTTGAGAAATACTTTCTTTTTTTTTTTTTTTGAGATGGAGTCTCGCTCTGTCGCCCAGGCTGGAGTGCAGTGGCGCCATCTCAGCTCACTGCAAGCTCCGCCTCCCGGGTTCACGCCATTCTCCTGCCTCAGCCTCCCGAGTAGCTGGGACTACAGGCGCCCGCCACTGCACCTGGCTAATTTTTTGTATTTTTAGTAGAGATGGGGTTTCACCATGTTAGCCAGGATGGTCTAGATCTCCTGACCTCATGATCCGCCCTCCTTGGCCTCCCAAAGTGCTGGGATTACAGGCATGAGCCACCGCGCCTGGCCGAGAAATACTTTCTAAAACAATGGTAAACTCATTCTTTTTAAGGTCCTGACTGCCAGAGGCAGGCCCTTGTGATAGTACTAGTCTAGGTTTCAAGATACCAGAGTTCCCCATTGGATCTTCCACTCTGTGAGTGCTTTTGGCTCGTTCTTTTCATTTCTTTGGGTTCCATTTCCTTTCCTGCAAACCAAGGAGTTTGGAGAGATCTGCAGTTTTCTCTGAGACAGAGAAACTCGGGGCTCCATGGAAGTACTCCATTGGTTCCACAACAGTCATGCAACATCCACAAATTACAAAAATGGGAACTCCTAGTCCATTCATTTCTTTTTACCTGTTTTACATTGAGGATTTACCAAATAGTTCATTTGAATAAAAGAGATTATTTGAACTGGGCATGGTGGCTCATACCTATAATCCCAAAATTTTGGGAGGCCAAAGCAGGATAATCACTTGAGGCCAGGAGTTCAAGACCAGACTAAGCAGCATAGCAAGACCCTGCCTCTCCAAAAAATAAAGAAAATTAGCCAGGCATGGTGGTGTGCATCTGAAGTCTCAGCTGTCTCAGCTATCCCAGCTACTCAGGAGGCCGAGGTGGGAGGATTGCTTGAGACCAGGAGTTCAAAGCTGCAGTGAGCCACGATGGCATCACTGCACTACAGCCTGGGAGAGAGACTGAGACCCTGTCTCTAAAAACAGTGTATTTGTGAAAACTGGTTGAACACCTCTAGGATATTTAGTCTCTAAGGGCAATTCCAGGTATACATAGTCATACAAGTGTATGAACTAGGATTCAGTTAAAGCAGTCTGGAATGACAGATTTTCCCAGGGTGGGCGGTTGCTGCCGTTGCTGGCTGTGTTGCGTGACCAGGTCACAAGACTTCAGGGGAATTTTTGGACCACCCAGGTCACTCAGCTATTGGGCATAACAAAAAAAAGAATGATGTGACTACACTGGAAATGGTTACAGGACACATTTTGGCAGCGTAAGAGAGGAGAAAGCATCAACTGAGAGCTGCTTGTGGAGAGCAGAAAGTCAGTCCGGAAGACCCAGTCAGAACTCCTAGGGAGGGAACGCAGCCATTTTGTGTTGGTGATTTGTAGGTACTAACAAAGAAATAAAGAGACCTGGCTTTGTCAACTCTTATGAGTTAAATTCTGTCCTGCTCAAATTCATATGTTGAATTCTGAACTCCCACTACCTCAGAATGTGACTTATTTGGAGACATGATTTTTACAAAAGGAATCAAGTTAAAATAAAGTCATTAGGATGGGCCCTAATCCAATAGGACTGGTGTCCCTATAAAAAGGGGAAATCTGGGCCAGGCACGGTGGCTCAAGCCTGTAATCCAGCACTTTGGGAGGCCAGGGCAGGCAGATCACTTGAGGTCAGGAGTTCAAGGCCAGCCTGGCCAACATGGTGAAACCCCCTCTCTGCCAAAAAATACAAAAATTAGGTGAGTGTGGTGGTGTGTGTCTCTAATCCCAGCTACATGGGAGGCTGAGGCAGGAGAATCGCTTGAACCTGGGAGGTGGAGGTTGTAGTGAGCTGAGATCATGCCATTGCTCTGCAGCCTGGGCGACAGAGCAAGACTCCATATCAAAAAAAAAGATTGTAAAAAAAGTGTGTGTGTGGGAGTATCTGGAAAAAACATGCAGAAAGGAAAATGATGTGAAGAGACCCAGAGAAGATGGCCCCTGACAAACAAAAGGGAGAGGCCTGGAACAGAGCCTTCCCTCACAGCCCTCAGGAGGAACCCAAATCCAGCCGACACAGTGATTTCAGACTTCTAGCTCTAGAGCTGTGAGACAATACATTACTATGTTGACGCCACCCAGTTTGTGGTGCTTTGTTACAACAGCCCCAGCCACTGCTATCCCAGCCCTGGGAATAGCATGAAGGGGAGCCACTCTAGGTTGCAGAAGGGGAGAAAATCTAACCCAGGGGGCCTGTGGCTGAAGCTGCCTCTCCCTGGGCTACTGCAGCAAGCTTCTTCCTGTTCCATCTGCTGCTCAGTGCTCCTGCCCAGCCCACAGTGTTATCAAACAATCTTTGCCAAGTAGCCCCCTTTCCTGCCACTTGGTTTCCCATGTACCTACAGGAATGCATTGCCACTTTTTCAGATGCTCCATGGGTAGGGCGCAGTGCTGTACCAGGCAGCTGCCATCTCCACCGCTAGCTCTTCGAAAAAAACTGCAAAATGGATACACTTAAGTCTAGGCTGTTCTACTTTCTTCCATCCTCTGAATTATTAGTGCCCAGGCCCCACCTGAAATCAATTAAATTACAATCTCTTAGGTGTATTTTAGAAACCACCACTCCCCTCCAAAGAATTCTAAGATGTAGTCAGGATTAGGAAACATTTCTAGATACTCCTGCTCCTCAAGTCAGCCCTCTCCAGCTTTGAACCACGCTTCAAAAATATTTCTTCTTCATCGGCATCCAAACTCTCATTCCCTCAGTGACGTTACATTCAGCTATAAGGAAGGCAATTTGATTAATATATGCTGATCCTTCAAAGATGTATTATCCCTGCCGGGCTGGCTGGCTCTAATCCCAGCACTTTGGGAGGCCGAGTTGGGCAGATTTGAGTCAGGAGTTCGAGACCAGCCCAGCCAACATGATGAAAGCCTGTCTCTACCAAAAAAATATAAAAATTAGCTGGGTGTGGTGGTGGGCACCTGTAATCCCAGCTACATGGGAGGCTGAGGCAGGAGAATTGCCTGAACCCGGGAGGCAGAGGTTGCAGTGAGCTGAGATGGCACCAGTGCACTCCAGCCTGGGTGACAGAGGAAACCCTGTGTTAAAAAAGAAAGAAAAAAAGAGAGAGAAAGAAGAAAGAAAGAGAGAAAGACAAGAAAAGAAAAGAAAAGGAAAGAAAGGAAGGAAAGAAAGAGATGTATTATTCCAATCAATATTCCTGGGGGAGAGTTACCACCACAAAAAGATAATACTTAGGCAAATTAACCCTAAATTGGAAGTATCACAACATATTTTGATCCAAGAACCCCAGATGTACTATGTTAAATACTCCTTCTTTCCTGCTGTGTCTCGTTTGTATGCTGGACCAGATAGAGAACAGGAATGTGTAACACTATTTTCATTCCATTCCAACAACAAAAAATATCAAGCATTTCCTACTGCTCTGACACTAAATAATTACAAAAGACACAACCATGTACAGAGATGTCGTCTCTACCTCCAAGGAAAACACAATCTAGAAAATAGGTATCATGGGCCGGGCGCGGTGGCTCACGCCTGTAATCCCAGCACTTTGGGAGGCCGAGGCGGGCGGATCACGAGGTCAGGAGATCGAGACCATCCCGGCTAAAACGGTGAAACCCCGTCTCTACTAAAAATACAAAAAATTAGCCGGGCGTAGTGGCGGGCGCCTGTAGTCCCAGCTACTTGGGAGGCTGAGGCAGGAGAATGGCGTGAACCCGGGAGGCGGAGCTTGCAGTGAGCCGAGATTGCGCCACTGCACTCCAGCCTGGGCGACAGAGCGAGACTCCGTCTCAAAAAAAAAAAAAAAAAAAAGAAAATAGGTATCATGGGTCTAAAAGGAAACCAAAACTGAAATGAACCAATCTTTAAAAATAAAGCAACATAAGAGCCTTATCTACCAAAATCTGTGGACTTCAGCCAAAACGGAATTTAAAGATAAATTCATAGCCTTAAAATCTATATATTAGGGCCTTAGAAAGAAAATCAACTAAGAATCCAACTCAAGGGCAATGTGGTCATGGTGGCAGTAGGTTTCCCAATCTCCCTATAACCTCTCCTGACAACCAAGTAGAGCAGATAGGATGCAGCCCCCCAAAAACCCACCACCTCAGCCAACAACAACAAAAATCCCACCTCTAACCTCTAACCTCTTCAACCAAATTAGGTGACAGGAGACCTATCAAACCTGAGGACATGGACAAATACGCCAAACCAGCAACAACAGGACTTGGTCACAAAAATAAAAAAGTCACCCACAAATTCTCACCCCCAAAAGATGAAGACAACACCCTGATCAGAGCTGAGCGCATCCTGAGCAGGGAAGAGGAGTCCCAGGGGCTCACAGTGAAGATAACTGGGCCTGGATCTGGGTGGAGCAGAGAGGGTGGAACAGTTTAAATTCCTGAGAGTCTCAGAAATATCCGGCAAACAATTCATTCCAGAAGGAAAGAGCTGCAGTCTGAGGGAAAATTACTGGAAACAGAAACCACATTGAGTGGGGCTCAATTTGAGTAAGTGAAAGAGAAAGCATAGATCACAGGGGAGGAGGGTCCTGGGGAAGAAGGTCTCTGTAAATACTGCAGCATCAATATTTACCATGTGAAGCAGCATGGCATGGAAGGCCAAACCTAGGGTGCCCAAGAGCCGGGGCTGGGGCTGGAGGCAGGAAATCCTGAACCCGGCTCATGTCAAAGAGACAAAGAAATGGCTACAGAGACAGGCCTAATTTTGAGTCATTCATGGTGTCAACAGAGTAGGTGGCATCAAGTCATGAGCTAAGGATGCTGCCCTTGCCCATCCCTCCCCAAACTCTCCTGTTCCCCAGAGAATCTTCTCAGTTCCAGATATAACTCTCCTTGCCCCATTGTGTAGCTGCAAACCAGTTTCCCCCGGTAACTGGAATTAATCGCTCCTGTCAGTAGAAAAAAACGAAAGCTGAAATCCTTGTTCTTCTAATTGGTACCATAGTATAAATAGCCCAAAATAGCTGGAGGGCATTCTCATCTTCCAATCAATGATCCTACCGATGTGTCCCCTGATATAAGCATTCTCCCATTCAGACCTAAGACTTCCAAACCAACAAAGCTCCAAGTTGCCAGGATGGGAAGCAAAAATTCTATAAGTGGGTGACTAGGTGTAAGGGAGAGAGGAACCACTTCTACTTCTACCCTTTGATTTCCAGACTCGTGAGTTCTTGCCATGGAGAAGGCAATGTCATGTAATGATTTCTGATTCAAAGGACATACTGCACCTTGTGACACAGAACCCCATGGTTTCAGGACACTGCCTTCCAACTGGTGCTGCAACTGGGTCTTCAAGAAGCTATTCCACCTTTCAATAAGACCATTTATTTCCAGGCGATAGGGTATGTGGAAGTACCAATGAATCCCAAGAGCATTAACCCACTGCTGTACTTCCTTGGCTGAGAAACACATTCCTTAATCAGAATGCCCTTGAGAATGCTCTGAAGATGGATGGGGCATTCTTCTGTGAGCCTACTGGTGGTGAAGGGCAGGCATGGGCATCACAGGCAGGGAAACCAGATCCTTGTCCAGAATGTGTGCCTATCCCAGCAAGAACAATTGCTGTCCGATTCCAGGAGAGAAGAGGTCCAGTGTAATCAACCTGCCACGGGGTGGTTGACAGGTCCCCTCAGGGAGTGGTATATTGGGGGTTGGTGCTTATCTCTGCAGTTGGCAAGTTAAGCATTCACTTAGCTATAGCCAGGTCAGCCTTGGTAAGGGAACATCCACATTGTTGGGCTTATGCACAGCTCCATCTCCACTGCCATGACCAGTTTATCCCTGAGTCCATTGAGCAAGCCCTGGGGTGGCTGGGAAAAGATGTTGACTGACATTGATAGAGTGTATTATTTGGTCCTCCTGACTACTGAAAGTCTCCTCTGATCCGCAAACGATGTCTTTTGATGAGCAATCCCATGGGACAGAAAGATCTTCACAGTCTGCCCATGCTGAGTTCCATCCACATAACTTTCCCAGACTTCCTTGTCTCTAATCCTCCAGTCGTGTTCTTTCCAAGTACCCGACCATCCGATCAAACCATTTGCAATTACTCTTGAATCAGTATAAATCCATGATATAATGTGAATGTCTGTGTTTCCTCAAATTCATATGTTGAAGACCTAACCTTCAGTGTGGCTGCATTTGGAGACAGGGCCTCTAAGGAAGTAATTAAGGTTAAATGAAGTCAAAAGGGTGGGGCCCTGATCTGATAGGATTAGTGTCCTTATAAGAGGAGACACTAGACGTTTTCTCTCTGTCTGTCTGTCTCTCTCTCCACACACACGCATGCGTGCACACACACACACGCACGCGTGCACACACACACACACACACACACAGAGAGCAAGGAAAGTCCATGTGAGGACATAGTGAGAAGGTGGCCATCTGTACGGCAGGAAGAGGCCCCTGACCAGAAACTGAATCAGCTGGAACTTGAAATTTCAGCTTCTAGAACTGTGAGAAAATTAATTTCTGTGGCTTAAGCCACTTCATCTATGGTATTTCATTATGACATCCCAAGATGACTAAGACAGATTTTTGTGTTGAGAAGCAGGGAGTTGCCATAACAAATGCTAAAACTGTAGAAGTGGCTTTGGAACTGGCTCATGTGTAGAGGTTGGAGGAGTTTTGAGGTGCATGCTAGGAAAAGCCTAGATTGCCTTAAAAGGACTGTCGGTAGAAATACAGCTGCTAAAGGTAATACTGGTGAGGTTTCAGCTGAAAATGAGAAAGAGTTTATTGGAAATTGGAGGAAAGGTGATTCTTGTTACAAAGTGGCAAAGAACCTGGCTGAATTTTGTTCTAGTGTTTTGTTGAAGGTAGAACTTACAAGCAATGAAACTGGATGTTTAGCTGAGGGCATTGCTAAGCAAAATGTTAAAGGAGTCGTTTGGTTTCTCTTTATTGCTTATAGTAAAATGAGAGAGAAGAGAGAAATTGAAAAAAATTGTTAATCAAAAAGGACCCAGAGCTTGGGCCCGGCGCAGTGGCTCATGCCTGTAATCCCAGCACTTTGGGAGACCGAGGCAGGCGGATCACGAGGTCAGGAGATTGAGACCATTCTGGTTAACACGGTGAAACCCTGTCTTTACTAAAAATACAAAAAAAAAAAAAAATTAGCCAGGCGTGGTGGCAGGCGCCTGTAGTCCCAGCTACTTGAGAGGCTGAGGCAGGAGAATGGTGTGAACCCAGGAGGCGGAGCTTGCAGTGAGCCAAGATTGCACCACTGCACTCCAGCCTGGGTGACAGAGCAAGACTCTGTCTCAAAAGACTGAAAAAAAAAAAAAAAAAAAAAGGGACCCAGAGCTTGAAGATTTGGAAAATTCTCAGCCTATGCATATTGGAAAAACAAAAAATGAAGAAGCATTTTCACCTCTAAAGAGCACACTAAGGTTGTGGCTGGCCAAACATTTGATAAAGAGATCATGGGTGCAACACATGGATTTCGCTAGCCAGCTCATAAGAGCCAGGGATAGAAGTTAGGCACTGCCAGTTTGAACTAAAGGGGACAGAGAAAGTGAGACAGGTTGAAAAAAGGCTGTTGGATATTGCGATTCTACAGAGCAGGATGGTAGAACTATTCAGTTGAGAAATATGCTTTGTCCTTCAAGAAAAGGCAACAATGACCCTGAAGGCAATTCAGAGATCATCAGGGCTCCTATCACAGAACCAAGGGGTAAGGTTGGTTTCTTCTCAGTTTCAGTAGACCAGATGGCCACCACAGAGAGCTGTGCAGGTGAGGTTGCCACAGAGAGTGGTGAGGTGATGCTGCCACTCCAGTGGGCTGGGATGGGGGGTGGACAGAGCACTGAACCAAAGAGGATTATTCTCAACCCCTAAGATCTAATGGAATTTGCCTTGCTAGGTATTGAACTTGCTTGGGACCTGTCACCCCTTTCTTCTGATTTCTCCCTTCTGGAATGGGAATGTTCATCCTATGCCCTTTCCACCGTTATATTTTGGAAACACATAATAGTCGGGTTTCACAGGTTCATAGCTGGTGAGTAGTTTTGCTCACAATGAATTGTAGCTCGATTTTCATCCATACCTGATTTTGATGATATTTAGTTGAGATTTTGGTCTTTAGAACTAGAGTTGATGCTGGAATGAATTAAGACTTTTGGGACTGTTGGAATGGAATGAATGCATCTGCATGTAAGAAGGGCATGAACTTTGTGGGAGGCAGAAGTGGAATGAAATGAGCAGAATATCTGTATCCCCTCAAAATTAACATATTGAAACTCTACCCCAAATGTGATCGTATTTGGAGATGGGGTCTTTAGGAGATCATTAGCATTAGTTGGGGTCCTGAGGATGGGGCTCTCATGAGGAGACATCAAAGAGCTTGCTATCTCTCTTTCTCTCCCTGTACAAGCACAAGGAAGAGGTCACGTGAGCACCCAGAGAAACAGTAGCTACCTGCAAGACTAGAGAACAGTCTGCAGAATGAAACCTCCCTGGCTGGCACCTTGAGCTTGGACTTCCTGGCCTCTAGAACTTTGAGAAAATACATTTCTGTGGTTTAAGCCACCAAATCTATGGTATTTTGTTATGCAGCCCAAACAGACAAATACAGACACATACTCTATGACATATTTATAAAAAGGTTTAAAACATACAATTTTACCATATGTTGTTTAGGAACACACACATATGTAATAATAACATAAATACATCCATGGGAAGTATAAACACCAAATTTAGGAGAGTGGTTCTTTTTGCAGGGTAGGGGAAGGGGAAATGCAACTGAAGGAGGGCCAGGAAGCCTCAACTATATTTGCTATTTTATTTCCTAAGGTGAATGCTATGTCGTTTTCTAAATCTTTTTTATGTCACAAGAATATTTTTAAAAGAAAAGATTGGCTCCTCGTAACATCATCAAGGCACTGGATCAAATCTTACCAAGTTATATGAGCCAACACACCCCATAATTGTTTCAGCCAGTAGGAGTATAATTTGTTTGTTGTTGCAGTCAGAGGCTCATCAGAAATCTTGTCTTCTCCATGAGGCCTCACCTAACTACTGCAGATCTGGAATAGCCCTGTCTCTCACCTGCTATAAACTACGATGGCTTTCACTTGGTTCAATATTGTGTGGATTTATTCCCTATTTATTTCATGTGCGGTTATCCACCATAAAATCATAACAATAACAACAATAGCTACCATTTATTGGGTGCTTCCTGTGTGTCAACAACACAGTGCTTAACTTTGTCACATCCAAGTACTAACCAGGCCTGACCCTGTTTAGCTTCTGAGATCAGACAAGTTCGGGTGCATTCAAGGGGGTATGGGCATAGACTCAGCACTTCGCTTTCTACATCCATCATTTTAAACCATCCTCACTATTACTAACTCTGTTTTTGCACACAAGGAAACTGGAGCTCAGAGATGCTAAATGATTCATCCGAGGTCACACAGCAAAAAAAGTGCCAAGTCCAATCGTTTTCTGCCAACTCCTCAAAGCAGAAAACTGTCTGCTTTCCTACATCCCCCACCACGACCTGAGGCTAGGTCCACCCGTGTGAGCTGATACAGCAACAGACTCTTTGTCCCCAGAGGTTGTTCAGAACAGAGCCTTGGTGACAAGGACCAGCTGCAGGGTGGATGAGCAGGGCTTCCCATTGGTGAAGGCTGCCCTGGCATGGCTCGAGAGAGCCTGTTGGCCTCATTGTGCACTCATGGGCCACAGTGGTTCCATCCTCCGGGTCTCCACCTGATCCCAGACACAGGCACTCAGACTTGCTGGAGCACTTGCTATCAGCTCCCACTAGGTGTCTCTGTTACTTTATTTTTTGTGTGCCAGAAGGCAAACCAAGGCCACTTACTTAAAACTATTCAAATCCAGATAAACGGGCTGCCTGGAACTCTGTGGTGGCCTCAGAGAAACCAGACTTCTACAGTCAGAACCTGTGGGCTTGAGAAGGAGAAGATAAAATAGCTTACATTTACTGAAGGCCTTTTGCACATCAGCCAGTTTACATACTTTAATATTAACAATAGTTAACACTAAGTAATGTTTTGTATGCACAAGGCACTCTCATGTGCTTTTTGCAAATATTAATGCACTCATACCTCATAACAACCCATAAGTACAGAGGTACGAAGGGTTAAGTAACTTGCTTAAGGTCACACAGCTAGTACACAGCATGGTCATTTGGATCATTCAGGTCTCATAACTACCCTGCAAAATACATGTTGTCATCCCTATTTTACATATGTGGAAACCAGGCTCAGAAAAAGTAAGAGGCACAATGTTATACAGCTAGACAGTGGCTGAAGCAGAATTCAAACTTAGGTCTATTTGACTCAGGTCAAAATATGAGTTGGCCCCATTCCCTGAGAAGGAATGAAGACCAGATCATAGGTAGGATCCTGTGTCCTTGACCCCATGTGGGTCACACACACGGCTCTGCAGACTCCACAAAGGACTGTGCAGACCCACTTCTCTGTAGACAGGGCTGAGATGTTCTGAATTCTACCAGGAATTGCTTTGAAAGTAAGGGAGGGGCGACAAAATATCATCTTTGCATGTAAAACCCCTCTACGGATGTATAGAGAGAAGCAACTCCCCACTCCAATTCAGGAGGATGAGGGAGAATTGACTTAGAGGGGGTAGGTTTTGGTTAAAGCCAGCAGAGGTTGCCATAGGTGGGATCTGAGGGTATCTGTGGAAGGCCTCAAAATTGCTCCCTTTAGACTGGTTGGCTTCACTGCTGAATTCTACGAATTTTAAAGAACTAATACTATTTTTTTCTGCAACTATTCCAGAAAATTGAAGGCAAAGGAATTCTTCCAAACTCATTCTACAAGACCAGCATTACCCTGATGCCAAAAGCAGACCAGGACACAACTAAAAAAGAAAACTATAGGCCAAAATTCCTGATGAACATAGTTGCAAAATTTCTCAGCAAAATACTAGCAAACTGAATCTAACAGCATATCAAAAAGATTACATACCATGATCAAGTTGCAAGGATATTTCAACATATGAAGATCACTAAATGTGATACATCATCAGAATGAAGGACAAAACCATACGATCATTCTAATAGATGGAGAAAAATGCTTGATAAAATACAACATTAATTCATGATAAAAACTCTCAACAAACTAGGTATAAAATGAACATACCTCAAAACAATAAAGGTCATATATGACAAACCCACAGCTAACATATTAGTACTAATTTTATACCGAATGGGGAAATGTTGAAAGCCTTTCCTCTAAGATCTGGAACAAGATAAGGATGCTCACTTTCACCACTGTTATTCAACATAGTACTTCAAGTCCTAGCCAGACCAATTAAGCAAGAGAAGGAAATAAAAGGCATCCAAATTGGAAAGGAGGAATTCAAACTGTCCCCGTTTACAGGCAATATGATTTAGAAAAACCTAAAAACTCCACCAAAAAACTGTTAGAACTAATAAACAAATTCAATAAAGTTGCAGGATACAAACTCAACATACAAAAAGCAGCAGCATTTCTATTTGCCCATAATGAACAATCTGAAAAAGAAACCAAGAAAGCAATCCCATTTACAATAGCTAGGAAAAAAAATACCCAGAAGTAAATTTAACCAGAGGTGAAAAATCTCCATAATGAAAACTATAAGATACTGATGAAAGAAAATTGAAGAGCATACAAAAAATGAAAAGATATTACATGTTCATAGATTAGAAGAATTAATATTGTTAAAATGTCCATACTGCCAAAAGTGATATACAGATTCAATGCAATCCCTATCAAAATACCAATAACATTCTTCCCAGAAACAGAAAGAACAACCCTAAAATTTATATAGAACCACAGAAGACCCTGAATAGTCAAAGCAATCCTGAGCCAAAAGAACAAAGCTGGGGATATCACACTACCTGACTTCAAAATATACTACAAAGCTATGGTAACCAAAACAGCATGGTGCTGGCTTAAATACAGACACATAGACCAATGGAAAAGAATAAATTAAGAACCCAGAAATAACTCTTTGGCCCTGAGGTCCTACAAGAGGCCAGAGGAGTACAGGTACTCAGGGAGGCTGTGCAGCCCCAGGCCTGTATCAATCACCACGTCCTGCTTGGAGCCATGCACCAGCCAAATGTTGGCATGGTTGCCCGACTCATAGAAGTGTTCTTGAATTCAAAAGATACTACCACCTGGAGACTTGTGGGTGTACCACTTGAGCGCCAACATGCTGGGCATGGGTGCAGCCAGGCAGATGCCTTTCAGAATTTGCCCACTCGTCTAGTATAACTAGATCTGATGGCTGGGAATAAAGGAAGAGGAGGATGTGCTGCTCATACCTTTAATACTGAGGCTGTTGGATTTAGCAAAGGTGAAAAGTTACCTTATGTAGTGTTGAAACCACCCCCACTATTTCCTGATGCAGATTATAAATCAGTGCCACTGAAAACAGAAGATGAAGAATACATGCTGGCTTTGAAACAGGAGTTGAGAGAAACAATGAAAAGAATGCCTTATTTTATTGAAACACCTGAAGAAAGACAAGATATTGAAAGGTATAGTAAAAGATACATGAAGGTATATAAAGAAGAATGGATACCAGATTGGAGAAGACTTCCAAGAGAGATAACGCCAAGAAATAAATGTAAAAACACAGGCCCAAAACCCGAAAAGGCAAAAGACGCAGGCAAAGTCACCTCACTAATACTTCAGATGTGTTGAAAAAAATTGAGGAATTGGGAAAGAAAGGTGATGGTGAAAATTCAGAAGAGGAAAATGAAAAGGAAGAAGGAAGCAAAGAGGAAAGTAAAGAAGGTGATGATGACGATGACGATGATGCTGCAGAACAGGAGGGATATAATGAAGAAGAGCAAGAAGAGGAAAATGACTACATTAATTCATAATTCGAAGATGGAAATGATTTTGGCCCAGACAGTGATGACAACATGGATGAAGCAACCTATTAGGCATGAAATTTTTCAAAAAGTATTTTTATGATGCAGCTTCTGAACATTTGGACAGATTTGTTTTGTATTTTTTTCTGATAAGGAATAAGTATTTTTGTTTTTTTTTTTTGGACAAATATTTGTTACCAAAATATTCAAAACCACTTTGAGTTTACACACTAATTACCTTACAAATTAGTCCCTGACACTCTGACCTTCCTTCTAAACACCTCTGCCATCTCTCTTATGTACTCTTGTGGGTTTTTTTGTATTATTTGAATAGGAATGTGCCTAAAGAATTTTTGCTCTCTTAATCTATGTATACATACTTGAAGAAATCATGCTTGCTTAACTGCTGATTTTTTGTAAAACTATTACCAGTCATAGTGGATTTCTGTAACCTGAAAGTTGATATAATACAGCACATGGAGCACTTTAAAAACAAACTTGAAAATAATTTTATTTTTTACTTTTACATGGTATGTTCTAGACTACTGCATTATGACTACATAAACCAACCTGGGCTTTTATAAGTACAGAATTGTGAAATAGAGGTTTTGTGATGGAAAACATAGACACAGGGAAAAATACCAAACTGAGCAATATAAATTTCACGGCTCACATCTTAGCCAGTACAAAGAAATTTTCACATGGGGTGAATATTATAAATACTGGAACTGGGGACTAACTTAATACTGTATGATGTATGAATTAATTATTCCACTGTAATAACTGTGACATCTTCAAATAGTTGGGCTTATGAAAAATTTGACTAAGACATTTTAATTTTAAACTTTATGTAAATGTGAAATAAGTTCTGGTCATATAAATATCACTGTAGAATGCATGTGTGTGAACTCTATGAAGTGTGGTGGCCTTTTATGTTTCAGAGTACTCAAGCTGTACAATTGATTTATATAAACATGCAAGATGAACTCAGGTCATTTTGAAATTAAGATTAATTTTTTTGTTGTTTAAAGCTAGCTCCCCTAACTTTATATATTTTTTGGGAAAAAAAAATACCTAAAAACCTCAACCTAAAAAGACTCACAAATGCCAAACATTTTCAAGGAAATTTATATTATATATTTCAAAAATGATTTATCAATGTTATCTACCAAAATAAATACTTTTATTTTTCCCCTTTGGGAAGATATCATTATCCTCTAATGTGAGAATCAGATCCCTAGATTCTATTTCTACCTGTACTATTAAACTCAACCTTGAGCCTGGAAAAAAAAAAGAACCCAGAAATAAATTAATGTATTTACAGCTAATGGATTTTTGACAAAGACACCAAAAACATACATTGGGGAAAAGACAGTCTCTACAATACATGTTGCTAAGAAAGTTAGATATTTGTATGCAGGAGAATGAAACTAGAACCCTATCTCTCACTGTATACAAACATCAACTGAAAATGGATTAAAGACTTAAATCTGAAGACATGAAACTACGAAACTACTAGAAAGAAACGTGGGGAAATGCTTCCTGACGTTAGTCTGGCCAAAAATTTTTTTTAACAAGATCTCAAAAACACAAGCAACAAAAGCAAAATAGATAAATGGGATTCTATCAAACTAAAAAGCTTCTGCACAGCAAAGGAAACAATCAATAGAGTAAAGTGACAACCTGTAGAAGAGTAGAAAATATTTGAAACTGTGCATCCAACAAGGGATTAATAAGCAGGACACATGGAACTCAAACAACTCAACAGCAAAAAAGCAAATAACCAGATTTTAAAATGAGCACCTGAGCTGGTGATTGTGTGCCTGCAGTCCCAGCTACTTGGGAGGCTGAGGCAGATAGTTGTTCGAGCCCAGGAGTTCAAGTCCAGCCTGGGCAACAAAGCAAGACTCTCATATTCAAAAAAAATAAAAGGGCAAATGATCTAATAGACATTTCTCAAAAGAAGAAAACCAAATGGCCAACAGGTATATGAAAAATGCTCAACATTGCTAATCATTAGGAAAATGCAAATCAAAACCACAATGAGATATCCTGATCAAAAAGACAAAAAAATAACAAACGTTGGCAAGCATGCAGAGAAAGGGGAACTCTTATACACTGTCAGTGGGAAATTACATTAATATGGCCATTATGGAAAACAGTGTGGAGGTTCCTCAAAAAACTAAAAACAGAAATACCGCAGGATCCACTAATCCCCCCACAAGTGAAAGAAAACCAGTATATGAAAGAGATGTCTGCACTTCATGTGTATTTCTGCACTATTCCCAATAGCTAAGACACAGAATCAAGCTAAGTGACCATCAACAAATGAACAGATAAAGAAAATGTGTGTGTGTACATATACGTACATACATATATATATGTATTCCATCGTGTATATATATGTGTGTGTATATATATATGTATTTACGTATATGTATATATACGATGGAATACTTTTGGCAAGAAAAAGAATGAAATCCTGTCATTTGTAACAGCATGGATGAGCCTGGAAGACATTATATTAAGTAAAATAAGCCAAACACAGAAAGACTAATATTGCATGTTATCACTCATATGAAGAAGCTAAAAGAGCTGATCTTACCGATCTTATGGAAGTGCAGAGTAGAGTAGTGGTTTCTAGAGGCTGGGAAGGGCAGAGAGAGAGGTCTGCTAATGGATACAAGATTGCAACTAGATATGAGGAATACATGTTAGTGTTCTATAACAGCGGCCCCCAACGTTTTTGGCGCCAGAGACAAGTTACGTGGAAGACAATTTTTTCACAGACAGAAGGTGGGGGTTGGGTGCAATGGTTTCAGGATGGTTCAAGCGCATTACATTTACTGTGCACTTTATTTATACTATTATTACATTGTAATATATAATTAAGTAATTATACAACTCACCATGATGTAGAATCAGTGGGACCCCTGAGCTTGTTTTCCTGCAACTAGGTAGTCCCATCTAGGGATAATGGGAGACAGTGACAGATCATCAGGCATTGGATTCTCACAGGGAGTGCACAACCTAGATACCTCACACACAGTTCACAATAGGGTTTGCACTCCTATGAGAATCTAATGTCACTGCTGATCTGACAAGAGGTGGAGCTCAGGTGGTAATGTGAGCAATGGAAAGTGGCTGTAAATACGAATGAAGCTTTGCTGGCTTGCCCTGCCACTCGCCTCCTGCTGTGCAGTCACAGACTGCTACCAGTCCATGGCCCAGGGGTTGGGGACTGTTTTATAACACAGTAGGGTGACATCCTTAAGAATAATTTATTGTATATTTCAAAATACTTACATGAGAGGATTTTGAATGTTCCTCAAACAAGAAGTGATAAAAATTCGAGTTGATGAATATGCCAATTACCCGAATTTGATTATAACAAATTATATACCTATATCGAAAAATCACATATACACCACAAGTATGTACAATTACACCAATTAAAAATACACTTTTTTAAAAAAAGGCTTAGAAACAAGGACCAACTCAATAGTACTCAATAGTAATAAGCACTCCTAGTGTTCAGATTCTAAATACCAATTTCCATTGAAAGGAACCAGGATTGCTTGAAGAAACAACTGATTCTAGCTCAGGGAGACAGAAAAATGTACAAGATGAGGTTGGGCTAACTTCAAAAGGCTCCCACTAGACAATGGGACAATTTGAGGTTGTGTTAGAGTAATAACTGCAATGGATTTAAATACATAAAATATGTTTAAATTTATTGGACTATAATAATATTATAAAACATTAAACTTTGGAAGATATCAGGAAATCAACTCATTCATATGAAAATTGGTAAGTAACAGAAAATAAGTTAAAAAAAGTTGCTCCCTTTACCCAATTTACAGCTGTTGACTGAAATGCCACCTTTTATGAATATTTATTTAGTTTTAGCATTAGCAGCTATTCAGGTACCCACCTGTGGTAGTCTCAGTGCTGCTCACCACATCTTTCTAGTTGGCCATCCAGGCCGTGATAGGTTGGCACATCCCGTCCCCATGGTTAGGTGTGGCCACGTGGCTCTCTGTGGATAATGAAACATGAGTGGGAGTGATGAGAGTCATGTCCAGCTGAAACATTGAGAGCCAGTCCACAATTCTTCAAACTCTTACCCTCCTTCTGCCACAAGGGCCAGCAATGTTCCAGATTGGGTCAGATTTATCAGCCTGGGAGCCAAGGTAAACATGTCAAAGCCCCATGATCATGTAGTGTGAGTGAGAAATAAATGTGGTATTTAGCCCCCAAGATTTTGGTGTTGTTTGTAATGATCATATAATCTAGTCCATCCTGACTGATACACCACCAAGGAACATCAATCTAGTAGTTAGCCAATAACATCATAGTGTGAATTTTCATAAAGCCAAGACTAGAGAAACCGGAGCTTTACTGGTGGAAAAAAAGAAAAAAAAAATCTGTTATGGTTAACCTCCAAAGTTGGTCTAAGCACTTCTACTCCTTCTGTATGTACACATTGTTCCTCACATCAGAAGGTGGAGTCTAATTTCCTCTACCTTGAATCTGATTATAGTAATTTGGCAAATAGAGTGAGATGGAAATGACACTCTGGGACTTCCAAGACCAGGTCCTATGAAGCCTGGGTCTCTTGGAACAATCCTCTGGGGACGTTCCCTCTCAGAAAACAGCATCAGGTATAAGAAGCGCAGCCCATCAGAGGCCATGTGTGGACAGGCTCTGGTGGACAGGCCCAGCTGAGCTCCCAACCATGTGAGTGCACCATCTTTAGCATCTGGTACAGTCAACCCTTCAGCCCCAGGCACCATTTGAACACAACCACGTGAAAACTGCCCGGCCAAGACAGTCAACACAGAAAGTCACGTGAGATAATATTAAATTGTTGTTTCAACCACTAAATTTTAGGATGGTTTGCTATTCAGCAATACATAAGCTGAACAGAAATTGGCACCTGGAAGTGGGTTGCTATTGTACTATTTTAATCGAAAATATGTGGCATTGGCTTTGGGACCAGGCAACAGGCAGAAGCTGGAAGGTTCAGAGGCTGCTGTTAGTGAAGATTTGAAGACAAAAACCAAAGAAAATATGACTGCTCCTACATAGTGGTGGAAGTTCAGTGACATGAAATAAAAAATATTTATTTTTATTCAGTCATCCTGACTGAATGTTTTAAGTGCTAACATGTTTCTTTCAGTTATTTATGACAAGATACCCAGTCATAAAGATGAACTAAAAAGGCAATTTTCTAATTTTAGGCAAAATTTAGAGAAAGTATGGAAGACTCATGACAGTCTTTTCAGCTAATTAAAGGTTCTCAAAGTAAGAATGGACTAAGGTAACAACCCTTTGCTGAAATTTCAGAAAGATTTAAGGATATCCCATTACATGCTAACCATGCTACCCTCTTAGACAGACAATCAGGCTCCTATGAATCTTAATAGGGTGCATCTTAGACCCTCTTCTAGATAAAAAGACTTCCGAGAGTATTAAGGGTATTGTCTCGTCTCACAGAACCCTGACTCTCAATGCAAGGTAGAGAAGGGTTTGCCTCAAAGATATTTATGGGTATGGCATTTATATATTGGCACAAACGCCAATAAGATTAATGAGAAACCCGCAAAGTTTGTAAGAGAATTGTCTAAAGAAAGCAGCACCAACTTGGAATGAAAAAGACAGAAGCAATCCAAAATAAAAAGAGCCCCTGGGGCCTTTTTCCTACCACAGTGATGGTGGACCACTTCCTCGGAGCAGAATTAAACTCTTATTTTTAAAAACTGGTAATGTGTGTGGCTGTATTTCAGCATCGCTATGAACAAGACACTGCTTTGTTCTGCCCATTCTTTGCCTCTCTGAAGAGAAGGGTTCATTGCAGTTATCCTATCCCTGCATTGCCATCTTATGTTGGGTGTGTGGGGTGAAAATAACTCATGTTTATTTCACAGGTCTTTAGATTGAAAAAAATGATACCCAAGGAGCTACACCAAAAAACAAAACCCCAAACCCCCACACATTTAAGGAGCTTCAGTCACACTTGGATTTGATTTAATGAAGATATAGAGCAAGTGCTGAAATGGAAGAAGACTTTTGGTGATTATGGGAGGGTAAGTGTATTACGCATATGGAAGTTCATAAATTGTCAGAGCCAAAGGTCAGACTTCCGTGGTGGCCTCAAACAATTCTGGACTCCCTGTACTACAGTAGTATGTCTTACATTAAGAAGTAGAGATCAGGCGTGGTGGCTCACACCTGTAATCCCAGCACTTTGGGAAGCCGAGGTGGGTGGATCACAGTGTCAAGAGATCGAGACCATCCTGGATGACATGGTGAAACCCCATTTCTACTAAAAATACAAAAATTAGCTGGGTGTGGTGGCATGTGCCTGTAGTCCCAGCTACTTGGGAGGCTGAGGCAGGAGAAACACTTGAACCTGGGAAGTGGAGGTTGCAGTGAGCTGAGACTGCGCCACTGCACTCCAGCCTGGAGACAGAGCAAGAGTCTGTCTAAAAAAAGAAGAAGAAGAAGAAGAAGAGTCTTGCTCCTCTCCATATGAATATGGGCCATCTTCCTTGACACTTGAATGCAGCAGAAGTAATGTGCTCGAGCTTCTGAGCTAAGTCATGAGGCCTTGCTGCTTCTTCCTTGGACTCTTAGAATCCTTGCTTTTGGGACACTTTCCCTAGGAAGCCCATTACCATGCTGTGAGAAGTCCAAGCCACATGGACAGCCACACGCAGGCTTTCCAGTCAACAGCTCCATCTCCCAGCCAACGGCATCATCTGCCATGTAAGTGAGCCATTTCAGGTGTCAGCTCATTCAAGCCTTCAGATGACTCTACGACCAGCTGCCATTTGACTGAAAATACGTACGAGATCCTAAGTAAGAATCACCCAGCTGAGCCCAACCAGCCAACAAAATCATAAGTGATAATACTGTCTGTTTTAAGTCACTAAGTCTGGGAGTGGTGTGTTATACCAGTAGACAAGACAACTTCTCAGGTATGAGTCCTGGACCAGAGATCCAGATAATGGGTGTTACCAGCTTTGAGACATCAAAGGAATGCATCAGGGTACCATGGGCTAAAGAGGGTTGACAGGGGCCTCTCACAATAGATATTCAGTAAATATTTGTTGAATGAACAAGCAAATGAATGAATGAAAGTGGGGATGGCAAGAACAGATTTCTCATCCTTCCTAGCCTCAGGAAGGCCTGGCTCTCTTCAGCTACCAGCACACTGTTGTTTCCAAAGCTGTGTCCCCAGCCAGCCCTGGCCATGATGGAGGGGTGTGTCTGGGGACCTTCCTTAGCCTCTCACCCTGGGAAACTAAAAGGGCTTCCTTCTCAGGGTTCAGGCAGCTTCCCTTCTCATCCTGCTCTTCCTCTAATCCATAGCTCTCCAATACTTTTTAGTTCACAAGAGTTTTCCTTTCCAAGACAACCACATGTTTCTACCCTATTATAATGGCCACTTCTAGAAGCCAGCCCCAAAGAGGCTGACTGTCTCCATTTTTTTAATCTCTAGCAGCTCTCCACACCCCTACAATGACTCCAGGAACCCCATAATAATGGTCATGAGAGTACAAGTCTGTTTTCTACTGTGCCAGGATCCACAAAAAGGAAGCTCAGAGCAGGAAAAGCTTTTGCTCTTCTCTGAGTCTTGAAGTCTGGATTTATTCCTTCCTCAATCACTTATTGTAAAACTTTAAGCAAATACTTAGATTTACAGCCTTATTGTCCCCCACATCACAAGGTTATTATGAGGAGTAAGTGGGAGGGTGTTTATGTAACCTAGCACAGATCTGGGACCCGTGAGACATTCTGTAAATATCCATTTGACCATTAATTTTTTTCCACCATTGCAGGAGATAAGGTTGCAACATTCCTACCCAAGGAGCTCTGACTTTGGAGTTTCTCTCTAGTTTATAAGTACCACACCAAACAGTCTCCTAAAAGAGTACTAAAACGGTGTCTTTTCTTACATTCTAAGACATCATTAGTAAGGGAATGATTTAAACGGGGTTTCCACTCTCCTTGTTGTCTCTCCTTGTCTCTCTCTTCTTTTAGGAAAACTGTGCCCCAGCTAAATCAGAGAACACAGAGGGGATTCTTCCCTGTCACCCTAAAGTCTTCCCCTCTGAGTTTTTCTGGCCTCTCTCCCCTGAGAAGTAGGCAGCTATCTTTCATGCCTCTATCCCTTGGGGTTCCTCAAAAGAACTGAGCATCAGCCTGGTAGAAGGGAGAGAATACTGGAAAAAGATGCAGGAGTTTTGGTGTCCAGTTCCAGCTCTTTAACTCACTTTTTAAATAACCAAAGTTGTCTGAATATGTGATGAGCAGGTAGTAAGATATCTGCCACTGGAGGTTTTCAAGCACGATTGAGAAAACTACGTGGCCAGGACACTGTGAAAAGGACTCAAGCATTGGATGAATTATTATTATTATTATTATTATTTTTTTTTTTTGAGATGGAGTCTCGCTCTTGTTGCCCAAATCTGGAGTGCAATGGCGCCATCTTGGCTCACTGCAACTTCTGCCTCCCAGGTTCAAGCGATTTTCCTACCTCAGCCTCCCAAGTAGCTGGGATTACAAGCACCTACCATCATGACTGGCCAATGTTTGTATTTTTAATAGAGAAGGGGTTTCACCATGTTGACCAGGCTGGTCTCGAACTCCTAATCTCAGGTAATCTGCCTGCCTCGGCCTCCCAAAATGCTGGGATTATAAGCATGAGCCATCATGCTCAGCCGAGCATTGGATGAATTATTGAATGACATGACTTCCTCCCAAGAATTTTAAGTGTCTTTCTAACTCTTGAGATTAAATGAATTTATATTGTGACTGAAATTAATTAAAACTGAGCACTAGTTTCCTCATCTGTAAGACAAGAGGGTTGAACTAAATGTTAGCTAAGGCCTCTTACATCACCATCACCCACCACCTCCTCCACAACAATTCAGCTTACCCAGGTTGGCCTACCCTGCTTGACTCTATTCTACTCTAACCAGGTTGCTCCCCTGGGTCAGGGAAAACATTTCCCCAGATAGGACCAAGGCAAGAACGCAGGGGTACTGGGGGCATGTGGTCACCGAGAAGCCAGCCAGTTTGTATTGCCCGTGTCCTGTGAAATCAAAGACTTAGATCTATGACAAAGAACTACATACTGAGAAGGTTAAGAGGTACTCAATGAAGACATAAAAAGTCGACAGTCAGGAAGGAGCTGGGGACTTCAGCAGCAACTCAGAGTCCACTGCCAGGTCAGGACCACCTGTGCCGGCTGCTGCCTAATCTGATATATATACAACAGCACGGTCTACATTCATTGTCAGCCATCCTCACACAAACGTCATCCACAGGAGAGGGTCTTGGCCAGAGCAGAAATCAACAAGACTATGACTTGGAAATTCTAGGGGGAGGGGAGGCCTCTAGCCTCAGGAATTTTGTCACCCAGGTCAGGGTCTGTATAATAGCCTTCTTAAGAGACAAAAAGGGCACTCACAGAGATTTGGACCAGGGCTGGCCTCCATCCAGCTTTCTACATTATCTTGAGCTCACTTGGTGAGATAACATAGCTAGCAGCTTCTGCATTCCTTCCTGGAATGCCTGTGATGTTTGGAGCCCTGCCACATGGCTCAGGCATTAATCATCAACCAGTGGATAAATGTTGACTGAGCATACTCTGTTAGGTCCCTGGTGTGCCTAAGAAGAGGGGTACCCTTTCCCTTTGGAAGGTTGCAGAAGATATATACCCATTAAAAGACTATTTAAAATCTTGACTAGTTAGTGATAACTTCCTTAAGAGTATAGGTGCTAATGAATTTCAGAAGAGAATGATATCCCTTTGGGGTGGAATGGTTCAGGGAGACATCTTGAGAAATACAATATGGGCATTAAGGGGTCAGTGGGATTGTAAATGTCCTAGGGGAAGAGGTGTCAAGACTGGGAGGTCACTAAGGACCTGAATGAGCAAGCTGTGCTGGGGACAGAACTAAGACCTGCTGGCTGAAGAGGGTCCTGAGCAAGGGGGAAAAAGAGACAGAAACTTAACTAATAACTATTTATGCATGTTTACACTTTTCACCCCAAGCAGAGAGCTGGCTCCTGAAGGTCAGCTTTGTACCAGGAAGTACTCCTTTCTTGCACAGAATTTTGAAATTGCTAGTTATCTTTTTTTTCCCTTGCATTGTTCATCTTAATTCCATTGTTAAGATGTCTTAATTACCACAAATAATATCAGATATCTTTCTCAGACATCTCTTTCTTGGAGCCTTCCACTCCTGCTCTATTCTGACCCACTGAGTTCTGGGTGTGTTGCCTGAGGTTTGCTTTCTTGACTCTCCTAGGTTGGATATGCAACAATGCAATACACACTTTTCTCCAGGCAAGCTCCGTTGGACAACTTCCCCAGAAAAGAGGCTTGGCCAAAGCCAAAATCAGCCAGATTGTGACAAGGAAATTCCAGGAGAGGGCAGGAGGCTAACCTGGGGGATTTTATTGCCCAGGGAAGGATGATATGACACTAAGTGGTGAAATGGCACGGCTTCTCTCTCTGTTGGTTTATCCCTGATTTGGGTGGAGCCTGTCCTGGAATGGCCTTCTCAGAAAAGAAATGCTCACTTCCAGCATTACCTCTCACAAGCAGGCTTTGTCTGCTGCATGCTGCATATACCCTTATATGCATATACCCTTATAATGTTATACGCCTTTTTTCCATATGTTTCTAGATCAGTGGCTGTCTATCTCTACATTGGGCACTCAATAATAAAAGAAGGTATCTGATTGTGTGTCCTCACAGCCCCCAGGCTGAGAATTTCTGCCCAAGGCTCAGTGGTGATCTTTCCTCAGGAGACCTTCAGTTCAGTGAATAAATGAATGACATAATAAACTTTATCCTATGTACCAATAAATAGATACACCTGCTATGGACCCATAAAAATTAGAAATTAAAAATCTAAGAAATACATATTGTTTATTAAAACAAAAAATAAAAATAAATAAACTTTGTCCTGAGAGCACTGGAGAGCCATGATGGAAAGTTAAAGTACTTTAGACCTGGGCATGACACAAGCAAATTTTCAGTTTATAAAGATTACAGTGGCAGTCAAGTGGAGAATGGATTAGTTTGGAAGAGTGCTAGAGGGCAGGAGACAATTGGGAAAATATTGTGGGTCACCCAAGGAGACGTTAAGAAACCTAATGGAGGCACTGCCCCCTTTCGGTACTTAGCATATTCATTCATTCATTCAACAAATATTTATCAAGTCCCTAACATGGGTCGGGCAATATTGTAAGCATTAGGAATTATTACTGAGAACAAGAGGGGTATGTACCAGATTGTTTTGTTATTTAACTGTTCCAATTAACTTATACCTTGGCCAAATTAGAGTTTTCCTTTACAGTTTGCTCAATAAACAGGAATTGAATTGAATGGAAACAATACAACAATTCTGATAAAACCCAGAGCTTGAAAGATAGATGATTAAACCTTGGATGGAAGAGATGAGATGTTACAAGGACAACATGAAAAATTCCCATATCTGGGTTTCTAAATTACCCACAAGTGCCAGCATACCATGACTGGGGGAAACACTGTAACTTGGTCTGTGTGTTCTCTTTTGACAGTTCTCAGGCGCATACCCAGTCTGGCTGAGGCCTGAGTCAGTGGAATCTTCTGGTTCCCCACACTTTCAGACCATCACTCTGCACTCCCTGCTGAAGCTCCCATATGCATTTGGGTGGAGATTGAAACTAACACTTTCCAGAGAATGTGGAGGAGGGAAAAGGGGGAGAGAGGAAGGCTAGTTTAACAACAAAGTGGGAAAAAGGAGGGGAAAGCATTCTTATTATTGTTTCTAAAAACAGCTCCAGTCAAGACACTTCATTCAAAGTTGTTCAAATATGAAAATGGAATAGTAAGCTTGTGCTGTCACTGTTCCAAGAGCCTCCTGGAAGGCAGAACACATCACCCTGATTTGTATAGTAGCACACCCAGGATATGATCTCTTCCTAAGTGTGCACAAAAAAAAAAAAAAAAAAAAAAAAAAGCTATTCAGGACAGCAAGGCCTATCTTTGGTGTGTGGGCAAGTCAGTTTAGGGATTGGTGTTGATCTACAAGAGGGGACAAAAACGATCAATAAAATGAAAATGGCAGTACATTTCTCAACTGCTTTTCATCAATAAGCTCTGGCTCTTCACCTCCACTTCAGCGGAACATGGGAGCTAGTCTCAGCTTTCCACTGACAGGTTCTAGGACCTTGGACACTCAACCTGTCTGGGTCTTGATGCTTTAAAAACACATGATATTTTGATTCTCCACTTATCATCCATTCCTCCCCACCCCACCCTGACACATACACACATATGATTCATTCATTCACTCACTCAATTCAACAAAGATTTATTTAGTACCCACTATGTGCTAGGCACTGTTCTAGGCATTGGGGCTACATCAGAAACAAAATATCCCTCCTGGATATTCTGTTTATATTTTAGTTGAAGAAGACAAATAAATAGGAAATATAACAGGCAGTGATAAATAATATTGCAAAAAATTAAGTATACAATGAAAACCCAAAGTCTAAATACTACTATGGTAAGATAAATAGTGTGCAAGTGTGTGTGTGTGTTTGTGTGTATGCATAAGTGTGTGTGTGTAGACATAGAGCACGCAGAGGGAGAAACAGTGGGAGGGACGGGGAGCAGGGAACTGGGGGTGAGTGTACCACAAATGTATATGCGTGCAATTTTGGTGGTAAGAAAGTGGATGGGATTGTTCTGACTTTTGGAAGAACATGGAGTCCAAGACCTAGTTATCCTATGATTCATTATTCTGGCTTTGTCTGGACTGGGGTGGGAGAGAGTCTAGACAACATGCCCTGTGGGGCTCAGTAGCAGATGACCCAATTGTGGGAAGCAGAATGAGAAAGTGACTAGAGAATTACACCTGTCAGACCCCCTTCCCTCTCAGCTTTTGGTAAAAGCTGAAATGAGGAGGAAGTAGCACCTTCCTATGGCATTCCTTACTCTCCTGCTCTCAGGCTCAGCTCCTTTCTGACAGAACACTGATCTGGAAAGTCTGCAGGTCCAGTCATCACTGTTCTCCCCAAGAGGTGAGGGAGTGGGCTCTTCTCCTCACCCGGGCCCTAGCCTGGTCTCAGCTCACCTGGGCTCACCTAGGTTGTGCTGCACCTTCAGGTCCTATGGCCCCAGTACTGGAAGATGCAGCTTATGACAATTTCAGGATATCGTGGGCCCTCTGTGTATGGCAGCTATCATCAACAAGTCAGCCTTCTGACTTTCACTCTCCTCTCCTATAAAACAGGTGTAACAGCTGCAACTTTGTAAGATGGACCATGAGTATTGTTCGTGGTAATAATAATGAACTCCATAAAGGAAGACTTATTGTATGCCAGGCACTGTGCTAGTTACTTTGCATGTATAATCTCATTTATCTTAGCGAAATTCCATAAGTACTATTATTGTATCCATTTTATAGATGAGAAATCTGAACAGAGACAGTTTTTAAAAACTGTCCCAGGTCACACAGTTAGTAAGTTGTGGAGCTAGGACTCAAAATCAGATCTATCTTCAAAGCTAGTATGCTTAGTATTTATAAAGTACTTCAGTCATAATAGGAGTATCAGTTATCTAACTGCTAGGAAACAGATCATCCCAAAACTTAGTGGCTTAAGACAACCACCATTTATTTAGTCCACAATTCTGTAGGCTAACAACTTAAGCTAGGCTCAGTTGGGTGGCTCTTCCGGTCTTTGCTGGGGTCCTTCATGATTCTGTGGTCAGCGGCAGGTTGACGGTGGCTCTGCTTGTGTGAGTTAATGGGATGTGGTCTAGGGTGCCTCGCCTCTCCTCCACATGGTGTCTCTCATCCTCCAGCAGGCCAGCCCAGGCTTTTTCCCCATGGCAGTGACCTAGGCTTAGAACTGGCACACTGTCACATTCTTTCGTTCAAAGTAAGTCATAAGCCAGCCCTGATTCAAGAAGTGGGGAAACAGGATCCACCTCTTGTTAGGAGCTGCTGCAAAGACACGCTCAGAGGATGAGATACTGGGAGGTTAGTAATGGAGCTGTCATTGCGATCAGTCTACGATAATAGGCATTCAATAAATAAAGGATAGGGTTACTCTTAGATATTTTTGGACAATATCCATCAGACAAGCCCACTGTCACTAAGTTACCTAGAGAATTCCTTGTAGTAATCAGGACTCTTTCAGCTACAGGGAATAGAAACATAACTCATCAGAAGTCTTCCTCCATCTTTGGCTCTCATTTGTCTGTTCTTTTCCCACATCCCAGGAGGGGGCAAAGATGACCACCAGCAGCTCCAGGCTTCCATTTTCCCCATCAGTCTCCCCTGGCTGAAAGAGAATATCTCCATGCCAACATATCAAGGGAAGCCCTGGAACATCTCACCAGTTCAGGTGATGTCACCAGACCCATCCCATAAGTCCTCACAGTCACCGATTGGCCAGGTCCAACAAAGCAGGGAGCTTTTCCCCAGAGGAAGCTCACCATGCTGTTGTCAAGAGAAAGAGAAAAGGGCACTGAGAGAGCTGCTCAATGTCTATGCAGCTGCATGCCTTTCCTCACTGCCCAAGAGGAACCCCTCCCTATTTCCCTAAAGCCCCTGTATTGATTTGAAGTTTCTAGGCTAAAATGCACTTCTCAGATCTTAAGTATTTTTTGTATGTGATAAGGTCTAGTTGTACTACTTTGAACTGAAGCAATATTGCCTTTAAAAGCTAATCATGAAATCCTCCATGAGGATATTGTGAAAGGATTAAAATGAGAACTATTCGGATTAGAAAGTGAAAGGAATAAAAAACAAATAAAACAAAACAGGACAGACAGGAAGTTGATAAGAAGAGAAGGAGTCCTTCTGCATACAGAACATACTGGATCCTTTATTCCTGGTCTGGAGAGCATCCTGGAATGAAGCCTGTACAGAGGGCTAAACAGAAGAGAGAATCCTTGGCTTCTGCCAAGAGGTTGCTCTTACTTTTAACTTTGTGTTTTCCATAGTTCTGACTCAGAGTGACCTGTATTCAAAGCCCTGTTGCCCCAACTTACTAACTGTGATCTTGTCAAGGTGATATATGAGGACACTTCTGAAAATGAAAGGGGATGCTATTAGCAATTTCAACTGGGGAACAGACAATGAGATTCTAGAATCTCATTACTTTATGGTCATTGTTTTCATAAGAAAAATGAAAAATACTTGTATTTTTAGTGGTACTTAACAACAATAGTGGCATTGAACAGTGTTCAGTACTTATTGTAAGACTGTGTTCAGTTCTTTATATGCTCACTGTAATTCTATGGTGCGGAGACTATTATTATCCTCATTTTTACAGATGAGGAAACTGAGACTTGGAGAAGTTAATTAATTTTATCAACATCTAGGGGATGATATGTTTTTATTTTCCTGTAATGATATAGTAATGAACCTATAAAGAAGCATTAGAAACTGAACATGCAGATGAGTATCCTTGTGGGGGCATACATCTTGAGAACCTATATCAAGGGTTGAGCTCCACCTGAGCTCTGCCTTTTGTCAGATCAGTGGAGGCATAAGATTCTCATAGGAGTGTGAATCCTTTGGTGAACCTGCACATGCAAGGGATCTAGCTTGCACACTCCTTATGAGAATCTAATGCTTGATGATCTGTCATTATCTCCCATCACCCCCAGACAGGACCACCTAGTTGCAGGAAAACAAGCTCAGGGCTCTTGCTGATTCTACATTATGGCGAGTTGTATAATTATTTCATTATCTATTATAATGTAATAATAATGTAAGTAAAGTACAAATAAATGTAATGCGCTTGAATCCTCCTGAAACCATTCCCTCCCAGGTCCATGAAAAAAATTGTCTTCCACGAAACTGGTCCCTGATGCCAAAATGTTAGGGACTGCTGCCCTAGAGCATAATTTGATATCAAATTATCAAATGACGCTCATTACTAAAAACATTTTTGGAATTGTGCTTTTGGAATGTCCCAAGAATCTTGAGGCACATATTCCTCAGAATCATTTTTATGGTAGAAAGTTTTTAATCCATTCAGGATAAATATGATTTTTGAAAAGAGCCCAAAGTGATTCAGGATAAAAGTGAATCATCTAAAAATATATTTTTACTTCTGGCTTCCAGCTACAATGTAGAAAGCTGAAGAGTGTCACTCCTGCCTTAACAATAAGAAAAAGCCAGAAAACCTACAAAGCATAACTTTTCTCGAGCCCACAAAAAACTGATGTCACAGGGTGTATGATGTCACCAACTAGCATGAAATCTAAGGAAAGACAGCCTCTCCCAAAGATAGACAGGATGTGAGCACTGGTTCACCTGTAACAGAGCAAAGGAGGAAGACAGGGCCAACATTCAACCCAGTAAGCAGCATCCAGCTAAAATGCCTGAAGAATCACAAAGGCTGACTGGGCTAGTGTGAGACCACGAAACACTTGCAGACACAAGGTTGCTCAGACACCTTAGCAGTTCTTCCCCATAAGCCTCCATCAGGAACTCATGAAACAGGTTTAGAGCAGGGTAAGGACAGAGAGACAGAGAGAGGCTTTCCTTATGGTTCGGGGGTGAAGAAGGGAGAGGATATAGCTGTGGGAAAAGCATGAAACCCCACACATATCCTTCCAACCCAGAAAAGACATTAAGCCACTGGGGGAAGGGCAACAAATCGACAGCCCCTAGAGCAGGGGACCCCAACCCCTGGGCCACAGACTGGTACCAGTCTGTGGCCTGTTAAAAACCAGGCTGCGCAGCAGGAGGTGAGCTGTGGGCAAGCGAGCAAAGCTCCATCTGTATTTACAGCCACTCCCCATCACTCACATTATCGCCTGAGCTCTGCTTCCTGTCAGATCAGTGGAGGCATTAGATTCTCAAAGGAGTGCAAACCCTATTGTGAACTGCACACGTGAGGGATCTAAGTTGCACGCTCCTTATGAGAATCTAATGCCTGATGATCTGTCACTGGTCCCAGACAGGACCACCTAGTTGCAGGAAAACAAGCTCAGGGCTCCCACTGATTCAACATGGTGAGTTATATGATTATTTCATTATATATTACAATATAATAATAGAAATTAAGTGCACAATAAATGTAATGTGCTTGAACCATCCCAAAACCATCCTCTCCCCTAGTTCGTGGAACTAGTTTGTCTTTCCATGAAACGAGTCCCTGGTGCCAAAAAGGTTGTCAACTGCTGCCTTAGAGCATAAGTGAAGATTCAGTACAACTGGAGGAAGGGAAAAGAAAAAAGTCACCACTCCTATAGAAGGGGCAGGACCCTATCCTGGCCCCACATAGTTAGGTTTCTTATGACTGAAGAAAGGTCAGGATCATTGAGAAAACCCCACTCCCAACACACAGACACCCAGTGCCTACCTAAGGCAGAGGCTGAATCAGAACAACAGACAACCCCACTTCCATCCCTCCACCAGCCTAGCAAACACCAAGTAACAAAGAACAGCCTCCTGTCACTGGGGGAGGAACCAGAGCATGGGAAGAGCTGCTGTTGTGGGCAGGCACACAGGGAAGGCTTCTCTAGAGCTGAGGGAGGAGAAGAAACATTAAGAAAAAGCTTTCTGTGATTCCAGCCCCATCCTAGACACATGGCGATGCTAAAGGAATTTAAAGATGGTGTTGCACAGCAGGTAATCATAGTGACAGCAAAACCCAAGACCAACTCAACTCTTCATTAGATTGATTTAATGCCCCACACTAAATGTCTGGAAGAAGAGCATTGTTCATTTTCAAGCATAAATACTATTAACCTCAATCTCTATTGTACCAGACAGCTTGTCCCCAATTTATTACAAGATACACAGAAAGGCAAGAAAAAACAAGCCACTGTAAAGAAACAAAGCAATCAACAGAACCATATTCAGAGAGGACCCAGATACTGGAACTATCAGGGAATTTAAAATAACTGGGATTAATAATTTAAAGTTTCAGTAGAAAATTAATAGGGCATATTATCAGGAGATATGGAAATGAAAAGAATCACATGGAAATGCTAGAAATAAAAAACATGGGTTTAGACCAGCCTGGCCAACATGGTGAAATCGCGTCTCTACTAAAAATACAAAAATTAGCCAGGCGTGGTAGTGCATGCCTGTAATCTCAGCTACTTCGGAGGCTGAGGCAGGAGAATCGCTTGAACCTAGGAGGCAGAGGTCGCAGTGAGCTGAGATCACACCACTGCACTCCAGCCTGGGTGACAGAGTGAGACTCTGTCTCAAAAAAAAAAAAAAAAAAAAAAAACCAACATAGGTTTGCTGAAGAGGTAGAAAGTTGGAAAGAGATCATTGTCACCCTAACAATAAAAAAAGACTGGATAATCTACAAAATCATAACTTTTTGTGAACACTTCAGAGATCTGATGTTACAAGAGAATCAACTAGCATGAAATCTAAGGAAAGACAATCTAAGAAGAGACAAGATGTGAGTACTAAATTACCTGGGCAGAGCATGGGAGAAAGGTATGGCTTTCATAAAATTGGGTTTAAAAAAATCAGCTCCATTTTTTAAAAAATTTCTAAAGGCCAAATGTGGATAGCACAAAATAGAAAACCCCTGAGAATCACAGACATGGGTAATTTGCACACAAAGAAGAAAGAAATAACACTCTATTGCATAGAGACAAAATAATCAACAGAACCAAACTTATTGATGGCCTAGGTGTTGGAACTATCATATAGAAAATGTAAAATAACTAGAATTAGTATGTTAAAGGATCTAGTGGAAAAATTAGAAAACATGTGTGAATAGATGAGCAATTTCAGTAGAGGGCTGGAAAATATGAGAAAGGATACTGTGAAAATGCTAGAAATGAAAAGCATACTAAAGGAGAATAAGAATACCTTTGATGGGCTTACCAGTAGATTAAACACAGCTGAGGAGGAAATTAGTGGATGTAAAGATAGGTCAAAAGAAATTACCCAAACTGAAAGCAAAAGAGAAGAAAGAGTGAAAAGGTGTTTTTTTTTTTTTCAACAACAACAACAACAACAACAACAAAACAGTACATCCAAGACCTATGGACTTTACATATGTAATGGTATGGTACATATGTAATGGTACATTACCCATCAGTCCAACATAATGGCTGAAAACTTTTCAAAAACAATAAGACACCAAACCACAGATCCAAGAAACTCAGAGATAAATACCACCAACTCTGCTCCCCAAAGAAGCCTAGACACATAATATTCAAATTTTTGAAAATCCACTTAAAGAGAAAATCTTGAAGTCAGTAAAAAAAAAAAAAAAAGACACATATAGAGAGAGGAAGATAAGAAAAATGCAAACTTCTCGTCAGAAACTATCAAACCATACAATATCTTTAATAGGCCAAAGCAGTGGGGGAGAAGTCAAACAATAAACTTATATCCAGCAAAAATGTCATGCAAAAATGAAGGAAAGATAAATATTTTTCAGACAAAAACTGAAAGGATTCATTACTAGCAGATCATTAAAAATGTAAAAAGAAGTTCTACAGAAAGTAGGGATACAATAGCAAATTAGAAATGTGAGTCTACACAAAAAAGATATATAGAAAGGCTTAAACTAAAGACAATGTAATATTCACAGTTTTCTATTTTAAAAACCACTCTAAAAGGTAGAGAACAGTTTAAAGCAAATATAGTAGCAATGCATTGTATGTTTATAACATATGTAAATGTAACATATGACAATAAAAGTACAAAAAATAGGAGAGAGGAATTGAGATTATATTTCTGTAAGCTTCTTATACTATATATGAAGTGATATAATGTATCTGAAGGCAGACTGATGATCCAAAGGTATATAGATAAATTAAATTGCTTAATTAAAGATGTGTATTTTAAACCCTAAGCCAACCACTAAAACAAGAGGATTTTTAGAAGATAAATAAATAATAAGCTAATGAAGATAAATTGAATAATAAAAAATAATTCTTAAAAAGACAAAGATGGAGTAAAATGACAACAAGGAACAGATGGAATAAATAGAAAACAAGTAGCAGAATGTCAGATTCTAATTCAATCACATATATAATTAAATGTAAACCATCTAACCTCACCATTAACAGAAACATTATCTTAATATGATATAGTAAGAAGAGTATATTACAGTTGTGGTATTCTTGCCCAAAATACATGCCCGCAATCTAATCATAAGAAAATAGCAGGTAAACTCAAATTATGGAACGGTCTACAAAATAACTGACCATCACTCTCCAAAAGTGTCAAGGTTATGAGAGCCAAGGAAGAACTTAGGAACTGTCAAAGATGGAAGAGACTAAGCAGACATTGCAACTAAATGCAATGTGAAATCCTGGACAGGATTCTGGAACAGAAAAGGAATATTAGTGAAAAAAATTGGTGAAATCTGAATAAAGTCTGTAGTTGAGTTCATTTCTTGGTTTTGATCGTTGAACTATCAACTGTGCAAGATGTTAATATGAGAGGAATCTAGGTGAAAGATACATGGGAACTTTCTGCACTATTTTTGCAATTGTTCTGTAAATCTAAATGTGTTTCAAAATGAAAATGTTTAAAAAGAAGATTGTCAAATTAGATTTAAAAAGTAGATTTGACTATATTAAAAACTCACTTTAATAGAAAGACATGGATAAGTGAAAAGGATAGAAAATATATACCATGCAGACATTTATTAAACAAAAGATGGAGTATCTATGATAAAATCTGACAAAATAGACTCCAGAACAAAGAATATTACTGAAAATAAAGAGAAACATTACATAGTGATAAAGATGTTAATTCAACATTCCTAAATGTGTATGTCCCTAACAATAGCTTCAAAATACTGAAACAAAAACTGACCAAACTGAAGGGAAAAATAGATAAATCCACAACATGGAGAGAAGTTTCAAAACTCCTCTCTCTCTAAACAACAGAACAAATAGAAAGAAAATGAGTAAAAATGTATTAGACCTGAGCAACATTATCAAACAGCTTCACCTGATTGAATTTATGAAATCTTCCACACAACAACCTAATACACATTCTTTACGAGTACACATGGAAGGCCGGCATGGTGGCTCACACCTGTAATCCCAGCACTTTGGGAGTCTGAAGCAGGTGGATCACTTGAGGCCAGGAGTTCAAGACCAGTCTGGCCAACATAGCAAAACCCCATCTCTACTAAAAATACAAAAAAAAAAAAAAAAAAAAAAAAGCCAGGAGTGATGGCGCACACCTGTAGTCCCAGCTACTTGAGAGGCAGAGGCAGGAGAATCCCTTGAACCCAAGAGGTAGAGGTTGCAGTGAGCTGAGATTGTTCCACTACACTTCCACCTGGGCAACAGAGGGATACTCTGTCTCAAACAAGACAAAACACACACCAAAAAATACATGGAACATACATAAAACAAACTTCCAACTATTTTAAAGTAAGTGAAATTATAGAAAGAATGATCTGAGACCACATTGGAATTGTACTAGAAATAGATAACAGAAAAAATATCTGAACAATCCTCAAATATCTGAAAATAATGTACCATACTTCCAATTAACATGTAAGTCAAAGAGGAAGTCACATGAGAATTACACAATATTTTGAGTGGAATGAAAATTAAAACAAAGCAACTCAAATTTGTGGAATGCAGCAAAAGTAGCACTTGGAAATTATAGAATTAAATGATTATAATAGAAAATAAAGTCTCAAATAAATGATCTAAGATTCCATGTTGGTAAACTAAAAAGTGAGAGAGAAAATTAAACCCAAAGGGAACAGAAGGAAGAAAATAAAATCAAAGCAGAAATCAATGAAATTTAAAACAAAAGACAATATAGAAAATAAATGAAATTAATGGTGGAGCTTTTTGACAAGACCACTGATCTTGATAAATTTTTAGCCAGCCTGACCAAGAAAGAAAGAGAGAAAACACAAACTACCAGTATCTGGAATAAGAGACATCATTACTGAATCTACAGATATTAAAAGGATCATGGCTATATGTCAATAAGTGTAACAACTTAGATGACATGGGCAAAGTCCTTAAAAAACATAAACTATCAAAGTTCACTAAAAGAAAAAAATGATGATGTAGATAGTTCTATATCTATTAAAGAAGTTGAATTCATAGTTTAAAAATTTTAAGCCAAAAACTCTTTAGCCAAATGGCTTCTTACAGTGAATTCTACCAAACATTAAAGAAAAAATAATGCCAATTCTATACAAACTTTTCAAGAATATAGAATAGAATAGAATACTCCCCAATTCATTTTATGAATTTAGGATTACTCTGATATCAAAATCAGAAAAAAACTACAAGAAAAGACCAATATCCTTTGTGAACATGGATGCAAAATTCTCAACAAAATAGTGGCGAATCAAACCCAACAATACATAAAAAGGGTAATGCATCCTAAAAACACACAGTTAATTCAATGTTCAAAGTGAATCAATGTAATTCCCCATAACAGCAGATTAAGGAAGAAAATCCATGTGATCATCTCAATAGGTGCAGAAAAAGCCTCTTACAAAATTCAATATCCATTGAATACTTTAAAAAAACAAAAGACCACTTAGCAAACTAGGAATAGAAGGGTATTTCCTTATCTGATGAAGTATGTCTACCAAAAAAGACCCCACAGCTTACATTATACTTAATGGAGAAAGACTTAATGTCCCCTTAATATTAGCAGCAAGGCAAGGATGTCCACTCTCACACTCTCCACTCCTATTCAACATCATAAGGAAGGTACAGCTGGTACAGTAAGTCAAGAAAAAAATAAAAGGTCTACAGCTTGGAAAGGAAGAAATAACACTTTATTCTCAGATGATTTGGACTGTACAGAAAAAGTGAATGTATTTAAAAAGCTACTAGAACTAATAAGTGAGTTTAGCAAGGTTTCACAATATGTGATCAATATACAAAAATCAATTGTATTTGTACACACTAGCAATGAACAACTGAATTTTTTACTTAAAGAAAAATTTTCCTTTTAGAGACAGGGTCTTGCTGTGTTGCCTAGGCTGGTCTCAAACTCCTGGCCTCAAGTGATCCTTCCACCTTGGTCCCCCAAAATGCTGGGATTACTGGCATGAGCCACTGTGCCTGACCTTCAAAAATATTTTTTATGCCATTTAAAATAGCACTAAAATTTTAAAAAGTATTTAAGTATACAGCTCACAAAACCTATGCAGGATTCGTATGCTGGAAACTACAAAACACTGATAAAGAAACCAAAGAAGGCCCAATAAATGAAGAAATATGCCATATTTGCACACTCAATATTGTTAAAATGTAATTTTCTCTAAACTGATCTCTATATTAAATGCAACTCCAATCAAAATTTCACCATAGTTTATTGTAGATGCAGACAAAATCATTCTAAAATGTATCTGGAAAGGCAATCTATAATGGTAATAACAATTATGAAAAAGAACAAAGGTAGAAGACTTACATTACCTGATTTCAAGACTTATTATAAGCCTCTTATAATTGAGATAATGTGGTGTTTAGAAACTATAGACATATAAATCAGTGGAACAGAATAAAAAGTTCAGTAACAAACCCACACGTATGTGGTGAGTTGAGTATAAACAAAGATGAAGAGACAACTCAGTGAAGAAAGAACAGTCTTTTAACAAATGGTCTGAAACATTTGGATATCCATATGTTAAAACAAAACAAAAAACAACTAATCTTGATTCATAGCTTGTACTGTATACAAAAAGTAACTCAAAACGGATAATAGACTTAAACGTAAGACCTATGATTATATGTCCAGAAGAAAACAGGAAAAAATATTCGTGACAGTTCTTGTATATGACATCAAAAGTATGATTCATAAAAGAAAAAAATGACAAATTAGACTTCAGCTAAACTGGGAACTGTTCTTAAAAAGATAATGGTAAGAAAATGTAAAGACAAGCCACAAACTAGGAGAAAGTACAGTCACGTGTTGCTTAACAATAGGGATACGTTCTGAGAAATGTGTCAGGCAATGTCATCATTGTACACAAACCTAGATAATGGCTAATGAAGTGGCTGATTGCTTCCAGACTATTAACCTGTATAGCATGTTACTGTACTGAATACCGTAGACTATTTTAACACAATGATAAATATTTGTATAACTAAACATATCTAAACATAGTCAAAATAGAATATTAAAATATTATGGGATTATCATCATATATGTGGTCCATAATGGACCAAAACATCATTATATTCTACATAACTATATTTGCAAATCATATATCACAAACCCAGTTTTGGCTATTATGAATAAAGTTGCTATGAACATTTGATTACAGATATTGGTGTGGACATATACTTTCATTTCTTTTGAACACTACTTGAATGGGTAGGTCATAGGGTAGTGTATTAGTCAGGATTCTCCAGAGAAACAGAACCAATAAACAGATATAGATGTATACATGAGGAGATTTACTATAGGAATTTGTTCACACAATTATCACACAGAAGTCTTACAATCTGCCATCTGCAAGCTGGAGAGCCAGGAAAGGTGGTGGTGTAATTCAGTCCAAGTCTGAAGGCCTGAGAACCAGGAGCTTCAGTGTCTGAGGAAAATATGAACAGCACAGCTCAAACAGAAAACGAATTTACCCTTCCTCTGCCTTTTTGTTTTATTCTGGCCTTCAACAGATTGGATGATAACAACCAACATTGGTGAGGGCAATCTTTACTCAGTCTACTGAGTGAGCTGTTAATCTCTTCACGAAATTCCCTCATAGACACTCCCAGAAATAATGTTTTTCCAGCTCTCTGGACATTCTTTAGCCCACTCAAATTGACCCCTAAAATTAACTACCACAGGCTGGCATATGTTTAACTTTTGATAAACTTCCAAACTGTTTTTCGAATGGTTTTACCATTTCACCCTCCTATCAGCAATGTATGGGAGTTCTAGTTACTCCATATCTTCACTAAAAAAAATGTTAAGTCTTTTAAATTTTAGCCATTCTAATGGATGAGTACATAATTGTACTCATTATTATTTTATTTTGCATTTCTCTGAAGTCTAATGAACACTTTTCATGTGCATATTGGCCATTCATATATTTTCTTTTGTGAAATATCTGTAAAAGCCATTATGTCCTCTTAATTTGGTTGTTTGCATTTTTATTATTGAGTTATAGTAGTTCTTTAAATCTTCTGAATACAAATCCTTTGTTCTTTGTTTTGAGATATATCCTCCCTTTTTGTGGCTTGTCCATCAATTTTCTTGATGGTATCTTTTTCTTTTGATGGGTGCTGGTTTTCAATTTTGATAAAGTCTAATATAACAATATTTTAATGTCTTTCTGTCTCCCACTTAAGAAATCCTTGTCTACAAATAGTAAAAATATTCTCCCATGTTTTCTTGTAGAAGCTTTATGGATTTAGCTGTTATGTTTAGGTCTGTGATCCACCTTGAGTGAATTATTGCATATGGTGTGAGGTAGGGGTTAAAGTTCAATTTTTTTTCATATGAATATCCTGTTGTCCCATCACCATTTATTGAAAAGATTTTCCTTTTTCCCACTGAATTGCCTGGTGACTTAGTTGAGAATCAATGGACCATATAGGCATAGGTACATTTTTGGAATCTATGTTCCATTCCATTGATCTTATTTGACTATCTTTATGCCAACATCACACTGTCCTTCAGTATTGCAGCTTTATAAGTAACCCTTGAAATCAGGTGGTTTAAGTTTTCTAACATAATTCTTTTTCAAGATTATTTAGGTTATTCTAGGTCCTTTGTGCTTCCATATAATTTTGGAATAAACTTGTCAATTTCTACCAAAAATTCCATTGGGATTTTGATAGTGGTGGTGTTGAATGTACAAATAAATTTGGGAAAATTACTATCTTAACAATATTGAGCAACTTAATATATTTAGTTAGGTCTTCTTTACTATGTCTTAGCAATGTTTTGTAATATTTAGAATAGAGGTCTTGCATATCTTTCACCATAAAGTTTTGATTTTTAAAAAATGACATTTGACCATATAATATGGCTTTTATACTTACTGGGGGTAGATTCCAAATCAAATAAAGAAATAAAGCTTCACTCATCCATTTTACCAATAAATATTCAAATAACCACTAAAAGAAAGGCAATAATAATTATTACTTATCCAATAGGCAGATCAAACTATTAGCTTCGTGAAGGTTAGAATGTCTTATTGGCTGGATTTGAACAACCCTTAACAGATTTTCATACCCACATAGGACTCTCATAGCAGCATTTTAAAAGACTCATTATGAGAGGACCCACAGATCCTCTGAAGGAAGTGGACTGCTCCTGTAGGACCCAGGAGACACCCCAAATACTGTGAGTGTCCCAACTTTGGAAGTGGGAAAGGGAGACCCTCATTTCCCAAACACACACCCCCACTGGAGAAGCTGAAGCCACAGCAAGACCTGCTCAAGGAGAGTCTGAGCTCAGACACACCTAGCCCTGCCCCCACCGGATGGTCTTTCCCTATCCACCCTGGTAGCTGAAGACAAAGAGCATATAATCTTGGAAGTTCTAGGGCCCCGCCCACCGCCTGTCCCTCTCCATAATACTACAGCTGATGTTTTCTGGAAAGTGCCACCTCCTGGCAGGAGGCCAATCAGCACAAAAATAGAGCATTAAACCACCAAAGCTAAGGACTCTCACGGAGTCCATTCCAACCCCCTTCCCCACCCTCCCACCACCTCCACTGGAACAGGTGCTGGTATCCACAGGACTCTGTGCAGACTACCTCCCAGTACCAGCCCAGAGCCGGGTAGACTCACTAGGTGGCTAGACCCAGAAGAGAGACAACAATCACTGAAGTTTGGCTCACAGGAAGCCACATCCATAGGAAAAAGGGGAGAGTACTATATCAAGGGAACACACCATGGACCAAAAGATTCCAAACAACAGCCTTCAGCTCTAGACCTTCCCTCTGACAGAGACTACCCAAATCACAAGGAAACAGAAAACCAACCCTGGTAATATGACAAAACAAGGCTCTTCAACACCCCCCAAAAATCACATAAGTTTACCAGCAATGGATCCAAACGAAGAAGAAATTCCTGATTTACCTGAAAAAGAATTCAGGTTAGTTATTAAGTTAATCAGGGAGGGACCAGAGAAAGGCAAAGCCCAATGCAAGGAAATCCAAAAAATTATATGAGAAGTGAAGGGAGAAATATTCAAGGAAATGGATAGCTTAGAGAAAAAACAATAAAACATTCAGGGAACTTTGAACACACTTTTAGAAATGCAAAATGCTCTGGAAAGTCTCAGCAATAGAATTGAACAAGTAGAAGAAAGAAATTCAGAGCTCAAAGACAAGGTTTCAAATTAACCCAATCCAACAAAGACAAAGAAAAAAGAATAAGAAAATGTGAACACAGCCTTCAAGAAGTCTGGTATTATCTGAAACAACCAAACCTAAGAATAATTGGTGTTCCTGAGGAAGAAGGGAATTCTAAAAGCTTAGAAAACATATTTGGGGGAATAATCAAGGAAAACTTCCCTAGCCTTGCTAGAGACCTAGACATCCAAATACAAGAAGCATAAAGAACACCTGGGAAATTAACTGCAAAAAAGATCTTTGCCTAGGCGCATTGTCATTGGGTTATCCAAAGTTAAGATGAAGGAAAGAATCTTAAAAGCTGTGAGACAGAAGCACCAGGTAACCTATAAAGGAAAGTCTATCAGATTAACAGCAGATTTCTCAGCAGTGAAACTAAGCATCATAAATGAAGGAAAGATACAGTCATTTTCAGACAAACAAATGCTAAGAGAATTTGTCATTACAGAGCCACCACTACAAGAACTGCTAAAAGGAGCTCTAAATCTTGAAACAAATCCTGGAAACACATCAAAACAGAACTTCTTTAAAGCATACATCACACAAGACCTATAAAACAAAAATATGAGTTAAAAAGCAAAAACAAAAACAAAAACAAAAAACCAAAGTACACAGGCAACAAATAGCATGATGAATGCAACAGTGCCTCACATTTCAATACTAACAATAAATGTAAATGGCTTAAATTCTCCACTTAAAAGATACAGAACTGCAGAATGGATAAGAACTCACCAAACAACTATCTCCTGCCTTCAGGAGACTCACTAATACATAAAGACTCACATAAACTTAAACTAAAGGGGTGGAAAAAGGCATTTCATGCAAATGGACACCAAAAGTGATCAGGGATAGCTATTCTTATATCAGACAAAACAAGCTTTAAAGCAACAGTAGTTAAGAGAGACAAAGAGGGACGTTATACAATGGTAAAAGGCCTTGTTCAACAGGAAAATATCACAATCCTAAACATATATGCACCTCAAACTGGAACTCCCAAACTTACAAAACAATTACTAATAGACCTAAGAAATGAGATAGACAGCAACACAATAATAGTGGGGGACTCCAGTACTCCACTGACAGCACTAGACAGGTCATCAAGACAGAAAGTCAACAAAGAAACAATGGATTTAAACTATACCTTGGAACAAATGGACTTAACAGATATATACAGAACATTTCATCCACCAACCGCAGAATATACATGCTATTTAATAGCACATGGAACTTTCTCGTAGATAGACCATATGATAGGCCATAAAATGAGCCTCAATAAATTTAAGAAAATTGAAATTATATCAACCACTCTCTCAGACCACAGTGGAATAAAACTGGAAATTAACTCTAAAAGGAACTTCAAAACCATGCAAATACATGGAAATTAAATAACTTGCTCCTGACTGAGCACTGAGTCAAAAACAAAATCAAGATGGAAGTTTAAAAATTCTTCTAACTGAACGACGATAATGACACAACCTATCAAAACCTCTGGGATACAGCAAAGGCAGTGCTAAGAGGAAAGTTCATAGCCCCAAATGCCTACATCAAAAAGACTGAAGGAGAACAAACTAACATTCTAAGGTCACACTTCAAGGAACTAGAGAAACAGGAACAAACCAAACCCAAACCCAGCAGAAGAAAGGAAACAACAAAGTTCAGAGCAGAACTAAATGAAATTGAAACAAATAAAAAATACAAAAGATAAATGGAATAAAAAGCTGGTTCTTTGAAAAGATAAATACAATTGATAGACCATTAGCAAGATTAACCAAGAAAAAAGAGAGAAAATCCAAATAACATCACTAAGAAATGAAACAGGAGATATTACAACTGACACCACTGAAATACAAAAGATCATTCAAGGCTACTATGAACCCCTCTATGCAGATAAACTAGGAAACCTAGAAGAGGTGGATAAAATCCTGGAAAAATACAACCCTCCTAGCTTAAATCAGGAAGAATTAGATACCCTGAACACACCAATAACAAACAGTGAGATTTAAACAGTAATTTAAGAATTACCAACAAAAAAAGTCCAGGACCAGACGGATTCACAGCAGAATTCTACTAGACGTTCAAAGAATTGGTGCCAATCCTTTTGACACTATTCCACAAGGTAGTGAAAGAAGGAACCCTCCCTAATTCATTCCATGAAGCCAGCATCACCTAAGGCCAAAATCAGGAAAGAACATAACTTAAAAAGAAAACTACAGGCCGGTATACCTGATGAACATAGATGCTAAAATCCTTAACAAAATACTAGCTAATTGAATCCAACAACATATCAGAAGATAATCCACAATGGTCAAGTGGGTTTCCTACCAGGGATGCAGGGCTGGTTTAACATACACACGTCAATAAATGTGATACACCACATAAACAGAATTTAAAACAAAATCGCATGGTCATCTCAATAGATGCAGAAAAAGCATTCGACAAAAATCCAGCATCCCTTTATGATTAAAACTCTCAGCAAAATCGGCATAGAAGGGACATACCTTAATGTAATAAAAGCCATCTATGACAAACCCACAGCCAGCATAATACTGAATGGGAAAAAGTTGAAAGCATTCCCTCTGAGAACTGGAACAAGACAAGGATGCCCACTCTTACCACTCCTCTTCAACACAGTACTGGAAGTCCTAGCCAGAGCAATCAGACAGGAGAAAGAAATAAAGGGCATCCAAATCAGTAAAGAGGAAGTCAAACTGTCACTATTTGCTGACGATATGATCATTTACCTTGAAAACACTAAGGACTCCTCCAGGAAGCTCCTAGAACTGATAAAAGAATTCAGCAAAGTTTCTGATACAAGATTAATGTACACAAATCAGTAGCTCTTCTATACACCAATAGCGACCAAGCAGAGAATCAAATCAAAAACTCAGGAACTCAACCCCTTTTACAAAAGCTGCAAAATAAATAAATAAATAAATAAATAAATACATAAATAAATAAATAAAATAAAATACTTAGGAATATACCTAACTAAGGAGTCAAAAGACCTCTCCAAGGAAAACTACAAAACACTGCTGAAAGAAATCATAGATGACACAAACAAATGGAAACACATCCCATGCTCATAGATGGGTAGAATAAATATTGTGAAAATAACTATACTGCCAAAAGCAATCTACAAATTCAATGCAATCCCCATCAAAATACCACCATCATTCTTCACAGAATTAGAAAGAAACAATTCTAAAATTTATATGGAACCAAAAAAGAGCCCGCACAGCCAAAGCAAGACTAAGCAAAAAGAATAAATCTGGAGGTATCATACTACTTGATTTCAAACTAAACTAAGGCCATAGTCACCAAAACAGCATGGTACTGGTATAAAAATAGGCTCATAGACCAATGGAACAGAATAGAGAACCCAGAAATAAACCCAAATGCTTACAGCCAAGAGATCTTCGACAAAGCAAACAAAAACATAAAGTGGGGAAATGACACCCTTTTCTACAAATGGTGCTGGGATAATTGGCTAGCTACATGTAGGAGAGCGAAACCAGATCCTCATCTCTCACCTTATATAAAAATCAACTCAATATGGATTAAAGACTTAAGGCTAAGACCTGAAACTATACAAATTCTAGAAGATAACATTGTAAAACCCCTTCTAGACATTGGCTTAGGCAAGGATTTCATGACCAAGAACCCGAAAGCAAATGCCGTAAAAGCAAAGTTAAATAGCTGGGACCTAATTAAGCTGAAGAGCTTTTGCACAGCAAAAGGAACAATCAGCAGAGTGAACAGACAACCCACGGAGTGATATATATATCACAGAATATGATATATATGATATATATATCATATATATCAGAATATATATATATCATATATATCACAAAATATATATATCATATATATCACAGAATATGATATATATATCATATATATCACAGAATATGATATGTATATATCATATATATATCACAGAATATGATATGTATATATCATATATATATCACAGAATATGATATGTATATATCATATATATATCACAGAATATGATATGTATATATCATATATATATCACAGAATATGATATGTATATATCATATATATCACAGAATATGATATGTATATATCATATATATATCACAGAATATGATATGTATATATCATATATATATCACAGAATATGATATGTATATATCATATATATATCACAGAATATGATATGTATATATCATATATATCACAGAATATGATATGTATATATCATATATATATCACAGAATATGATATATATATCATATATATCACAGAATATGATATATATATCATATATATCACAGAATATGATATATATATCATATATATCACAGAATATGATATATATATCATATATATATCACAGAATATGATATATATATCATATAGATCACAGAATATGATATATATATCATATAGATCACAGAATATGATATATATATCATATAGATCACAGAATATGATATATATATCATATAGATCACAGAATATGATATATATATCATATATAGATCACAGAATATGATATATATATCATATATAGATCACAGAATATGATATATATATCATATATAGATCACAGAATATGATATATATATCATATATAGATCACAGAATATGATATATATATCATATATAGATCACAGAATATGATATATATATCATATATAGATCACAGAATATGATATATATCATATATAGAACACAGAATATGATACATATATCATATATAGAACACAGAATATGATACATATATCATATATAGATCACAGAATATGATACATATATCATATATAGATCACAGAATATGATACATATATCATATATAGATCACAGAATATGATACATATATCATATATAGATCACAGAATATGATACATATATCATATATAGATCACAGAATATGATACATATATCATATATATATCACAGAATATGATACATATATCATATATAGATCACAGAATATGATACATATATCATATATAGATCACAGAATATGATACATATATCATATATAGATCACAGAATATGATATATATATCATATATATATCACAGAATATGATATATATATCATATATATATCACAGAATATGATATATATATCATATATATATCACAGAATATGATATATATCATATATATATCACAGAATATGATATATATATCATATATATCACAGAATATGATATATATATCATATATATCACAGAATATGATATATATATCATATATATATCACAGAATATGATATATATATCATATATATATCACAGAATATGATATATATATCATATATATATCACAGAATATGATATATATATCATATATATATCACAGAATATGATATATATATCATATATATATCACAGAATATGATATATATATCATATATATATCACAGAATATGATATATATATCATATATATATCACAGAATATGATATATATATCATATATATATCACAGAATATGATATATATATATATATATATATATATATATATATATATATATATATATATATATAATGGACATAGAAACCCAATGCTGTCAACAGACATTATAGAGTCCAATTCCCTTTGGTCTGCAACACTTCCATAATAAAATTTTCTCATCTGTCCTCCTTTTTAAAAGAAATATGAGGCTGGGTGTGGTTGCTCATGACTGTAATCCCAACACTTTGGGAAGCCAAGGCAGGAGGATCCCTTGAACCCAGTAGTTCAAGACCAGCCTGGGCAACATAACATAGCGAGACTCTCTGTATAAAAAATTAAAAATAGCCAGGCATGGTGGTGCACACCTGTAGTCCCAGCTCCTCGGGAGGCTGAGGTGGGAGAATTGCTTGAGCCCAGGAGGTCCAGGCTGCAGTGAGCTGTGATCACAGAATATGATTGATATATATATATCACAGAATTAGAGAAAACAATTCTAAAATTCACATGGAACCAAAAAAGAGCCTGCATAGCCAAAGCAAGACTAAGCAAAAATCACATGGTCATCTCAATAGATACAGAAAAAGCATATATATATATATGATGGAATACTACCAGCCATAAAAAGGAATGAATTAACAGCATTTGCAGTGACCTGAATGAGATTGGAGACTATTATTCTAAGTGAAGTAACTCAGGAATGGAAAACCAAACATCACATGTTCTCACTAATATGTCGGAGCTAAGCTATGAGTACACAAAGGCATAAGAACGATACAATGGACTTTGGGGACTTGGAGGGAAGAGTGGGAGGGAACGAGAGATAAAAGACTACAAATAGGGTGCAGTGTAGGCTGCTTGGGTGATGGGCACACCAAAATCTCACAAATCACCACTAAAGAACTTACTCATGTAACCAAATACCACCTGTACTCTAATAACTTATGGGAAAAAAAAAAGACTCATTATGGCCGGATGTGGTGGCTCATGCCTGTAATCCCAGCACTTTGGGAGGCTGAGGTGGGTGGATCACTTGAGGTCAGGAGTTCAAGAACAGCCTGGCCAACATGGTGAAACCCCTTCTCTACCAAAAATATAAAAATTAGCTGGGCATGGTGGCACGTGCCTGTAGTCCCAGCTACTCAGGAGGCAAAGGCACAAGAATTGCTTGAACCCAGAGGCAGAGGTTGCAGTGAGCTGAGATCACACCACTATGCTCCAGCCTGGGCAACAGAGTGAGACTCTGTCTCAAAAAAAATTGACTCATTATATCTCTTAGCTAAATTTTACTTGTCCTTCAAGACTCAGCTCAAGTGGCACCTTGTCTAAGAAATTGTTTTGATGATAACCTGTTGCCCACTCAGAGCTGGTGCCTTACTATGTCTCTCATGGAACCCTACCCTGTGTTTACCTTTATCTTAACGTGTGATTACTTACACTGTGAGTAATAGAACGCTGAAGCATAGTGACTTCAATGCACACAAGTATACTTATTCATGTAAAAAACTGTCTGGAAGGAGACAGACTGAAGCTGCCATGGCAGTTCCACAAGGTCATTAGGGACTCATCCTCTTCTCTTTCTTCTCCAGCATCTTTGCTGCATGATTTTCATCCTCAAGGTCACCTTTTGATTCAAAATGTCAGCTGGAAATGCTGCACTCTGGTCCACATTTCAGACCCCAGAAGGGGCAAAAGGTAACAAAGGTGGCCTTCATTTTAAGCAGCCTTCCCTGATGTCCTTCGGAGCACTTCCAGTCACATCTTATTGGCCAGGAGCTAATCAGGGGACCACACCTTGGTAAAGAAGCTTGGGAGCTGTCATTTTTATCCTGGGTAGCAACATTCCCAGCTAAATGCCATGCTTCTGCTACTACCGAAGGAGAAAATGGAGACAGACTAGCAACCAGCACTTCCTGTTGACCTGCCGTTAATATGCCATACTATACTTGCCTGGTTGTCTGTCTTTGCTAAAAGAATGTGTGCTCCAAGTGCCTAGTGCAGTACTCAGCACAGAGTAGGGAGTCCAAAAACTTTTAAATTTACATGGAAGTTTATCACACATACATGAGTGCACTCAACTGTATATCTTGATAAATTTCCACATATGACTACACATATATAACCGCCACCCAGATCAAGCTGTAGACAATTTCCAGAAGGTTCCTTCATGCCCCTTCCCAGTCAACTCTCTTATCAATAGCACACTTTTCTGACCTCTCTCACCCCAAGTACTTTTGTCTGTTCATGAACTCCACATGAAGAAAAGCATATGGCACCTGGCATTTTAGCCAAACCAATGAATGATTTCTGGAAAAAGTGACCATCCATTCCAGATGTTCTGGGTTAGTCTTCACTTCAAATAAGTTGTTGTTATAAAAACTTACTTTTATAGTATTTGGTTTCTAATGGACATAGAAACCCAATGCTGTCAACAGATATTATAGAGTCCAATTCCCTTTGGTCTGCAACACTTCCATAATAAAATTTTCTCATCTGTCTTCCTTTTTAAAAGAAATATGAGGCTGGGTGTGGTTGCTCATGACTGTAATCCCAACACTTTGGGAAGCCAAGGCAGGAGGATCCCTTGAACCCAGTAGTTTAAGACCAGCCTGGGCAACATAACATAGCGAGACTCTCTGTATAAAAAATTAAAAATAGCCAGGCATGGTGGTGCACACCTGTAGTCCCAGCTCCTCGGGAGGCTGAGGTGGGAGGATTGCTTGAGCCCAGGAGGTCCAGGCTGCAGTGAGCTGTGGTCATACCACTGCACTCCAGGCTGGGTGACAGAGTGAGACCCTGTCTCAAAAAATAAATAAGTAAACAAATAAATAATAAATAAAAGAAATATGCCTTGAAATATCAGCTCCATCAAGAAGCCTTCTGCTGTAGTTCTAGGTGTGGCAGGGCACTCGATGTGCATTTGACGGGGATGGTGAGGACAGTAGGCCATAAACAAAGGCTGGCTGTGGAGCTGAGCAGGCTCCAGGCTGGCCATCTGGAACACCTGCAGCTGGCCCAGCGTGGGGCCGTGCGCCAGTCCAAACGGCCCAGCTGGAGAATTCTCTGCCTCTGCCACCGCCGCCATTGGCAAGAAAGCATCAATGTCCTTGCTGGCTGTCAGCGTTTTCTCTATTGGTCAGAAACCGAAAAGTGGGCCCCAGGTTTGTTAATCAGGCTCAGCAGGATGTGGGAAAATCTTGGCAGAAATGAAAGCAGCAGACAAAAGGCTGTCAGAGCTGGGTCTGATGGGAAGGCAGCGCTGCTTGGTAGCAGAAGCAGAGCATCTCCCTGACGTATGAAAATGACCCCATTCTTCCAGGAAGCCTCCCCAGAAAGTTTGACCTGTTGCAAGTCAGGCTTTGGCTACAACCAGGAAGTTGATGGGGATGACACTGGGGAGGGAGGAGAGGGTATTGGGAAGGGAGGAGGGAGTTCACCAGGATGAGGAAGCAATGGCTCCATTCATGGGGGAGAAATGTGGACATGTGGGAATGAGGGGTGCTGTCTTCCCTCTTCCCTTCAGGACCGTGTGCATCAGCATGCCCCAATAGGTCCCAGAGAACAGAGCTCAAGCCTCGTCCTCTAACACCAGAGGTGCCAGATGATCATTATGGGACAGCTCAACCTATGACCCATAGTGGAGTGGTCAGTGCTGGGCTGGATCTTCTGTTCCAGGTGCTTCTCTTGACCTAGTCCTGAGACCTCTTCCCATTCTTCTTTCCTCCTTTTACCAAGTTAGCACCACAGGACCACCATTCAATTCAGCCTTTTAGGGTGAGGGTGGGATGACTCCCCTGAAGCCACTGCTCCCCAAAGGACCTGGCTGGGTTGTCTTCTGGGGGCTGCGCCACTCACCTGGCACCTTCTCCTTTGGACTCTTAAGCACAACAGCCTAGTCAATCCACACTGGAGGAACAGCGTGTAATGCCCCAAAGGGGACCCAGAGGGTCACAGCTCAGGGATATAGTTGGGGATAATGGGCACTTACCTTGTCTCAGAGGGGATTAGTGCTCCTGTGGTCAACCAGGGTGATTCTCTGCCCTTCTCTCACTGAAAAAGAGAAAAAAGGATATTGAATCTCCATAAGGGCATCTGAATACACCACAGTGAGGATGCTGGAGGGAAAGGCTCCTTTGCCCTTTGTCTTTTGCCCTGCCCCAATGTATCTGGTGTCTCAAGGCCCCTCAAGCCCTGTTGTGGGCTGAAATGCATCCTCCCAAATTCATATGTTGAAGTTCTAACCCCCAGCACCTCTCAATGTGACTGTATTTGGAGAAAGCACCTCTAAAGAGGTAACTTGGTTAAAATCAAGTCCTGTGGGAAGGCCCTTATCCAGTAGGACTGGTGTCCATGTAAACAGAGCTTGAAGAGACACTAGGGATGCACATGTGCAGAGAAAGGCCATGTAAGGATGCAGTGAGAAGGCAGCTGTCTGCAAGCCAAGGAGGGAGGCCTCAGAAGGACCCGGTCCTGCCAACTTCCAGCCTCCAGAACAGTGGGAAAATAAAGTTCTGTTGTCTAAGACACCCAATCCCGATAGTTTGTTATGGCAGGCCTAGCAAACTAATACAAACCCTATTTCCTCTATGAAAGTTTTCTTTATATCTTAATGAATTTGGTTACTATTATGACAGATCTCTAATGTTTTCTAAAAAAAAAATCAAACAAATCCTTATAGCAGCAGTCCCTGGAAACCCACACAGAAAATTCTGTCCCACATTATCCCATTCAAATAGCCGTTCCTGATAAGAAATGATTCCCGACTGTGAGGAATCAGATCTAGGAGGAAGGACAAGTATGCTTTGACAAAACTCCCTACCCAAGTTTGATTTACTACCTCCACGTTGAAAGTCACAGCTACACAGTTTAACACAAACAGTGAAGCACTTGTGACATACTTCTTTATCTTCTGGTTTATTTATTTAGTTCTATCTGTTCAATTCGTCTCCCTGTTTTAGCCTGGGTTCCCAGAAAGCAGAACCTGCAAGAAGGGTTTGGGTGTGAGAATCTTATTGGAGAAAGTGATCCCTTACAGGGAGCAAAAGTGAAAGACGGGAGAAAAGCTGAGCTAGAGGGAGAACCAATACAAGGATGCAGGGTGGACGTGGTCCTTTTTATGGGTGATTACTTGCCTGTCCCCACAGGTCCATTTGGGAACTCATATGAAACACATTCAGGATCTTCCCCTGGGGAAAAAGGAGAAAAGCACTTATTTACTGGCTCCTAGCCGCCATTGGTCAGTTTTGCTCTGTGGGGTGGGTGTTCACTTGTCTGCACTTCCTAACTGTGTATGCAGGGGCACTGAATGTGTTCCCATGAGTCCCACGTGGCAGTGCCAGAACAACCTCTGGGCAGGAAGTGAGCAGTACAAGCGGGGCTGTCCTCAGGGAATACAGGGCCTTGGGCAAATATTCTTTATATATAAACAATCTGATTTAAAAATATATTACAAATTTCGGCTGGGTGTGGTGGCTCACGCCTGTAATCCCAGCCCTTTGGGAGGCCGAGGCGGGCAGATCACCTGAGGTCAGGAGTTCGAGACCAGCCTGGCCAACATGGTGAAACCTTGTCTCTACTAAAAATACAAAAATTAGACAGGCATGGTGGCGGGTGCCTGTAATCCCAGCTGCTCGGGAGGCTGAGGCAGGAGAATCACTTGAACCCAGGAGGCGGAGGTTGCAGTGAGCTGAGATGGCACCATTGCACTCCAGCCAGGGCAACAAGAGTAAGACTCCATCTCAAAACAAACAAACAAATATATATATAACAAATTCCATAGGCCTACATGAGATAGAGTGATTTGTCAATGAAGTTTTAGAGTCATGGGTAGGCAATAGATACTGACTTTGTTGTCCTATCAATACACATGAAGAGTTTTTGTAGTGTCCAGGCACCGTCTCTTCCTATCCAGGACCATGAAGTATTCCCTTCCTGCTCATTACTGTTAGATGCACCATTCCTGACTAATCAGATCTTCCACTGAGAAAAAGGTAGCAATGACTGTCATTACTCACAATGCTGTGGTTCTTTAGAACCTATTTGTATTGAAATAATATGGTTCTTGCCTCTGCAGTTCCCTAATACCATAGATTTAATGATGTTTACATCATTACCCATAATGCTGCATCATCTTTTAAGCCACCTGTGGATAGGATACTGGTTTCCAATGGTTCTCTCAAAGGTTGTTAATGTGCTTCACTGATGATGACTATAAATGCAAGTCTTACTCAGAGTATGCAGGGGAATGTGAATAAGAATTCTTTTCTGAACATACATGGTAAATTTTCCCTTCTGAATTTTGTAATGTAAATATTGAACAGCATGTCTTCCAACCATGTCTTCCCTTCAACATGTCTTCCCTTTGACAGTAATCACTGCATCCTAGAATGTGATCTATTTCAATGCCGATTTCACTCCAGCATTCCACACACCACCATCAAAATGGAGGACAGGTGAAAGGCCTGTTGGGGAGAGCTAGAAGAGCAGAACAGCTTCCACAGGGAACATTTGTCCTTCACTCAGCAGGGCTGCAGACTGACCAGGAGAGCATGAAATCACCACGTCAATCAGAAGAGCCCACTGGCTAGGGGAACCAGAGTTCTAAAAGCCTTTGGAGGAGACAAAAAGGGCCATTCCTAGATAATTGCCTTCTTGGAACCAGCCACAATTGGGCTCCATATGCCCAAGTCCTGGAGCTCTTTGGGATATCTGATTGACTTCTTGTATGGTGCATGAACCTGTGTGTGTGTGTGTGTGTGTGTGTGTGTGTGTGTGTGTGTGTGCGCGCACGCACATACCATGGGAGAAATTGGAACCTAGGTCCACGCAGGTCTCAGTCCAGGTTCAATAGTACTTAGAAAATTTTAAGGAAGGAGTTGGGAGGGGTAGGCAGGTCCTGAGGCTCAGGTCGATGCCTGGGTCCTGCTTGCCTGGATCTAAGGGTGGTACCAGGTATAGGGCATGAGTTGGAGGCACCACAGTTAGGTTGGTCCCATAGGAAGCTGGCTGAGGCCCTTTAGAACAGCTCACTTTAGCAATGGCTAAAATAAGAGGCAGCGAGGCGTAGAGGATCTACAGTGATGCATAAGAAGGTCTGACAAACTCCCCCATGCGATTTTAAACTCCTTAAGGACTTCCATGTCTATTCTTTTTTTTATATGCCTCACAGCATATAGCATAGGCTGTGAGGATTTAATAAGTGCTAAATAAACTCATTTATTCTTTCAGTCATTTAAAAACTTTTACTGAGGTTCTGCCTCATATATGCAAAGAAACACTAGGCTTTGTGAAGAATACAAGGAAATACACAATCCAATCCCTGACTATGAGAACATTCAGTTGAAGAAAGGGGTTGTCAAACCTGAAATTATGACAAGAATCCATCCCTTCCCGAAGTGTTATATAGTGTCTAGTCCCTGGGACTCAATAAATATTTGTTGAATGAATTAATGTTCATATTAGGAGCTTTGGATTATCATGTCCAGAATATAGGCTCCCATTTGGGGGCTACAACGAAGTAAATAAATAAGCATTTATCAAACATCCTGGGCTGGGCACTGATTAGCACCTGAGAAGCAACAGAGAAGATTCGTGCCTGCTCAAAGCTGATAATCCCACTGGGGAAAGGAGGAAATCTACAGAAAACAATCAAAGAACCAGCAAAGGTATTATGGATCTGAGTCAAAGCAGGTGACTCAGACCTTAGGGTACACACCTGTGTGCCCCTCATAGCTCATCACACAAGTTGCATAAACACAAGTTTAGTTAATGAGGAAACAAAGATATAAAATCATAGATTACCTTATAGGAGCTTACACCCAGAGCCAGACCTTAGGGAAACAAATAGAATGTCTCTTTGGTGCTATCCTAACATCCCTCTAGGACCCTCTGAATTTTGCTATTCTAAGGTACTAAGACCCTCTTTCCAGCTGCTCAGAGCCTCTATACCAGTGTATCCCTTGGCTAACTCGGCCTGGGCAATGAATCATATCCTGAACCTATTTCCTACTTCTCCACACTCACCATCACATCTACCCACTAGAGCAAATATTCAGGGCATAAATCTATGTCCCCAGGTTGATGTCCTCAAACTTGGCCCAAATAAACTCTCCATATATATATTTAAAATTACCTACTTCCAACTCTTTCTTGTCGATCGGTGTGAGAATCTCTTGCTGATTAGTATCAAGTGACTGATGATACTTGCGTGAGTGCCTCTATTGCCTGCAGGTAAGACCTCCTCTTTCCATGCCTAGAGAATGCTGGGGAATATGCTGAGTGCCTTTCACCTTACCCCGCAAGGCAACTGGGAGTTTTGAAACTAATGAGGCTGATTGTAGTCAGAGCCACTCTGAAAGGGCCACTCTGTGAATGTCACAGTTCTTAGATGTCTAGAAAGACGCTTCACAAAAATGATACCACCTTTTGCCTACAAAAGAAATCAGTACAGTTAACCCTTGAACAACATGGGTTTCAACTATGCAGGTCCACTTATGCACAGATTTTCTTCTACCTCTGCCACCCCTGAGACAGCAAGACCAACCCCTTCTCTTTTTCCCTGTCTTTAGCCACTCAATGTGAAAACGATGAGGATAAAGACCTCTTTGATGATCCACTTTCACTTAACGAATAGTGAATATATTTTCTCTTCCTTACGATTTTCTTAATAACATTTTCTTTTCTCTAGCTTACTTTATTGTAAGAATACAGTATATAATACCTATAACATACAAAATATGTGTTAATTGCTAGTTTATGTTATCAGTAGGTTTCTACTCACCAGTAGGCTATTAGTACTTAAGTGTTTGAGGAGCCAAAAGTTACTAGCCAGGCATGGTGGCACGCACCTGTGGTCCCAGCTACTTGGGAGGCTGAGGTGGAAGAATCACTTAAGCTCAGTGGTTGAAGCTGCAGTGAACCCTGATTGTGCCACTGTAGTACAGCTTAATGACAGAGCAAGACTCAGTCTCAAAAAAACAAAAAGCCCCCCAAAACACAAAAGTTATACGCAGATTTTCAACTGCATAAGGCTGTTGGCACGCCGAACCCCACATGGTTAAAGGGTCAACTGTACTTAAATTCCACCATTAGAAATAATATATAAAGTGCTGATATCATTGGTAAGGCTAATCCAGGGATTTGTAATCTAAAAGTCATCTATAATCACGATCCTAGAAATCATCACATCTGGGGTTCTCAAGCCTGGCTTCACATCAGAACCTCCTGGGAGACTTTTAAAATACATTGATGCCTTGGCTCTGCCCCCAGATATTCCTATTTAACTGGCTGTTATGGATCCTGGATACTGGTAGTTTTAAAGCTTCCCAGATTGTTCCAGTGTACAACCAAGACTGAGAATCACTGACCTAATCCCTCCTTGCCCCCACTCCTTGACATTATTCATGAGGAAATGAGAATTAGAGAAGGGTGACAGGAACTTGCTCAAGTTTATAAAGCCAGGTAGTGCCAAAGCCAGCACTAGACCCTCAGCCCCTTGGTTCCTGCTCAGAATACCACCTTCTACTGCACAGCTATAATGATGGATGAGAATGCTCTTCCTGAGTGCAGCTTTTCATAGAGAAGGGATGGGGAGAAGGTCCAAGGGTGCTGACACCTGGGAAAAGGAGAGGAGGAAGAAGGTACCCAAGGTGGAGAAACCACGGTCAGGTGTGCCCCACTTTACAAGAGCAGAGTGCAATGCTGGCAGGCAACCATGTTCACATTCATTTGCACAGCCTGTACTGGGGGAAGAAGAAATTAGTTTAGTCCTAAGATTACACTCTGTGGTCATTGTTGCAGCCTCCACTGTTACCAGCTTTGTATCACTGTCAATGTTACCGCAGTCCCCAAGCCCAGGTACAATTCCCAGCTCTGAAAAGGCCGCACAGGGCCTGCTCTGCTCCCTTCCCTTGTCCAGGGAAAATTGCAGTCGACACAAATACAGCCAATCCCAGGAGACAGTCATGCTGAAAGGGCCCTGTGTCCTAGAGGCTGCATATAATCCCCAATTATCCCCCAGTTTCCCCAGGGAGAGAATGGAGAGGTGAGGGCTTTCAAAAGCCAGCATCCCTTCAGTCTCCATTATGCGGAGACTCACACAGCCTCCTTTCTCCAAACAGCACAGAAGGTCACAGGGACACGGGGCAACAGAGGCAGCTCTTTCAGGCTGGGAGAACAGCCTTCCTCCCTGTCTCAACCCAACCAGAGAACCCCAGCTTTCTTTTTAAGCCATAGAAATGAAGATGGGAGCACTGCTGCAGAAATCCAGCATCACACGAGTTGCCTTCCAGCCAACTCCGTGGAGCATTGGTTAAGACCTACAGAGAAGTCCAAGCCAGGAGGTCTTGCTGTCATCAAAGACAGCAAGGTCTTGCTGTTCCGTGCTCTGTGCTCTGTGAACTCCTTTCTGACCACCACCCCTCACCCAGAGCCACTCAAGTCCTCTCTCAGCAGCACTGACTGTCCTCCCTGGTCATCAGACTCCACCTGAAGCTGTTCTCTGTCCTTGCCCTTGTGTCACTGCATGTGTCCGCCACACTGGCAAGTCCTCAAGGCAGGAAACACACCATCTTCTTGTCTAGCTTTGCTTCCCCACGTGAATTAACACAGTACTGAGCTCACAGTAAACCCAAGGCTGTAAATATTCATAGAATTCACTAATATATTGGGAGATAAGCTATTTCCTGGCCTCCAAATGTGAATCTCTGGGCTTTATTTCACCCTCTTTTTCACCCCTAGAAACACTTAAGTTTTAGCAATGCACATACAGCTCACGAAAAGCACTTATCCCTACATTCTACACGTATTTAGAGGAGGGTGTATCCTGCAGTATTTAAGAGTATGGAGTCCTAATGCTTGGATTTTGAGTCCTAACTACCTGAGTTACTTTGGGCAAGTAATTTAATCTTTTCAAGTCTTGGGTTTCTCATCTGTAAAATGAAGATAATATTGGTGCCTAGCTCCTTGCGTTGCAGTGAAGATTAAAATAGGTACCGCAGGCCAGGTGGGGTGGCTGACACCCGTAATCCCAGAACTGTGGGAGGCTGAGGCAGGAGAATCACTCGAGCTCAGGAGTTCAAGACCAGCCTGGGCAATATAGAAAGACTCTGTCTCTACAAAAAATTAAAAAATTAGCTGGGCATGGTGGCAACGACCAGTGGTCCCAGCTACTTGGAAAGCTGAGGTGGGAAGATCACTTGAGCCCAGGAGATTGAGGCTGCTGTTAGCCATTATCGTATCAACGCACTCCAGCTGGGCAACAGAGCGATCCACTGTCTCAGAACAAACAACAACAACAAAAAGACTTACTGCAGGTAATATTCTTAG